>NC_000003.12:122190422-122493452 GCF_000001405.40 Homo sapiens
TAGGGCCAGGAATTAGACTACCCGAGCTTGTATCTCAGTTTGACAGCTCACTAGCTTCGTGACCTTGGGCAGGTTGTCCAACCTCTCTATGCCCCATTTTCCTTATCTGTAAACTGCAGTTAATTAACACTACTTACCTCTTTGGTTGTTAAAAGACTTATATGAGCTAATACACGTTGTTAAAGCTCATCAAGCATAGACAGCGTGTCTTATTCAACACTGAAACTCCAGAATCCATCATAGTGCCTGGTACACTGGAGGAGCTGAATGAATCAATGAATGAATGAATGAATGAACAAATGAATGAGTGACTTAGTGAATGAACAAATCTCAGTATATAGACTGGTATAACAGTCAGCAATTGACAAAGCACCCTCTTAATATTAATTCATTTGATTCCCAGAACATGTCAGGAGATAAATAAGGCGGCTGAGCAGGGAAGGTATTATCTCCATTTTACAAATTAGGAAACCAGGGTACTGAAAGGTTGGCTTGCCAAAGAAAGTGCAACTATAAGTAAAAGATCTGGTTAACGTTGCTGATTCTACTTACTCCTAGCTCTCTGCTCTTCTCAAGATTCAGCTGCCTCTCCACCTTATACAGATTTCACAGAACTCAAAGGATGTCCACCAGCAAAAATGAACACACATAGCTTATTTAGCTTTCTGAAGAAATGAGTTTCTTACTGTAAATACACTCAGTCAAGTTAAAACTTAAAGTTGCAACTTGAAGTTTGGAATGTTTTTATGTTTTGGAGAGGGGAGCAGTGGATATTTTGTAAGAATGAGGAAGTTCTTTCTAAGTATAAAAGTAGCAGAGAATCATGAAGGAAAATATTGATAGATTTCATTACATAAACATTTAAAATACTTGGGTTTTTTTGTTTTTTGTTTCATTTTGTTTTTTTGAGATGGAGCCTCACTCTGCCACCCAGGCTGGAGTGCAACGGTGCGATCTTGGCTCACTGCAACTTCTGCCTTCCGGGTTCAAGCAATTCTCCTGCCTCAGCCTCCCAAGTAGCTGGGATTACAGGCGCCCACCACCATGCCTGGCTAATTTTTGTGTTTTTAGTAGAGACGGAGTTTTACCATGTTGCCCAGGCTGGTCATGAACTCCTGACCTCAGGTGATCCACCCACCTCAGCCTCCCAAAGTGCTGGGATTACAGGCATAAGCCACCATGCCTGGCCAACGTTTAAAATACTTGTATATAAAAGGTTATAATTAAATTAAAATGAAAATAAACTCAAAAAAATTTGCAACAAATAAGCCAAAAGGTTCAAATTTGTGAATATAAAGAACTCATAGAATTTAATAGGAAGAACATTAAGACCATGGTTTCAAAAAAGTAGCCAAAGGTTGTAATGGTTTTCAAATGAAGACAATCACATGGGTGGTGAAACATACAAATATTTTAACTTTTCTTCAATAAGGGAAACATTTTTACAATGATATACCAATTTCCTTATCAGGAACATTAAGATGTTGAAGATAATGCTAGTGGAGTGGGGCACAATGGAAACTGTCATAACAAATTACCTGGAAAACAATTGCCTTAAAACTGTTCACAGCCTTTGACCAAAGAATTTCATTTTGGGGATTGTATCATTAAGAAATTATCAGAAATATGGTTAAAGACTTATGCCCAATGATGTTCTTCACAGTGAGAATTTGAAACTGAAACACAAGAAAAAGCCTATGAATCCAATAATAAGGGAATGGTTAAATACAGTGTGGTGGATAGGAAGCAGCATAGGCTAGCAGCTAAAAGCATGATTTTGAGTCTTACCACCTGGATTCAAATTCTGGCTCTGTCATGTAACTGTCATGTAACTCTGCCCTGTAACTTTGGAACCTCTCCAGGCTCTACTTTTTTCATCTGTACAAAGGGGACGATAAGAGTATCTAACATATAGGGCTGTTATGTGGCTTAAATGGGTTCATACAGGTCTACACTTCCAAAATCTTCAAAGCTCTAAACAACTAAAGGTTTTATGTAACTTAAATAGCAACAAAACATCAGTGAACTGACACAGATCTACTTTATTCCATTTACTGTGACTGTATTTGGCAGATATAATCAATGTTAATCCCTTTCCACAGTTTTACCTTTCTTGCAGAATCTCCAAGATTCTCTTTATGAATTAATAACAATCTTACACATTTGAAAAAGACTAATTTTGAAGTCAAAGCTAACTAGAGAGCAGGTATATGTATTTTGAACTAATCTCTTGGCCAAGAAACTTTCCCAAATCTTCCATCCCAGGGCTCTCAAACTTTAAGGTGGGGAATATTCTTAATGCATAGATTACCAATGTCTATCCCCTAGAAAATCTGATTAAGCGGGTCTGGAGTGGGGGCCAAATGTATATAGTTCCTGCGAGCTCCCAGGCGATGATGGTAAGGCTGATCCATGGATCACCTCTTTTCTCTGCTCTTCTCACGATCCAGCTGCCTCTCCAGCTTATACAGATTTCATGGAACTCCTGTCCACCAGCAAAAATGAACACACATAGCTTATTTAGCTTTCTGAAGAAGTGAACTTCTTACTATAAATATGCTCAGTCAAGTTAAAATTTAAAGTTACAACTTGAAGTTTGGAAAGTTTTTAACTTTTGGAGAGGGGAGCAGGTAGCCTCACTCTAATCCACTCCTTCTTTAATTTTCATCACCCCTCACATTGTATCTTTTTATTTGAACCTTTTCATTTCTGAAAATCTTCGACCTTTTTTTTTCATATTATCATTCTCCTATTCTTTCATTTCTGGTTTTTTTTTTGTTTGTGTTTGTTTGTTTGTTTGTTTGTTTGTTTTTTGAGTCTCACTCACTCTGTCACCCAGTCTATAGTGCAGTGGGGCGATCTCAGCTCACTGCAACCTCCACCTCCTGGGTTCAAGCAATTCTCCTGCCTCAGCCTCCCAAGTAGCTGAGATTACAGGCATGCACCACCATGCCCAGCTGATTTTTGTATTTTTGATAGAGACAGGATTTCACCATGTTGGCCAGGCTGGTCTCAAACTCCTGACCTCAAGTGATCCATCTGTCTTAGCCTCCCAAAGTGCTGGGATTACAGGCATGAGCCACCATACCCGGCCCTATCCTCTCATTTCTATGGGGTGCTTTTATTCCTAGAAATAGTAATGTAATAAAATTATTTATCAGTTTCTGAGTACCTACCATGTGCCAGTAACACAGTTAAAAATGGAAAGTTTCTTGGCCAAGAGATTAGTTCAAAATACATATACCTGCTCTCTAGTTAGCTTTGACTTCAAAATTAGTCTTTTCAAATGTGTAAGATTGTTATTAATTCATAAAGAGAATCTTGGAGATTCTGCAAGAAAGGTAAAACTATGGAAAGGGATTAACATTGATTATATCTGCCAAATCTAGTCACAGTAAAGTAACACAGTTACTACAGTTACTTTACTTTTTTTTATCCTTCTGACAACCCCGAAAGGAGGGTTATTGGAAGGGTTTTTATACTTTATCCTTTTTATCCTGGAAGGGATAAAAACCCTCCCAATAACCCTCATTTAAGTGATGAGAAGACTGAGGTCCTAGGCCTGAGGGTTTGTAGGTGGTGGAAACTAGTCATCTTGGCCCCAAAGCCTAAGCTGTTTTCATTTTACTGTCCTGCCCATTTCACATGGTGGTACACATCCCGTGCTCTCCAGTCTACACGCCTTCTCATTCCTGCCTCCACTACTTAATTCCTGCAGAGTCCCCAGCTTGGAACCCCCTATCTCCTTATCACCTATTCAGGTACCAATCTAGGCCTTCTATAACATGAAGTGTCCCCAAATATACTCGCACAGCCCACACTCAGCTGCATCTGTTGTTCCTAGTTGGCCTTTTATCATATATGCATTTGGTTTTTTTCACCAAGGGATTTTTGTCTTCCTAACTGGATTTAGAGCTCCTTGAAAACAGGGCCGATCTCATGCATCTCTGGGTCCCCCTTGGAACAGCCATGGTGAGGACTGATTGCCTCCTTCACCCCCGCACTTTCTACTCTTCTTCCTTCCTGTCCCCCTACCCACCACTTGTCCCTTCCTATCTTGGTGAAATCAAGCCACACCAACAAGAAGGCAAAAAAAATAGGCCAGGTTTCACCCTTCCTAATCTCCTTCCCTGTGTGGTTTGTTAGTGTTTGCCTTGTGGTTCCACAATGTCATGAGAAGGAAGTCTTTTTATGAGAAGGAGCTTTTCTCATCAATGTTATGAGAAGGAACTTTTCCTCTACTTGGCAGAGAGGTACTAGCCATGTCTTATAACCCTTGGCCCTCTTGAGGGTTTCCAGAACTCCCTTCTTTCCATGTTTATTCAAATTCCATTTTCATTATCGTACTTCCCAGTTTCACCCAACATCCACGTTATCACCCAAGTATATGCCAAGAGTCCTTGCCTGCCCATTCCCAGCTTATACATCTATGGAGCTACTTTCTGCAGTGAGATCTGTTGGGAGCAGCATGGCCAACACATTCATTTGGTCCGTACACTTTAGTTATATTCTTCCCTGCCACCTCCCTTCCTCTTCCTCCTCCTTTCTTCTTCTTACTTTTTCCTCCTCCTCCTCCTACTTCCTGCTCCTCCTCCTCCTTTTTCCTCCTCCCTCTCTTTCTTCACTTCCCTCCATCCCTCCCTTCTCCATCTTTCTGAGGTTATTACTCCTATTATTAGTTGGGCAGTGTTATCAACCCACTATGACAGCACTCAACACTCAACTTACACATCCCAGAGCTTGTAATCCTCCTTTTGTAATTTTCCCACAACTTGTCATTTCCTTGTAACAGGGCTACAGAGCAGCTGGGCCTCCCAGCAAAAGGGTGAGATTTCCTATGGTGCTTTCATTTCCTCCCCATCCATTTAGTTCAAAAGTGCTGGTTGTGTTTGTGTTACAGGTTCATGTAGCTACACTGCTACACTGACACCACCACTACTGCAAAATTTCAGATTGAATTAATTTTCTTGTTCAAACGGGTTTTTTCTGACCCATATTTATGAACCAGCTTTGTGGTGTTCTTGATGGTTTCCTTTGGTGTGTTCTGTAATCTGAATTTCTTCTCTTTGGTGCCTCATTCCATGCGCTATTCTTGGTAGTTTTCATAGTGGAACACTAGGGGAAAAAATTATCCCGAGGAATATCATTTACTGTTTATTTAGTGTTGACAATGCGTTAGGCATTATGCTAAAGATTTTATACATTGCTTCGTTTAATCCTATCAAAAATTTTAGGTAGTTATTATCCCAGTACACATGGGGAAACTGAACTTTAGTCAGGTTAAGTGATTTGTATGAGGTCTCATGGCCAGTAAGTGGAACAACCTAGATTCAAAATCAGTTCATATCATTCCAAAGCCCATAGTCAAAAATGTAGTTTATGGAATCTTTTAACTCATCTTTTAAAAATGTAATGAGTTTTTCAATAGCTCTTTCATACCCTACTGCGAGAGTATAAATGAATACACCCTTTCTGGAGGGCAATTTAGCAATACATATAAAAAGCTTTTTAAAATATTCTTATCCTTTAATCTAACAATTCCCATGCCTGAGTTTATGCTAAGGAAATAATCGTTGATATGTTCAAAGATTTTACCCTAAGGAAATTCAGGATGGCCATATTCATAATATGAAAAATTTGAAACAGGTTCTATGCCCAATAAAAGAGAATTGGCTAAATAAAGCATGATACATAATCAATGAAATACCAAGTAGTAATTATAAATAATGTGGAAAAAGACTATGTAGTGACATAGAAATGTGTTCATGATATAAACACATGGTATGGTATGATAAATAACATAAATATATAGTATGGTAAATAACATATACAACATATGGTATGGTAAATAACATACCATAGGATTTCAGATTCAATCAATTTTTAAAAAATAGATACTACAAAATAAACTGAAAGAGAAATGATATCAAACTAGGACATGAATATGTAACATATATCTAAAAATGTGAAAAGCTGTGAGATGAAGTAAGGTGCTGGAATTAAGACTAATTTTTATTCTTTTATCTTTTTTACTATGTAATAATTTTTAGTTGACATTTACTTTTTTTTAACTTTTTGGTTTTGGTTTTTGGGGTTTTTTGTTTGTTTGTTTGTTTTGTTTTGTTTTGTTTTTGAGGCAAGGTCTCGCTCTGTCACCCAGGCTGGAGTGCGGTGGTGAAATCACAGCTCACTGCAGCCTTGACCTCCCCAGGCTCAAGTGATCCTCCCACCTCAGCCTCCCAAGTAGCTGGGACTACAGGCGTGCCCCACCATGCCCAGCAATTGTTTGTATTTTTTGTAGAGATGGGGTTTCACCATGTTGCCCAGGATGGTGGTTATTTTTTTAATAGGAAAATTGTCTGCATGTTGTCCCCTTTGCTACCCCCAGTTTTACTGAGGTATAATTCACAAATAAAATTATATATGTTTAAGATGTATAATGTGATGATTTGACATATGTAAATATTGTGAAATGATTACTATAATCAAGCTAGTTAACATATCCATCACCTCACCTCAGTTACCTTTTTTTTGTATGTGTGGTCACAACATTAAAGATCTATTATCTTTGCCAATTTCAAGTGTACAATACAGTATTATTAACTACAACCAAGATGCTGTACATTAGAGCACCAGAATTTATTCATCTTAGAGCTGAAAGTGTGTACCCTTTGACCAACATCTCTTTGGACTTCCATCTTGGGCATTTCCTCTGTTGGTGTTTTTATGCTAACTCCTTGGTCATTTTTTTGCCCACCAACCTGGTGGGCTGAGCTTGGGAGCTAATCATTTGGCCTGGAAATATTGGCACAAAACTGAACTTTTGTCTGGTGCTGTGTGTCCTTGTGTGGCTCCAGTGGGAAATTCATAACTTGTTTGAGCAAAGCAAGCTAACTAACTAAATGTCCTTTCCACCTCCCTCTACTAGTTTTGTGAACTCCAGCAGCCCTTATTTTTTCCTCTAGAGTTTAGTAGCTATCTTTCTTTACCCTCACTCACATTGTGAAGGAAATCCTGTACTTTTTTAAAAATTACAAGACCTTTGACCGATGTTCGTATTTATCAGTGTTCCCATTTTATATTTATAATTTCCCCCATAACCAAATAAGCATTTCTGTAGACACAACATTCTGTCTCCTCAGTTTCTTTAATAACTCTTTTTTTCTTAATTTGGGTTTTCATTTGTTTTTCTTCTCTTTTGACTCAGGGTGTTTTGTTTGATCCAGTGTCAGGACTAGGCCACTTCCCAACTGCCTTGTGCTGTTGATTCATATTGATCTCCTAAACTCATCACATCGCCTCCCCTTCTTTCAGGCTTCAAGATGTCCTTGCAGAGTGCCCCATTCCTTCTTCAGCTTTTCTTTCTGCTGTCATCACTTTGATCATCTGCCTGCCAGCTTTGGCTTCCTTCATTGACCCCCTTTCATTCCTCGCCTATAAAGTCCACCTATCAGTCTCTCATCTATTTTTATTCTTCATTGACTGTTTCAACTGCTAGTCCTGAGTCTAATCATTTAAGCCTTTGATTTGGGCCTTCCCTGAAGCATTTTTTCAGATCTTTTAAAAAATGTCTCACCACTCTGACTTCTCAGAGCTCTGCAGAGCTTTCTGACTGATGCTTTTTTCTTTAGGTCATAATTGATTATAGAAGGAATAATTAACCTCAGGAGATAAAATACTGAAACAACATCAATTAGCATTCCTTCTATTAAAAAAGTTTAGATGAAAAGCAAGTCGTCTCCATAAAGAGCAAATTATCTGTAGCCAACTCAGAGAAAAGGATTTATGACACAGAATTTCCACCTCTCAGAATAAATGCTGAGGAGATGATCAGACAAATGTTAAATAAGTACTTGAAAGTAAGTAATTGAAATGTTATTTGTAGTAGTAAAAACTTAAGAAATATCTTAAATGCCCACCAGTACACAATTGGCTATGTGAATTTTGACTCATGCATACTGTGAATTACTAGGAGTCATTAAATATTATGTTTTTGTGATAATATGTATGTATTTATGATAACAAATATATATTTTGAATAAAAGTTGCAGACCAGAATGTATAATATGATCCCATTTCTGTAAAAATTGTATATGTATGTGTATATATAATCACTGAAATAAGGTCTCTTGGTGATGGGCTTTTTGAGGGATTTTTTATTTTTTGTTTCTTTTTGTTTCTTCTTCCTACTTTTCTACATCATTCGTGTATTTTACAGTTAGGAAATGTTGTTTTTTAGGCAAATAAAACAACTACTAGTTTCTTAGTGAATTACATAGCTAACTTCATTTTTTGATTGTTCATTTTATATCTTCCTAACATTTTACTATGAAATTACTCAAAAAATTTTTCTTTTTATTATAAAATTGTCATTCATACTAGAGATAATATGTTTTATATATACATATATATGAGAGGATATATATATATATGGGGGATAAAGAATAATTATAAAATGGACACCTGTATTCCCAAATTCAGCTTAAGAAAATTAATTCTTTGAAACTTCTTTGTATTCCTAATCAAATCTTTCCTGCTCTTTCCTCCAGAGAAGTAATCATTCCCAAATTTGAATTTCAAATTCCCTCTTTTTATAGATTTATGATATTTACATATTCAGTTCATTATGCTACTACTTGTGTTACTGTAATGCACATTAGTTCATAAACAATAAGTAAATAAGGGAATTGCGTCAATATACATGGAAGTCACATTGCTTATACATCTTTCCCCATACATAAATGATCTGTACCACCAAGGAACTGCAGCTGCCTGCAGGGTACACTAACACAGCTGAATACAGCAAGCTGTGAATTTCTGTACATGGAACTCATCCACTGCAAGTTCTTCCTCTTGGCTCGCTTTGGCCTTCTATTCAATCTGAGAAGTGCTTATTATATAGTTCTTCCTGATCTTTGGGCATTTTATCCTAAGGTAGCTTCTTCAACCCTTCCTTAAACCTTCTCCTAAGAAATTATCTTCCTTTTTTCTATATGCTGAATTATTGTATTTGCAGTGGTGTTTATTTAATGTAAATGGAGAAAGTAGTATTTATTGATTAAGAATGTAATTTGCCTTATAATTTTCCCAGTGTTTTATTAGGATTTTTATTGTTTTATTAAATTCTGGTTACAAAATTATAGAGGTTTATTTCTCTTTTTTCTGTGTAAAAATAGTCCATAATCTGTTACTTTTAATCCTTAGTTTTGCAGAATGTGAGGGTTTAAAAAAACACATATATTACCAAAAAGAAAAGACTGATTTCGTAGAAGTAAAAAGTAGAATAGTGGTTACTAGAGGGTAGGAAGGATGCGGGGGTGGGAGGTGATAACCAGAAGTTGGTTAAGGTATACAAAATTACAACTAGATAGGAAGAGCAAGTTCAAGTGCTCTACAGGACTATACCGTGACTATAACTAACAACATTTATTGTATACTTTCAAATAGCTAGAAGAGCAGTTGTTTTTTGTTTTTTTGTTTGTTTGTTTTTTGTTTTGTTTTTGAGATGCAGTTTCGCTCTCATTGCCCAGGCTGGAGAGCAATGGTGCAATCTTGGCTCACCACAACCTCCGCCTCCCCAGTTCAAGCGATTCTCCTGCCTCAGCCTCCCAAGTAGCTGGGATTACAGGCATGAGCCATCACACCTGGCTAATTTTTTGTATTTAGTAGAGATGGGGTTTCATCATGTTAGTCAGGCTGGTCTCAAACTCCTGACCCCAGGTGATCCACCTGCCTTGACCTCTCAAAGTGCTGGGATTACAGGCATGAGCCACTACACCTGGTCGAAGAGCAGATTTTGAAAGCTCCCAACACAAAGAAATGATAAAGTATTGAGGTGATGGATATGCTAATTACCCTGATTTGATCATTACACATTGTATACATGTATTGAAATATCACACAGTACCCCATAAAATGTATAATTATGTGTCAAATAAAAATCATAATGAAAGCAAAATAAATACACACATACATATATTACCTTATACCAGAAACAGCTGTTTCTGGTATATTAAACAATATATTGTTTAATGTTGCATTGTTTTGAGTTTTGTACAAATGGAGTCATGCTCTTTGCACTTTTTCAATTTTTTAAAAAATGTATTATATTCGTGAGAGTAATCCATGTTAATGACTATCACTGTAGTTTATTCATTTTTACTGCTGTTTAGAATTTCAGTGTATAAGTGTGCCAAAATTTATTTATCTGTTCTTCTGTCAGTGGAGCAGTTGGTATTTGTGGTTTCCTGCTGTTATAAAAAATGTTATCAATATTTTTGTATGATTCTTTGGCACATGTACAAAAGTCTCTAGGGAATTATACCTAGGAGTAAAAAACATTTATGCTTATTAGACAATGCAAAATGGATTTCCAAAGTGATTTTACCCATTTAAACTTGTTCATTAGTGTAAGAGAGAGCTCAGCTAAGCACATCCTTGCCAACAGTTGAATCATTGCCAAATTGTTGCGGTTTCAATTCGATTACCAATGAGTATATGCTTCTTCTCTTTGTCCATTCATATTTTTTTCTCCATGTAATGCTTGTGAATATCTTTTGCCCATTGCTTTTCTTTTTTTTTTATTTTTTTTTTTTTTATTGATCATTCTTGGGTGTTTCTCGCAGAGGGGGATTTGGCAGGGTCATAGGACAATAGTGGAGGGAAGGTCAGCAGATAAACAAGTGAACAAAGGTCCCTGGTTTTCCCAGGCAGAGGACCCTGCGGCCTTCCGCAGTGTTTGTGTCCCTGGGTACTTGAGATTAGGGAGTGGTGACGACTCCCAACGAGCATGTTGCCTTCAAGCATCTGTTTAACAAAGCACATCTTGTACCGCCCTTAATCCATTTAACCCTGAGTGGACACAGCACATGCTTCAGAGAGCACAGGGTTGGGGGTAAGGTCATAGATCAACAGGATCCCAAGGCAGAAGAACCTTTCCCAGTACAGAACAAAATGAAAAGTCTCCCATGTCTACCTCTCTCCACACAGACACAGCAACCATCCGATTTCTCAATCTTTTCCCCACCTTTCCCCCTTTTCTATTCCACAAAACTGCCATTGTCATCATGGCCTGCTCTCAATGAGCTGTTGGGTACACCTCCCAGACGGGGTGGTGGCTGGGCAGAGGGGCTCCTCACTTCCCAGTAGGGGCAGCCGGGCAGAGGCACTCCTCACCTCCCAGACAGGGCGGCTGGCCGGGCGGGGGCGACCCCCCACCTCCCTCCCGGACGGGGCGGCTGGCCAGGCGGGGGCTGACCCCCACCTCCCTCCCGGACGGGGCGGCTGGCTTGGTGGAGACGCTCCTCACTTCCCAGACGGGGTGGCTGCCGGGCGGAGGGTCTCCTCACTTCTCAGACGGGGCAGCGGGGCAGAGGTGCTCCCCACATCTCAGACGATGGGCGGCCGGGCAGAGACGCTCCTCACTTCCTAGATGGGATGGCGGCCGGGAAGAGGCGCTCCTCACTTCCTAGATGGGATGGCGGCCGGGCAGAGACGCTCCTCACTTTCCAGACTGGGCAGCCAGGCAGAGGGGCTCCTCACATCCCAGATGATGGGCAGCCAGGCAGAGACGCTCCTCACTTCCCAGATGGGGTGGCAGCCGGGCAGAGGCTGCAATCTCGGCACTTTGGGAGGCCAAGGCAGGCGGCTGGGAGGTGGAGGTTGTAGCGAGCCGAGATCACGCCACTGCACTCCAGCCTGGGCACCATTGAGCACTGAGTGAACCAGACTCCGTCTGCAATCCCGGCACCTCGGGAGGCCAAGGCTGGCAGATCACTCGCAGCTAGGAGCTGGAGACCAGCCCGGCCAACACAGCGAAACCCCGTCTCCACCAAAAAATCCGAAAACCAGTCAGGCGTGGTGGCGCGCGCCTGCAATGGCAGGCACTGGGCAGGCTGAGGCAGGAGAATCAGGCAGGGAGGTTGCAGTGAGCCGAGATGGCAGCAGTACAGTCCAGCTTCGGCTCAGCATCAGAGGGAGACCGTGGAAAGAGAGGGAGAGGGAGACCGTGGAAAGAGAGGGAGAGGGAGACCATGGGGAGAGGGAGAGGGAGACCGTGGGGAGAGGGAGAGGGAGAGGGAGAGAGGCCCATTGTTTTTCAAGTGGGAGGTTTCTATTTTTCTTTCAATAGGAATGCTATATATTCTGGATACTAATCTTTTGCATTTACATTGCTGTAACTATCATCTTCCAATTTGTGGCTTATTTCACTTTTAGGTTGTTTTTATGAACAGTGCTTCTTAATTTAATGTAATTGAATTTATCATTTTTTCTTTCACCTTTTGTGGTTTTTTTGCTAAGAAACCTTTCTTAAGAATAGTTATAAAGACATTCTCCTATAATTTCTTCTAAATTCTTAAAAGTTTTTCCTATCACATTTAAATCTTCAAGGCATTTGCAATTGATTTTTGTGTATGATTTGAGTACAGATTCAAATTAATTTTTTCCACATGGATAACCAGTTGCCTCAATACTGTTATAGAATAGTCTGCCCTTTCTCCTACCAATACACAGTACCATCTGTCAATTATCAAGGTCCCGGGTATGCATGAGTCTGCTTCTGAGCTCTGTTCTGTACTGTTTGTCTTCCCTGCCATTATCAACTATCTCAATTATTCCAGCCAAGTATTAAACTTTGGGAGCAGATAGGGTGAGCCTCCCTTCTGTGTTCTTTTTCTTCTGAGGTATTGACTGTTTCCAGCTCTTTGCTTGTCCACATAACTTATAAGAATCAACTAGCCAAGTTGTGCATTTGCGACACACACATACACCTATTGAGATTTTTTATTAGAACTGCGGTGAATTTGGACAGAGCTGACATTCCAACAATATTGAGCCTTCCTATCTGTATGAACACAGGAGAGACAGTCATGGGTTGCTTTACAATGGGGATATGTTCTGAAAAATGCGTTGTTAGGTGATTTCATTATTGTTCGAACATCACAGAGTACACCTACCCAAACCTAGATGGTATAGCCTACTTACACCTAGCTATATGGGTATAGCCAATTGCTCCTAGGCTACAAACCTGTACAGCATGTGCCTGTATTGAATTCTTGTGGGCAGTTGTAACACAGTGATAACTATTTGTCTGTCTAAACATATAGAAACATAGAAAAGGTACAGTAAAAAATGGTATAAAAGGCCAAAAAAAGGGTACATGTGTATAATAAGGTACTTACCATGAATGGGACTTGCAGGACTGGAAATTGCTCTGGGTGAGTCAGTGAGCGAGTGATGAGTGAATGTGAAGGCCTAGGACTCACTGTGCACTACTGTAGACTTTATAAACACTGTACACTTAGGCTATACTAAATTTATCTTTAAAAATAAAGTAATTGTACTATGATGTTGGGATAGGTAAGATGTCACTATGTGATAGGAATTTTTTAGCTCCATCATAATTTTATGGGACCACCATGGTATATGCAGTTTGTAGTGTATGACTATATTTAGATTTTCTTTAATGTCTTTCAGCATTTGAATTTTTCTCCATAAAGTTCTTATACATCTTTAGTTTATTTTCCGTTTTTTCATTTTTTTTAATTGATGAATAATAGACATACATAGTTTGTGGATACCTGTGATAATTTAATACATTCATGTATCTTGTACAGATGAAATCAGTGTACTTGGGATATCCATCACCTTAAATACTTGTCATTTTTTAGGCTAGGACCATTCCAATTCTTCTCTTCTAGCTATTTTGAAATATACAATAGATTATTGTAAACTAAAGTCACCCTGCTGATCTATCTAAACACTGTCTTATTTATTTTATCAAACCTTGTATTTGTACCCATTAATCAAGTTCTCTTCATCCCCCAAGCCTCTGGTGACCACTAGTCTCCTCTCTGTTTTCATGAGATCCACTTTTTAGCCCCCATATGTAAATGAGAACATGCGATATTTGTCTTTCTATGCTTGGCTTATTTTACTTACTATAATGATCTCTAGTTCCATCCACGTTACAATAAATGACAGGACTTCATTCTTTTTTATGGTTGAATAATATTCCATTGCGGACAGGCCCCATATTTTCTTAATTTATTCATCCGTTGATGGGCACTTCAGGTTGATTCCATATTTTGGCTATTGTGAGCAGTGCTGCAATAAACATAGGAGTGCAAATATCTTCTTGATATATTGACTTTTTTAGATATCTGTCCAGTAGTGGAATTGTTAGATCATATGGTAGTTCTATTTTTCATTTTTTGAGGAACCTCCAAGCTATTCTCCATAGTGGCTGTACTAATTTACATCCTCACCAACAGTGTATGAAGGTTCCCCTTTCTCCTCATTCTCACTAACATTTATTATTGCCTGTCTTTTTTATAAAAACCGATTTAACTGGGCTAAGATAATATCATGTTATAGTATGATTTGCATGTCTCTGATGATACATGATGTTGAGTATTTTTTCATATACTTGTCAACCATTTGTATGTCTTCTTTTGAGAAATGTCTATTCAGATCTTTTGCCCATTTTTTAATTGCATTATTCATTTTTTTGCTATTGAGTTGTTTTGAGTTCTTTATATATTCTGGTTATTAATCCCTTGTCAGATGGGCAGTTTGTATGTATTTTCTCCCATTCTGTGGGTTGTCTGTCCACTTTGTTGATTGTTTCTTTTGCTGTAAAGAAGCTTTTTAGTTTGATGTAATCCCATTTTTCTATTTTTCCTTTTTGTTATTTGTGCTTATGAAGTCTTACCCAAAAAAATCCTTGCCCAGACCAATGTCCCGAAGCATTTCCTGAGTGCTTTCTTCTGTTAATTTCATAGTTTCGGGTCTTATATTTTTAAATCAATTTTGACTTGATTTTGGTGTATGGTGAGAGACAGGAGTCTAGTTTCATTCTTCTGCATATGGGAAGTTACCAGTTTTCCCAGCACCACTTATTGAAGAGACTATGATTTCCCCATTGTATGTTTGTGGCACCTTTATCAAAGCTGACTTGGCTGTAAATGCATGGATTTCTATCTGGGTTCTCTCTTCTGTTCCATTGTTCTACATGTCTGTTTTTTTATGCCATTATGCTGATTTTGTTACTATAGCTTTGTAGTAAATTTTAAAGTCAAGTAGTGTGATGCCTCTGGCTTTGTTCTTTGCTCTGTGGCTATTCAGGGTCTTTTGTAGTTCCTTGTAAATTTTAGGATTTTATTTTCTATTTCTGTGAAGAATGTCATTGGTCCTTTGATAGGGATTGCATTGAATCTGTAAGTTGCTTTGGGTACTATTGTCACTTTAACAATAACAATTCTTCTAATCCATGAGCATGGAATAGCTTTTCATTTTTTGTGTGTGTCCTCTTCAATTTCTTTTATCAGTGTTTTATAGCTTTCCTTATATAGATTTTTCACTTATTTGATTAAATTTATTCCTAGATATTTTATATTCTTTGTAGCTATTATAAATAGGATTTTTTTATGATTTCTTTTTCAGATTGTTCACTGGTGGTGTATATAAATGTTACTGATTTTTGAGTGTTGATTTTTGTATCCTGCAGCTTTACTGAATTCATTTGTCAGTTCTAATAGTTTTTTGGTGGAGTCTTTAGGTTTTTCTCATTATAAGATCATGTTGTCTGTAGATAAGGCTAATTTGACTTCTTCCTTTCCTATTTGGATGTTCTTTATTTCTTTCTTTTGCCTAATTATTCTAGCCAAGGACTTCCAGTGCTGCATTGAATAAAAGTGGTATAAATAGTCATCCTTGTTTTCTTCCATATTGTAAAGGAAAGTCCTTTAATTTTTCTCCATTCACTATGATGTTAGGTGTGGCTTTGTCATGTATGGTCTTTATTGTTTTAGAGGTATGATCCTTCTATGCCCAGTTTGATGAGGGTTTTTTTTTTTATCATAAAGATACGTTGAATTTTATCAAATGCCCTTTAAATATCTATTAAAATCATACAGTTTTTGTTGTTGGTTCTGTTAATGTGATGTTTCATGGTTATTGATTTGAGTATGTGGAACCATCCTTGCATCCCTGGGATGAATCCTACTTAATCATGGTGAATGATTTTTTTAATGTGTTGTTGCATTCATTGTGCTAGTATTTTGTTGAGAATTTTTACATCTATGTCTATCAGGAATAGTGGCCTGTAAGTTTTCTTTTTTTGCTGTGTCCTCATCTGGTTTTGGTATCAGGATAACGCTGACCTCGAACAATGAGTTTGTAAGTATTCTCTCTTCTTTAATTTTTTTGAAGTGTTTGGGTAGAGTTGGTATTAATTCTTCTTTAAACATTTGATGGAATTCATCAGTGAAGCATCAGGTCCTGGGCTTTTCTTTGATGAGAGACTTTTATTATGGCTTCTATTTCATTACTCAATATTGGTTTATTGAGGTTTTGCATTTCCTCATGTTTCAACCTTCGTAGATTGTATGTGTCCAGGAATTTATCCATTTCTTCTAGATTTTCCAGTTTGTTGGCACAATAGTCATAGCAGTCTCTAATGATTCTTTGTAATTCTTCAGTCTCAATTGTTGTTTCCTTTTTTTGCTTCTGATAGTATTTAGTTGGGGCTTCTCTTTTTTTCTTATTTACTCTAGTCAAAAGTTTGTGAATTTTGTTTATCTTTTCAAAAAAACAATTTTTCATTTTGTCGACCCATTTTTTTAAGTCTCAATTTCATTTATATCTGCTCTAATTTTATTATTTCTTTCCATTAATTTGGGGTTTGGTTTGTTCTTGCTTTTGTAGTTCCGTGAGGTGCATATTAGCAAATATTAATAGCTCTAAAGGGAGAGATAGACTGCAATACAATGGTATTGTATTGCAAAGTCCCCTACAACAAGTAGAGGACTTTAACACCTCATGCTCAGTAATGGGCAGATCAGACAGAAAATCAACAGGAAAACATCAGAGTTAAACTACACAACACACCTAATAGGCCTAACTGACATTTATAGAACATTTCACCCAACTGCTGTAGAATACACATTATTTTCATCAGCACATGAAACATTCTCCAAATAGACCATATCTTAGGCCACAAAACAAGTCCAAACACATTTTTTAAAAAATAGAAATTATATCAAGTATCTTTTCTGACTACTATGAAATAAAACTAGAAATCAATGAGAAGAGGAACTTCGGAAACTTCACAAACACATGGAAATTAAACACTATGTTTCTGAACACCAATGAGTCAATGAAGAAATTAAGAAGGACATTTTAAAATGTCTTGAAATGAATGAAAATGGAAATGCAACGTACTAAAATCTATGGGATACAACAAAAGCAGTACTAAGAAGGAGGTTCATAGCAATAAAGATGCTTATATCAAAAAAGTAGAAAGACTTCAATGGTTCATTTTATTTTTCAGAAAATTACTTTTCGTTACTGTTGTAAGTAGCAACTACTTGTAATAAACTTCATTCCTAAGAATAAACTTCTTTGCTGAGAAGGAAGTAAATAAACTTCCTTCCTGAAAAGGAAGTTCATAGCATTAACTCTGTTGTTTCCCTGTTGATTTTCTCTGTGAATGATTGGTCCGTTACTGAGAGTGGGTGTGAAAGTCCCCTACTATTACTGTATTGCAGTCTATCTCTCCCTTTAGGTCTAATAATAACAAAATGTGTTATTATTATAGCAAAAGTAGTACTAAGAAGGGAGTTCATAGCAATAAATGAATATCTCAAAAAAGTGGAAAAACTTGAATAGTTCATGTTATTTTTGAGAAACTTTTTATTTTAAGTAGTATCTACTTACAAAGTATATATTTCACTTATCAATTATTAATGGAAATACAAATGATTCTTTTATACTTTATATCAAGCAACTTTGCTAAATTCTCTCTTTGTTTTTTCTTTAGACGGGTCTCACCATGCTGCTTAAGCTGGGCTCAAGTGATTCTCCCACCTTAGCCTCTTGAGCAGCTAGGAATACAGTCACCACACCCAGCCTAAATTTTCTTATTAATTCTAATTATTTGTATGTAG
Organism: Homo sapiens; assembly: GCF_000001405.40. NCBI lineage: Eukaryota > Metazoa > Chordata > Mammalia > Primates > Hominidae > Homo > Homo sapiens. Next base: position 122,208,371 of record NC_000003.12, read on the forward strand.
ATGTTAAGATTATCATGTTTTCTGTAATTAATGATCTTTTTTTTCTAAACCTTACATGCTTGATATATTTTTGTTATACTACTAAGCTGGCTGAAACCTCTGGGAAAATGATAAAGAGAAGTGATGATGGGGCATCCTTGTCTTGCTCTTGATTTTTAAAGGAAAGACTTTTAAGATTTTTGTCAGTAAATGTGGTATTGGGCATAGATTTTTTTAATGATCACTGTTTATTACATTAATGATATTTCCTTCAACTCCCAGCTTGCTAAGGTCTTCCCTTGAAAGGATGTTGAATTTTATCAATTTTATCTTTCTCCCCATGGGAGCAGACATCTGAGACTAATGAGTTGGCCTCTGGAGACCTGGAATGTGTGGAAAGCATGTCTGGCTTCTTTCCCTCCAGCACTGAATGGCTACGTATTTTGGAACATGCCTTCCTCATACTGATTAGAAAGAGTGAACCTGAAGTTTAGCCTTGGAGAAAAAGGAAAGAGTGCACGCCTTAGATGTAGATTATTTAGGCTAACGTAGTGGAGGAAAAAGATCTTTTGTGTAGTTCACTCTCAGTCACTAGAGTTCGACATTGGGGCTTGGGGATCTCAGCTAATATTCTCAGTATATACCATTTCCCCTGAAACCTTGAGGGCAGGATTTCTAAGTCCCCAGCCAAAAACCACCTCCTAATGCAGTAGTACTTAAACTCAAGTGTGTATCAGAGTCACACATTGTTGGGCTCCACCCCAGAGTTTACGTGACTCAGTAGGTCTGAAAATTTGCCTTTCTAAGAAGTTTCCAGTTGATGCTGATGCTGCTGGTCCTAGAGTCCACACTTTGAAGAACACTGCCCTAAAGCAGTCTCTCTGAAACATCCTCACACTAAAAAAAAGCCCAGGACCAGAAGGATTTACAGCTGAATTCTACCAGAGGTACAAAGAGGAGCTGGTACCATTTCTTCTGAAACTATTCCAAACAATTGAAAAGGAGGGATGTGTTAGTCCGTTTTCACACTGCTGATAAAGATGGGCAATTTACAAAAGAAAGAGGTTTAATTGGACTTACAGTTCCATGTGGCTGGGGAAGCCTCACAATCATGGCAAAAGGCAAGGAGGAGCAGGTCGCATCTTATGTGGATGGTGTCAGACAAAGAGAGCTTGTGCAGGAAAATTTTGCCTTATGAAGCCATCGTATCTCATGAGACTTATTCACTGTCACAAGAATAGCATGGGAAAGACCTGCCCCCATGATTCAATTATCTCCCACAAGGTCCCTCCCACAACACGTGGGAACTATGGGAGTACAATTCAAGATGAGATTTGGGTGGGGACACAGAGCCAAACCATATCAAGGGACTTCTCCCTAACTCATTTTATGAGGCCAACATCATCCTGATACCAAAACCTGGCAGAGATACAACAAAAAAAGAAAACTTCAGTCCAATATCCCTGATGAACATCAATACAAAAATTAATAAAATACTGGCAAACCGAAGCCAGCAGCACATCAAAAAGCTTATCCACCATAATCAAGTGGGCTTCATCCCCAGGATGCAAGGCTGGTTCAAATTACACAAATAAATCAATGTAATTCATCATATAAACAGAACTAAAGACAAAAACCACATGATTATCTCAATAGACACATAAAAGGCCTTTGATAAAATTCAATATCCCTTCATGTTAAAAACTCTCGATAAACTAGGTATTGATGGAACATACCTCAAAAGAATAAGAGCTATTTATGGCAAACCCACAGCCAATATCATACTGAATGGGCAGAAGTTGGAAACATTCCCCTTGAAAATTGGCACAAGACAAGGATGCCATTTCTCATCACTCCTATTTAACATAGCATTGGAAGTTCTGGCCAGGGCAATCAGGCAAGAGAAAGAAATAAAATCATCCAAATAGGAAGAGAGGAAGTCAAACTGTTTCTGTTTGCAGATGACATGATCCTATATCTAGAAAACCCCATTGTCCCATCCCAAAAGCTGCTTAAGCTGATAAGCAACTTCAGCAAAGTCTCAGGATACAAAAATCAATATGTAAAAATCACAGACATTTCTATACACCGGCAATATACAAGCAGAGAACCAAATCATGAATGAACTCCCATTAACAATTGCTACAAGCAGAATAAAATACCTAGGAATATAGCTAACAAGGGAAGTGAAGGACCTCTTCAAGGAGAACTACAAACCACTGCTCAAGGAAATCAGAGAGGACAAAAACAAATATAAAAACATTCCATGCTCATGAATAGGAAGAACCAATATCATGAAAATGGCCTTACTGCACAAAGTAATGTGTAGATTCAATGCTATTCCCATTAAACTATTGACATTCTTCACAGAATTAGAAAAAACCACTTTAAAATTTATATGGAGCCAAAAAAAAGAGCCCATATAGCCAAAATAATCCTAAGCAAAAAGAACAAAGCTGGAGGCATCATGCTACCCAACTTCAAACTGTGCTACAAGTCTACAGTAGCCAAAACAGGAGGGTATTGGTACAAAAACAGACACGTAGACCAATGGAACAGAATAGTGTACTCAGAAATAAGACTGCACATCTATGACCATCAGATCTTTGACAAATGTGACAAGAACAAGCAATGGGGAAAGGATTCTCTGTTTAATAAATGGTGTTGGGAGAATGGGCTAGCCATATGCAGAAAGTTGAAACTGGATCCTTTCCTTACACCTTATACAAAAATTAACTCAAGATGAATTAAATACTTAAATTTAAAACCTAAAACTATCAAAACCCTAGAGGAAAATCTAGGCAATACCATTCAGGACATAGGCACGGGCAAAGATTTCATGACAAAAATGTCAAAAGCAATTGCAACACAAGCAAAAACTGACAAATGGGATCTAATTAAACTAAAGAGCTTCTGCACAGCAAAAGAAACTATCGTCAGAGTGAACAGACAACTTACAGAATGGGAGAAAACTTTTGCAATCTATCCATCTGACAAAGGCCTGATATCCAGAATCTACAAGGAACTTAAACAAATTTACAAGAAAAAAACAACCCCATTAAAAAGTAGGCAAAGGGGCCAGGCACAGGGGCTCACACATGTAATCCCAACATGTTGGGAGGCCAAGGCAGGTGGATCACTTGAGGCCAAGAGTTCAATACCAGTCTGGCCAGCATGGCAAAACCCTGTCTCTACTAAAAATAAAAAAACTAGCTGGGCGTGGTGGCACACCCCTGTAGTCCCAGCTGCTCAGGAGGCTGAGACACAAGAAGTGCCTGAGCCTGGGAGGTGGAGGTTGCAGTAAGCCTAGATCGTGCCACTGCCCTCCAGCCTGGGTAACAGAGTGAGACCTTGTCCTCTGCCACCAAAAAATAAAAATAAATAAAAATAAAGTGGGCAAAGGACGTGAACAGACACTTCTCAAAAGAAAACATTTATGCGGCCAATAAACATGAAAAAAAGTTCAACATCACTGATCATTAGAGAAACACGAAACCAACCCACAATGAGATATTATCTCATGCCAGTCGGAATGGTGATTATTAAAAAGTAAAGAAACAACAGATGCTGATGAGGCTGTGGAGAAATAGGAATGCTTTTACATTGTTAGTGTAATGCAAATTAGTTCAACCATTGTGGAAGACAGTGTGGCATCCCTCAAAGACCTAGAACGATAAATAGCATTTGACCCAGCAATCCCATTACTGAGTATATACCCAAAGGAATATAAATCATTCTATTATAAACATACATGGACACTTATGTTCATTGCAGCACCGTGCACAATAACAAAGACATAGAACCAACCCAAATGCCCATCAATGTTAGACTAGATAAAGAAAATGTGGTACATATACACCATGGAATATTATGCACCCATAAAAAGAAACCAGATCATGTCCTTTGCAGGGACATGGATGGAGCTGGAAGCCATTATCCTCAGCAAACTAACTCAGGAACAGAAACCCAAACACGGTATGTTCTCACTTATAAGTGGGAGCTGAACGATGAGAACACATGGACACAGGGAGAGGAATAACACACACTGGGGCCTGTGGAAGTTGGGGTCAGGGAGCACATCAGGATAAATAGCTAATGCATGCTGGGCTTAATACCTAGGTGATGGGTTGATAGGTGCAGCAAACCACCACGGCACATGTTTACCTGTGTAACAAACCTGCACATCCTGCACATGTATACCGGAACTTAAAATAAAATTAAATAATTTTTTTAAAAAAAGAAATCAATGAGAATTATATCCCTAGGAAGAGTTTTGATTCCAGATTTTCTACAATTTTTTTTTTTTTTTGAGACAGAGTTTCCCTCTTGTTGCCCAGGCTGAAGTGTAATGGCGCGATCTCGGCTCACCACAACCTCCGCTTCCCAAGTTCAAGCAATTCTCCTGCCTCAGCTTCCCGAGTAGCTGGGATTACAGGCATGTGCCACCATGCGTGGCTAATTTTTGTATTTTTAGTAGAGACGGGGTTTCTCCATGTTGGTCAGGCTGGTCTCAAACTCCTGACCTCAGGTGATCCGCTTGCCTCGGCCTCCCAAAGTGCTAGAATTACAGGCATGAGCCACAGTGCCTGGCCGATTTTCTACAATTTTTAAGCAAGTTACTTCATTGTTCTGGGATGCATTTACTCTTGTGAGACTCAAGGTAAAATTACCTAAGCGCCCAGAAAGCAAGGTACAATATAGTTCAAGATAGTTCTTAGAATTGCAGATTCTTCTAGTGGGACATGCAGATCTCACGTCCACACATACCCAGGGCCAGATGCCCTCTTGGCCTCCCTCAGAGATGATCATTCAGCCTCTTTTTGAATGCTTTTACACCATCACATGTATTTCCATTGTTGCACAGTCCTCATTGTTGGAAGAAGGACATTTTTCTCGTGCTCTTTTGAAAACCTAGTGCATTATTGTGCAGATCTCATGGTTAGAAAATTCTTCCTTACATCACATCAAAATCTGTCTCCCTTTAATTTGTGCCTGCAGCCGTATTGTCCGTACCCACCCAGGAAAACACTAAGACCTCTTTCAGCATCCTGCAGACCCCAATCATGTCCTGACTAGAGTTCTCCAGGCAAACTCTCAGAGTTAGTTCCCATAATTGTTTCCTCTTTATGGCTTCATTACCAAGCTTTCATTGTCCAGCTTGGACAAACACTGGCTCGTTTGGGTCCTCTCTCTAAGACTGAAATATACATACTTGGCACCATACCCCATATGAATTCTGGGCCAAGGCTGAGTATGATACGTCTCTTGGTCCTCCTGGTCCTTGTTAATAACCCACTTTAGTAGTTACCTGGACCCTGTGGCTCATATATTGCCTATATATAATCCAGACTCTTCTATAGTTTTGCTTACTATTTGGGTACAATTACTAAGCCAGTGTCAAAAAACCTAGCTGAATTACTGAAATCAACATCGTTTCAGTGACCATGGCAAAGAGAAGGCAAGGATGATCTGAGATGACTTACTCATACTGGCTCCTGACTATTGCAGCTGTGGTTGCTGAGAGGGACAGCCCTCCACCTGAGAATAGGTTTCTCATTTCTTCCACATGATTGTCTCTTCTAACCAGGATCTGCCATTGTTCTGGACCCATATCAGTGTCTTGTCTGCCCATGTTTAGCTCCTCAACACTTGACCCCGTGTCATGTCCTCTTCCTGAAAACTCCAAGGTGACTGCTGAAAGTGCCTGGGTTTTTGTTGTTGTTGCTTACTATCTCTTTGTCTCTTTGTCCTGCTAATCTCTGTGCCAGATCCTGTCATTGGCTCTTTTAGGTTTGTTGATTCTACTTTATGGCCCTGATTTCTTTTTTTCTACATACAGTATCCGTTTGAAGATTCTTTAATGGAGCGTATCCATTTTTCTCATTAAAGACTTTAATTTATGCTGTCTTGTAAAGGAAAAACAAAGGGCATTCTTCAGAACTTCTTTTAAAATATGCCACAGTGGCTATATAGTATCTCAAGGTGGCGGGGGTGGGGGGCAGTATAGACAAACAATTGCAGAGCTGAAGAGGACCCAGTCCTCCTAATCCGCAGTCCAGAACCATTGAACTAACTCTATGCAGACTATCTCTTCTATGGCTCAGACAGGATAATGAAGGGATGACATTGTTGTTCTCTTAGTTCAGAAGGCGTAAACCTCAGTGAGGAGGTGGGATGGATACAGAAGCAGGCAGATCACTGAGATCATTTAATGCCACATTCTGAACATATCTAAGTCCCAACTCTGATCCAACAGGGAAAGATGTACTACTATTCAGGTAAACTCAATTGTCATTCATTTTGTACATAAACTGTATAGGTACACTTTACATCCTAGACTCTAATGGCTAGAATTTAACCAAATAAAATCTCTCCTGGCTGCTAAGGAGTCCTTGGACTGAAAGTGACTAAAAAAAGACCATGTCCCCTAACTGGACACGTGGCAGCAGGGTAGTAAGGCAAATTCCTTGTTTGAAAGCATTCATAGCACAGTATTTTTTCATTGACTGGACAAAGGGTCACACGAAAGCCCATGATAAATGACTTGCTTTTCTTCAGTCATTTATTAACCACAGAAGTGTGGAATGCATCACTGAGAGACTAATCCATGCCACACATTCAAGGGACTTAAAGCAGAGTTTTCCAGACTGCTAAGGAAGCAGGTAGAAGAAGGAAGGAGGTAGGTCTATCCTTGCTTTTGCTGCCATCTCGAACATAACTGCCTCTAGCATCTTGAATAACAGACGGAGAAAGTCTTTGCCTATGCACTTGAGAAAGCTGGGCCATACCATGATTACGGCCCTCTGCCTCCATGGGTGAACTAAGGGCACAGCTGGACAGCTGGGCTTTGTATGAGGCAAACAATCTGCTGATTTATTTTAAACCATCATGCTGGTATGTGCACGACCAAATGAATGTGGTCCCCTTTTAAGTAAAGCCCCTTGAAAAGCTTTCTGCTTATCCCATGATGCTTCCACGTCGCTCAAGAGATTCTTAGGGAGTTGAGTGCAGGAATGCACAAAAAAAGATGACAGCCATCTATCTACATCCACAACTCATAATTAGCTACTGTAAATATTTTGGCCTATTTGCTTCCAACGTTTTTCTTTATTTAAGAAACCTCTTTCTATTGTTTCTTATTAAAGTGAAGCACAGATTATTACGGAGATCTCAAATCATGCAGAAAAGAACACAAATTTAAAGGTTTTTTTAAAAGCACCTGAAAGTTCATCATTAATATTTGGTGAACATTATTCAGGGTAGGTTTCTATATATCCCACTTTTTGGAATATCATCAGTTTTGTCAAAGTTTCCACCTTGGAAAAAGGATTTGATTTTTCAAAATAGGTCAGAGTTGCCAGGAGCCATTGAAGTCCAGTGAATAAGGTAATGATTAAGCCGTGTGACAAGATTTTGGTGCCAAGTCAGGTATAATTGGTTTTCTTGGACAGCTCAGAAATTGCCATGAGAGGCACCCATGTCAGAAGTGACCAACAAGACCTGCCCTCAGAGAGACTGTATCTGAAGGACAGGTGCATGAGGTTGCAGAAGTGTTGGGGATCATAACCACTAGAACTGAGCCAAGGCTGTTTCTTGAGGGCTGTGGACCTCAGTTAGGTCCTTACCCTCACAGAGCCTGTGTTTGCTCATCTTTAATGGGGTGTTCATAATGTCCACTTTTCACAAGCTGTTATGAGACTCAAATTAGGTCAGGGACATGAAAGCTCTTTTGCAAATGATTAAGCCCTATACAAATGTTAGGCATTACTGCTTAAGTATATTTGTCAAATTAATCTTGTTTCTTGATGGGTACACCTCCTACAGACAGTCAGTTCACAGACAGCCACATCATCAAATCCTAACTGGGTGAGGGCTTTTCTTTCCCCTTGTACTCTCCTTGGGCTGCACGTTTGTCCCTTCAGGGCTACCTTGTCCTTGATGTGATGTCCATTTTACCTGACTTTTCCAGTACTTGATCATGGGCAAGGGAAATCATAGAAGGCAGGCAGGACACAGTTTGAATCACTACCACCATTGTTTTTAGCTTCCTGCAACCTGTGTGGCAAATGACTTCAGTCTGGGGTGTCTATGGAATTTTAGAAGGATCTGGTCAGTTTCCTTAGTTACCTGGAAGTTCTTTTGACATTTAACTTATCAACTCATTTTTCACCAAACAGAGGAATCTGAGATCTGGAAGGTTTCTCAGAGTTCTTATGCTGCATAAATAGGGAATAAGGACAAAAAACTATAGTTATCTGTACAAACGAGAGTAATAACTATACCATTCTAATAGTGGTTGAAAGGACTAAACTTCAGGTATTTAGTATAGCCGGGCACATAAAAGTGCTCATTAAATGTTAGCTATTATTTTGGGTGTTATTATTATTAATACAAGGACTAGAACTTCTAGGCTCTGTAAGTTAGAAAGGTAGTAGCTTATATGTCATGAGTGACTTTTGACACATGAAAGAGTGCCTCATCAACAGTGAGATACTGTTAATCATGCATAATTTACAAATGTAATTTTGCCATTTGGAATGTCTACTTTTTGATTTGTATCCATTCATTCAACATATATTTATTGAGTGCTTACTATATGCCAGGCATTGTGCTGTGCATTGAACATACAGTGGTGAACTACACAGACCTCATCCACGTGGAGCTGACTGTCTAACAAAGGAGACAAACAGTAAACAAATAACTATAGCAATGAATATTTGTCTAGAACTTGTTTTGAGTGCAGTGAAGGGAAAGTAAAATTTTTTTTTTTTTTTGAGACAAGGTCTGGCTCTGTCACCCATGCAGGAGTGCAGCGACATGATCTCAGCTCACTGCAACCTCCATCTCCCGGGCTCAAGCCATCTTCCCACTCCTGAGTAGCTGGGACTACAGGCACATGCCACCATGCCCGGTTAATTTTTTTGTAGTTTTTTGTAGAGACAGGGTCTTTCTTTGTTGCCCAGGCTGGTTCAAACTCTTGAGTTCAAGCAATCTGCCTGCCTCGGCCTCCCACGGTGCTGGGATTACAGGTGTGAGCCACCACGCCTGGCCAGGAAAATACAATTCTATGAGGTATGTAGCTGATGGTACCCAATCTTGTGTGATAGATGGGAAAGGGGCAAGGAAGATTCAGGATGTTTCCCTAAAGTAATTGACGTGTGAGTTGAAATCCAATGAACGAGTAGGAATAATGTAACAATGAGTGAGAAGAAGCAGATTCCCAAGAGAAGGAACATGTGCAAAGGCCTTGAGGCTGGATTTTGACATTCAGCTTATCAGCTCATCTTACACCAAACAGAGAAATCTGAGATCTGGAAGGTTTCTCAGAAGTTCTCATGCTGCACAAAAAGGGAAGAAGGACTAAAAACTATAGTTATCTGTACAAATGAAAGTAATAACCGTACCATTCTGATAGTGGTTGAAAGGACAAAATTTCAGGTACTTAGCATAGCCTGCCACAGAAAAAAAAATGTTCAATAAATGTTAGCTATTATTTTTGGTGTTATTAATACAAGGACTAGAATTTCTAGGCTCTATACGTTAGAAAGATATTGGCATAGGCATAGTCACATCTAAGCAGAGTGAGGGGGTGTGGAGCAGAAAATGAGGTTGGGGGTTGTAGGAGACTAAACAAGGCAGGCATGGTCTCATTGCAGACCCTGTTAAGAATTGTGCTCTTGACTCTAACAGCAAAGGGAGTCCATTGAAGTGATTCAAACAAGATGAACAGGTTTCTGTATTCAAAGATCCTGCCACTGCAAGCAGAATAATGGATTGGAGGGGGGCCCAAGTGGATGCAGGTAGTTAAGTGTAGGAGGCTGTAACAGCAGGCTGTGGGAGAGTTGATGGTAGCTTAACACAGGGCCATAGTGGTAGAGCTGAAAAGAATCAAAAATTATTTACGGGCCAAGCATGGTAGCTCACACCTGTAATCCCAGCACTTTGGGAGGCTGAGGCGGGCGGATCATGAGGTCAGGAGATCAAGACCAGCCTGGCCAACATGGTGAAACCCCGCCTCTACTAAAATACAAAAAATTAGCCAGGCGGTGTGGCAGGAGCCTGTAGTCCCAGCTACTCGGGAGGCTGAGGCAGGAGAATCGCTTGAACCAGGGAGGCAGAGGTTGCAGTGAGCCGAGATCATGCCACTGCACTCCAGCGACAGAGTTCTGGCAACAGAGCGAGACTCTGTCTCAAAAAAAAAAAAAAAAAAAGTTATTTACAAGGTAAAATCCACAAGATCTGGTGGTGAACTGGATAAAGGAGGTAGAAGAAGAAGAAGATGAGGAGAATCCATTTATTCATTCAGCAAGTATTTATTGAGCCCCAGATGCTCTGCTAGGTACTGAGGATTAAACTGTGAACAAAACAGAAAAGTCTCTGCCCTCAATAGGTTACAGTTTGGAGGGGATTGGAACTGAAGAGTTGACAATATGCAAGTAAACAAATAGTGATGTGTTTGCATTGCAAATTATAATTACATATTACAGTGTGGGTGATTACAGATAAGTACTACAACAAAAAAATAAGGGACATGTCAGAGAGAGTAACTCAGGAGGAGGTGACATTTAAGGTAAGACCTAAAGGATGAGAAAGACAGCCAAGAGAGCCAGTGAAAGAGCATTCTGGGTAGAGGAAACAGTAAGTTCAAAGATCTTGATGTATTCCAGGAATAGGTGGGAAATTAGGGTGGCCGGAAATAGTGAGCAAGGAGGAATTGTATAAAATGGGGTGGTAGGTCATTTGTAGGTCATACTGAAGATTTTGGATTTTTTTAAATACAGCAGCTAGAATAACCTGACTGATGTTTAAAAGATTACTCTGTTGTGTGAAAAATGGGGAAAAATTAATTATTTCACACCAAGAGTAAAAGCAGGGAGAACAGTTAGAAGCCAGTCATTCAGGTGATAGAGGATGATAACTTGCACTGGGACTGTGATGGTGGATCAGGGAAAGAGAAACAGATATCAGAGGGATTTTAACAAACTGGCCTCACTGAAGATCCAAATGACCCCTAAAGAAGTGGTGGCATGATTCCGTTGCATAAGTTGACAGCCTGGTGTAACCTACCTATGATTCATCTCACCAGACCCAGCCCAGATCAGGGTTCAGGGACCAAACCCAGCACCAGAGTAGCTGGGATCAGGGCCAGGGGTCATCAAGACTGGGGTCACCAAAGTCACATCAGGGTCTGTAGCAGCTCACAGTGAAGGGAGGAATCTGTTGAGCTGGGTTTCTATCAGTGCTGTTTGCCTGGGGCTAGAAGTGGTAACCAGTTCAGAACCTGGGTGAGGGTAGAGCTGGGTCAACACTGGAGGTTAAAGTGGCAAAGCTGCCAGTTCAAGGTTACAGGGATGGAGATATGCCACCTATGACACCATTGGATGAGACATTTGGTGGATGAGTCAGACATTGGAGATTTATTTGTGGAATACCAAGCAGTGCAATCTCAGTGTTCTCTAGCTCCTTGTGATTTAGACAAGAGGGATCCCTGCCTTGCAGATTTAGTTTGATCTAGAGTGTGAGGCTTTTTGGTAGCCTTACCAGTAAGATACTTGCCTTCTTGATCTTGTCTATTTCTCTGCCATTTCAACATTATTTTCCACATGAGGTAAAATATTCAGGATTCTGTGACAAGTTTCAGCTCAGTTGCTGCTGTGTGGGTATGCCTGCATGCACATATATGTAAGCACATGTTGTGTCTACTGCGATGAGCGTGTGTGGCAGCTGGAGTGTCAGTAATGGTACATTAGGGCATGTTAACCTGCAGGGCCACAAGCATCTCCATTTTTTAAAAAGAGAGAAGAGAAGAGACACCTGATCCCAAGATAGAGACAACAAAGAAGGATGATCCATTCTGGTGTCAGTTACAAAAAACAGCAGCATACCTCTTCCTGAAACTTGTTTGTGTCTGACCACTTCATCCTGCTCTTCCTCCAGTCTCAATCCCCAGCCAATGCTGATTTCTACCCAACAACACCTAGAAGAATTTGGCAATTTATCCCAACAATAAGCGAAGAGCCAGTGATATGTCTGAGAGTACTAATTATTTCCAAATATTGGGAATCCAGCTTTACACAGACTGAAAATTTCTGAAGAAATACAGAGCAACATCTCTGTTGCTGTATGTCATTACCAGCATCCTTGATAACAGTTTACCACAATGCATTAAATAAATCATAGAACACCAAGGATTTACAGCTTTTTGAGCTTGATATCCAGAAGAAGAGAAGACAGAGTTAAGAAAAGTAACGATATTATTTTTGTCTTCTAAACTCTCTGCTTTGGTTGCTGGGTCCTCTTCTTGGTGATTCAACAACGTACATTAAAATATTAAGGACTTTGTGCTGGGCATGGTGGCTTACACCTGTAATTCCAGCACTTTGCGAGGCCGAGGTGGATGGATCACATGAGGTCAGGAGTTTGAAACCAGCCTGGCCAACATGGTGAAACCCCGTCTCTACTAAAAATACAAAAATTAGCTGGCTGTGGTGGCAGGCACCTGTAATCCCAGCTACTTGAGAGGCTGAGGCAGGAAAATCACTTGAACCCAGGAAGCAGAGGTTGCAATGAGCCGAGATCGCGCCACTGCACTCCAGCCTGGGCGACAGAGAAAACCCCATCTCAAAGAAAAACGACTTTGATAAATGTTTGTTTATGTCTGACCACTTCATCTTGCCTTCCTCCAGTCTCAATTCCCAGCCAATGCTAATTTCTACCCAACAACACCTAAAAGTTGGCAGTTTATCCCAACAATAAGCCAGGAGCCAGTGATATGTCTGATAGTACTAATTATTTCCAAATATTGGGAATCCAGCATGAGGCAGAGTGTAGAAAGAGACATTGAGTTTTATTTAACTGAATTTTTCCATATATTTTTGATCAAGAACACTTTGGGAAATGCTACTTTAAGATTACCATTCATTTTCTTTTCCCCTCACCCCCTTCCTTGGAGAACCATCAATGCTCACAGTTCCAGCTGCCATCTTAGTGCTAAAGTCTCTCTTGTCTCAGCGCAAGCCCCTCTCTACCCCAGCTCTAGGACACCCCTGCCCATAGCACACCTTCACCTAGATGGCTCACAGTGGGGCAGAGTAGGAATCTACAGAGGTTCAGAGGAAGTTCTGAATTCATTAATTCTTCATTCAACAAATATGAAAAAATGAAACTGATGGAATGGAAGAGGCTCTACTTCTGCAATTTTTATTAAACCACCTTGAGAACTGAACCCCAAACTCAGTGAATCTTTGGTTCCTAAAGGTGTAGAATCTTTACTGATCTATTGCCACTAGAAAGATAGTAACAACAACAACACAAATCTCTAGTACACCAGTGAACAATGAAATCCCAGTACACCTGGGAATAATGCAATCTAGGTTTAAATAATCCCCCCATCATTTATTACAGCATGACTTGGACAAGTTGCTTCACCTCTCTGAGTCTCACAAAGTTCATCTTGTGAGTAGCGATAGTATCTGTGGCAATTATTGGGAAGATTTAATGAACAAGTATGGCAAATGTATAATACCTTTTACCTATTGCTCACCTCCCTCTTATTTCTCCATTTAACTCCCATCCTCTCCCATTTCTTTTTATATCCATTAAGCTAGCACAGTCTCCATAAAAACAACTGAATCTACACATCTATTCAAAGCCTTCCTGCCCTAGCATATTGACTATAATTCTACCCAAAAGAGAGAACTGGCTGACAGCTTTCTGCCAATATTGGAGTAGGCTGATCTTTTTCTGGAATAGCCTCTAAAAGACAATAGCATTATTTTTTAGTAGATTCTACAAAACAAGATAAAGGGGACTGGAAGAGGCCCTTTGCCCTTGGGAGGGTCCATTCCTAGCTGGGGGTAAAGGTAATTATCTCTGACTTTTGGTCTTCTCATCTGCTAAATAAGTCCTGAGATATCCACCACTTTTAATAGCCTGTGTACTCTGGGTGTATGCATAGAGTGCCTAGCAGCTTGCCTATACCTCTTCATCCATGAAAGATTCAAGAAGAGGGAGGATATCCGTTGAGCACACTACTGCATCATTTATTAGAGAAAAAAAAATTCCTATTTGGGGGTTACTAGTCTTATATCACATACAACAGACTTTAAACCAACAACAATCTAAAAGGTCAATAATAATAATAATCCTTTCTTAGTAGTAGTAATAATAAAGGATTCAATTCAACAAGAAGTCTTAATGGAGCACCCAGATTCATAAAACAAGTTCTTAGAGATCTATGAAGAGATTTAGATAACCACACGATAATAGTGGGAGACTCCAACACCCCACTGACAGGATTAGACAGATCATCAAGGCAGTATCTAACAAAGATATTCTGGACGTAAACTCAACACTTGACCAATTGGACCTAATAGACATCTACAGAACACTACACCCAAAAACAACAGAATATACATTCTTCTCATCTGCACATGGCACATACTCTAAATCAACCACATGCTTGCCCATAAAGCAAGTCTCAACAAATTAAAAAAAAAATAGAAATCATGCCAACCACACTATTGGACCACAGAGCAATAAAAATAGAAATCAATACCAAGAAGATCTGTCAAAACCATACAATTACATGGTAGTTTAACAACCTGCTCCTGAATGACTTTTGAGTAAACAATGAAATTAAGGCAGACATCAAAAAATTCTTTGAAACTAATAAGACCAGATATACAACATACCAGAATCTTTGGGACACAACTAAAGCAGTGTTAAGAGGAAAGTTTAGAGTGCTAAATGCCTACATCAAGAAGTTAGAAATATCTTAAATTAACAACCTAACATCACACCAAGAAGAACTAGAAAAACAATAGGAAACCAACCCCAAAGCTAGCAGAAGAAAGAAATAACCAAAGTCATAGCTGAACTTGATGAAATTGAGATGCGAAAATCCAGACAAAAGCTGGTTCTTCAAAAAATTAAGTGAGATGGATAGGCCACTAGCTAGATTAATAAAGAAAAAAGAGAAGATCCAAATAAACACAATTGGAAATGACAAAAGTGACATTACAACCAACCGCACAGACATACAAAAAATCCTTAGCGAATATTATCAAAACCTCTATGCACACAAACTAGAAAACCTAGAAGAAATGGATAAAATCCTGGAAATCCAAGCCTCTCAAGATTGAAACAGGAAAAAATTGAAACCTTGAACAGACCAATAATGAGCTCCAAAACTGTATCAGTAAGAAAAAGCCAACCAACCAATAAAAGCCCAGAGCCAGATGGATTCACAGCCAAATTCTACCACATGTAAAATTATTCCAATCCTACTGAAATTATTCCAAAAAATTGAGGAGGAGGAGATTCCACCCTAACTCATTCTATGAACCCAGCATCATTCTGACACCACAACCTGGCAAAGACACAACCAAAAAAGAAAACTTCAGACAATATTCCTGATGAACATCGATGCAAAAATCTTCAACAAAATACTAACAAACCTAATCCAGCAGCACATCAAAAAGTTAACCCACCACAATCAAATAGGCTTTATTCCTGGATGCAAAGTTGGTTCAACATACGCAAATCAATAAATGCAATTTCCCACATAAACAGAATTAAAAATGAAAACTGCATAATTATCTCAATAGATGCAGAAAAGACTTTTGATAAAATTCAACAGCCCTTCATATTAAAAAACCCTCACCAAATTAGACATCAAAGGAACATACTTCAAAATAGTAAGAGCCATCTGTGACAAACCCACAGCCAACATCATACTGAATGGGCAAAAGCTGTAAGCATTTTCTCTTGAGAACTGGAACAAGACAAGGATGTCCACTCTCACCACTCCTATTCAGCATAATACTGGAAATCCTAGCCAGTGCAATCAGGCAAGAGAAAGAAATAAAAGGCATCTAAATAGGAAGAAAGGAAGTCAAGGTTTCTCTCTTCACAAACAATATGATTCTATACCTAGAAACCCCCAAAGACTCTGCAAAAAGGCTCAGAGAACTGGTAAACAACTTTAGTAAAGTTTTAGGATACAAAATCAATGTACAAAATTCAGTAGCATTACTATATACCAATAACATTTAAACTGAGAGCCAAATGAAGAACACAATTCCACGTACAATAGCCGCAAAAAGAAGAAAATGCCTAGGAATACAGCTAACCAAGGAGGTAAAAGTTCTCAACAACAAAAATTACAAAATACTGCTGAAAGAAATCAGAGAAGACACAAACAAATGGAGAAACATTCCGTGCTCATGGACAGGAAGCATCAATATCATTAAAATGTCCACACTGCACAAAGCAATTTACAGAGTTAATGCTATTCCTATCAAACCACCACCATTATTTCTCACAGAACCAAAAAAGACTATTCTAAAATTCACGTAGAACCAAAAAAGACCCTGAATAGCCAAAATAATCCTAAGCAAAAAGAACAAAGCTGGAGGCATCACACTCCCTGACTTCAAACTATACTAAAGGCTACAGTAACCAAAACATCATTGTGCTGGTACAAAAACAGACACATAGACCAATGGAACAGGATAGAGAACCTAGACGTAAAGCCACACACCTCCAACCACCTGACCTTTGACAAAATCAACAATACCAAGCAGTGGGGAAAGGACTCCCCATATGATCATCTCAGAATCATTTACTATTCAGTAAATGGTGCTGGGTTAACTGGCTCGCATAGGCAGAAGATTGAAACTGGATCCCTTCCTTTCACCATATACAAAAATTATCTCAAGTTGGATTAAAGACTTAAATATAAGACCTAAAACTATAAAAATGTTAGTAGAAAACCTAGGAAATAACATTCTGGACATCAGCCTTGGGAAAGAATTTATGACTAAGTCCCCAAAAGCAATTGCAACAAAAACAAAAATTGATGAGAGAGACCTAATTAAGGGAAGAGCTGCTTTCTGCACAGCAAACAAAACTATCAACAGAGTAAACAGACAACCTACAGAATAGGACAAAATATTCACAAACTACCCATCCAACAAAGGTCTAATATCCAGAATTTGTAAGGAACTTAAACAATTGAACAGGAAAAAAAAAGAAAAAAAAACATTTAAAAAGGACATGAACAGACATTTCTCTAAAGAAGACATACATGTGGCCAAATGTATGGAAAAATGTTCATCACCACTAATCATTAGGGAAATGCAAATCAAAACCACAATAAGATACCATCTCACACCAATCAGAATGGCTATTACTAAAAAGTCCAAAAAAAAAAAAAAAAAAACAGATGTTGGGGAGTTTGCAGAGAAAAGGGAACACTTATGCGCTGTTGGTGAGAATGTAAATTAATTTAGCCACCGTGGAAAGTGGTGTGGAGTTTCCTCAAACAACTTAAAATAGAACTATCATTTGACCCAGCAATCCCACTACTGGGTATACACCCAAAAGAAAATAAATCATTCTACCAAAAGGACATATGCACTCATATGTTCATTGCAGCAGTATTCACAAGAGCAAAGACATGGAGTCAACCAAGATGCCCATCAGTGGTGGACTGGATAAAGAAAATGTGGTACATATATGCTACAGAATACTATGCAGCCATAAAAAGGAACAAAATCATATCCTTTGCAGCAACATGGATGCAGCTAGAGGCCTTTATCCTAAGCAAACTAATGCAGAAACAGAAAACCAAATACTTCATGTTCTCACTGATAAGCAGGAGCTAAACATTGAATTCACATGGGCACAAAGATGGGAACAAAAGCCACTTGGGCCTACATTAACGGGGAAGATGGGGGGGTAGTGTGTCTGGAATTGGTGGGCTCTTGGTCTCACTGACCAAGAATGAAGCCACGGACCCTCACGGTGAGTGTTACAGTTCTTAAAGCCGGCGTGTCTGGAGTTTGTTCCTTCTGATGTTCGGATGTGTTCGGAGTTTCTTCCTTCTGGTGGGTTCGTGGTCTTGCTGGCTCAGGAGTGAAGCTGCAGACCTTCGCAGTGAGTGTTACAGCTCTTAAGGCAGCGTGTCTGGAGTTGTTTGTTCCTCCCGGTGGGTTCATGGTCTTGATGGCTTCAGGAGTGAAGCTGCAGACCTTCGCAGTGAGTGTTACAGCTCATAAAGGCAGTGTGAACCCAAAGAGTGAGCAGTAGCAAGATTTATTGCAAAGAGCAAAAGAACAAAGCTTCCACAGCGTGGAAGGGGACCCAAGCGGGTTGCCACTGCTGTCTCGGGCAGCCTGCTTTTATTCTCTTATCTGGCCCCACCCACATCCTGCTGATTAGTCCATTTTGACAGGGTGCTGATTGGTGCTTTACAATCCCTGAGCTAGATGCAAAAGTTCTCCATGTCCACACTAGATTAGCTAGATACAGAGTGTCAATTGGTGTATTTACAAATCCTGAGCTAGACACAGAGTGCTGATTGGTGCATTTACAAACCTTGAGCTAGATACAGAGTGCCAATTGGTGCATTCACAATCCCTTAGCTAGACATAAAGATTCTCCAAGTCCCCACCAGACTAACTAGATACAGAGTGCCTATTGGTGCATTCACACACCCTGAGCTAGACACAGGGTGCTGATTGGTGTGTCCACAATCCTTGAGCTAGATACAGAGTGCTGACTGGTGCATTTACAATCCCTCAGCTAGACATAAAGGTTCTCCAGGTGCCCACCAGACTAACTAGATACAGAGTGCCAATTGGTGTATTCACAAACACTGAGCTAGACACAGGGTGCTGATTGGTGTGTTTACAAACCTTGAGCTAGACACAGAGTGCTGATTGGTGTACCTACAATCCCTTAGCTAGACACAAAGGTTCTCCAAGTCTCCACCAGACTCAAGAGCCCAGCCTCCTCACCCAGTGGATCCCGCACCGGGACCACAGGTGGAGCTGCCTGCCAGTCCAGCCATGTGCCCACACTCCCCAGCCCTTGGGCGGTTGGCGGGACTGGGCTCCATGGAGCAGGGGGTGGTGCTCATCAGGGAGGCTCCCGCCACACAGGAGCCCATGGTGGGGGGTTGGGGTGGGGAGGGCTCAGGCATGGCGGGCTGCAGGTCCCAAGCCCTGCCCCACGGGGAGGCAGCTAAGGCCCGTGAGAAGTCGAGCACAGCAGCTGCTGGCCCAGGTGCTAAGCCCCTCACTGCCCGGGGCTTGCGGGCCAGCCAGCTGCTCCAAGTGCAGGGCCGCTGAGCCCACAGTCACCCAGAACTTGTGCTGGCCCGCAAGCACCGTGTGCAGCCCTGGTTCCCACCCACGCCTCTCCCTCCACACCTCCCTGCGAGCTGAGCGAACAGGCTCTAGCCTTGGCCAGCCCAGAAAGGGGCTCCCACAGCGCAGCAGTGACCTGAAGGGCTCCTCAAGCACGGCCACAGTGGGAGCCAAGGCCGAGGAGGCACCGAGAGTGAGTGAGGGCTGCGAGGGCTGCCAGCACGCTGTCACCTCTCAGTAGGAGCACTGGGGTTGAAAGCTGCCTATAGTATACTATGCTCACTACCTGGGTGACAAGATCATTCATACACCAAACCTCAGCATCATGCAATTTACCCGTGTAACAAACCTGTATGTGTACTCCCTGAACCTAAAATGAAAGCCAAGATAAAAACTAGTTAAAAATAAATAAATAAATCAATCCCTATTTTCTAAGGACATCTAAATGACTGCTCATGTCAGTATGGCTACTTCAAAATAATATGTCCTTCCTGAGATGTATATGCCTGTGAAGGACACCAGCAGTCTGAGGGAGGAGCAGATTCGAATGGTCCAGTGGAAGAACATTGAATTGGGGATCTGAGAACTGGTTCCAGCTGAAGCTTTGCCAGTTACCAGTTGTTTAGTATTGGACAAGTCACTTAATTCCCTGACTCTCAGGTAGTTTTGTTGCTGTTGTGGTTTAAGTATCATGGGGCTAACACTAGTAATCTTTTCTTGGTCTAATAGTGCTCCATCTTTTCTTCCTAGGTCTAGTCATATTTTGAAAACAAATTAGTTTCACTGTACATGCTATTTCATAAATTTGTTTTTTAATTTATTTAAATTATCAGCATATAATGAGCATTTTCCTATGTCTTTAGGTAGTTTTATGACATGTTCTTAAAGATTACGTTGTATTCTGTTATGAGACTATACCATCTTTGCACACCAAGCCTCACTTGTGGAACGTGGAAATGCCTTTATTTCCTATTAGAAGTAGTATTAACCAGGTGCAGACAAAAGGAATTAATCTGGACTTCTTCAATTGAGATTACACCTCATGTGTTTCAGCTACATAGACCCATCTGTCTCTGGCTGGAATTAGGAGCCTAAAAAGAGAAGGGGCTGAAGGACTGCTCACTTAGAAGAGTAGAAGGGGCTGAACAGGACAGGAGGTGCATATGTTTATTGATGGCTGACATGCCACACACTTACATGTGTTAGTACAACAACCCTGTGAGGTAAGGCTTATCCCCCATTACATTTGCTGTAAGAGCTGAACTGAATCCATGCTCACAGCTACCATGTTGAAAGGGGAAGCTGAGAAGGGCCCAGAACCACCGCTGTGCCACTACCCCTGAGACTCCACCATCCTCTCCTCCACACCATGACACCTGACCCTCTCCTTTGCCTGTCCACACCTACCATCTCAATGCCCCACTCTTCTCAAATGCATCCCTCAGATATTCACTGATTTATCCTTTCAGGACTTCTCAATCATGTATTTACCATCTTATTATAAATGATCTGATGCTCAGATTCTTAGGGTTACAACAGTTGATTTACATAGCCTTGCCTATGTGCCGTTAAGTCACTTCAAGATGGAAAACTCCCTGATTAAACTTAAGATGTAGTAATCCCACAACATGAATACTCTGGACTAAGTATATATTTTATTGTAAACAGTCTTAAATAAAATATATACATTGTTTAAATCTGCTAAACACTTTTTACCAACGTCTATACACTTCCCACCCACCTCCACCCACCCTCAAAATCAGGCCACTCTTCTTGTAGCAAAATTCTCTACTTTCCTACCAGAGTGTGTAGTGTTCATTTGCATTTCTATTTAGGTGAGTTTATTTCATAACAGTCATGGCAGTGGGCAGAGCCCACAGAAGTCTATACCCTTCTCTGCCTCTAAACAGTCATGAACAAATGAAGTGAGTTAGATGACTTCTAATATCCTTTCCAAATTTAAAATTCTGCATAATTTGGCCATATCTTAATGTTCCAATAAAATGCATCTTTCCAATGTGGTTTAGTTTACTGTGTTAAAAGTTTGCACACTAAAAATTAGAAGTAAGAAGCCTCAGCCAAGCATGGTGGCTGACACCTGTAATCCCAGCATTTTGAGAGGCCAAGGCAGGTGGATCACTTGAAGCCAGAAGTTCGAGACCAGCCTGGCCAACATGGTGAAACCCCACCTCTACTAAAAATACAAAAATTAGCTGGGCATGGTGGCACACACCTGTAATCTCAGCTACTCGGGAGGCTGAGGCAGGAGAATTGCTTGAACCTGGGAGGTGGAAGCCACAGTGAGCCAAGATTGTGCCACTGCATTCTAGCCTGGGTGGGCAACAGAGTGAGACTCTGTTTTAAATAAATAAATAAAAAAGGAAGCCTCCCATTCCTAACCAAGTAAACTATGAAATAATGAGAGACTGTACATTTCTGTTCTACTGCTAACACTGCTAGTGTGTGGCCTGTGACTTGGCAAGCTGCTTCCTGTTTCTGAGCCACAGTTTACCTATTTGTAAAATGGAAGATTTGTACTAAACATATTCTGAGATGCCTTCTTGGCCCCGGCATTACAGTATTGGATTCTAATCATGTATTCATTCTGCTCAGAAATGTTTCTGGTGTTTCTGGTCTTAAGTTATCAATAACCCCTGGTAGAGTCTGGGACATTGGGACGAGATCCTGCAAGCTCAGCCTAGGCTTGCCGGCAGCTGTTTGAAGGAGTCACTCGCATGGACCAGTAAAGCAAAGGCAGCGATGACGCCTCGCGGTGAGGGCCAGAACCCAAGTCCAGGGAAAACGCTCCTTTAGCGCCACGCATTACAAAACAACCTCTCCTCCTTGCTGACGCTGCCGCCACATCCGGGGTGAAAATCGAGCCTAGATCTTTCTGCTCCAGCACAGCCTGGCCTGCAGCGGATGCGGGCGTGAGAGGGACGCAGGAGCAGCGGGGGCGGGGATGCTGCTGACCGTGGAGAAAGCAACCTCCTTCCCTGAGGGGCTTCCCCTCTCTGCGCCACCATCCCCCACCCCCTGCAACAGGGCAGCGGCTGAACCCATCTCTGTAGGTGGGAGGTGGGATGGGAGGGAGGAGGAAGACCCTCTCACCTGAGCAGGACTTGGAAAGGAACCAGGAAGAGAGCCCACTTCCAAATCCAGTCTCTTCCACTGAGGTTCCACCTGCATAGAAGGGGCTTCCTGGGACCCACCAAGCCCGTGATACCACTTGGTCATCTTACAAGAGAAGACACCAAAGCCCAGAGAAGGAAGCAGCTGTCCCAAGGAGGAGCAGCTAGGTGGGGACTAGAACCACCATATCCTGGCCCCTTCTACTTCTCTGTCCCCTCCACTAGACTTCTTCAGCCAAAGGGGGTTTCTCTTTTTTTAGTTTCTTTGCAAACCTGCTTCCAAATATTTGTATTGACCTATCGGATTGATACTTAAAGAATCAGGGATTTGTGCATTTGACACCTGAAACTCATCTGTCCCCTAAGGATCTTCTTGTGTGTTCTGCTTACCATCCACTCAGAATTTTTGCAGCTTTTTGAGGGTCATCATCCACCTGCAGTCACTTTAGAGACATCAGAAAGTGTCATGATCATGATCCCCTTGTAGAAGTGAGAAGTGTGTCCTGCAGCTAATCCCATCCACCATGCAGACAGGATGCTAACCAGTCTCAGAGGACACCATTCCTCTGGCCCACCTGTTGGGTGGCTTACCTGACTTTCTGCCCCAGTCCTGTCTCAGCATCATACACTTGCTGTTTGAAGGTGGCCATCCCACGAGTGGGCTAAACTAGGCATTCTAGGACTGGTCAGGAGGTGGCAAGTCATCATGCTGATCAATTCAATTAGTAAAGGCACTGTTTGGGAAGAGAGAGGGGGACACTATCACCATCATACGAAGAGCTAATGTTTTTTGAGCATTTACTATGTGGTAGACTTTATGCTAAATTCTTACAAGTATTGTTTTAATATAATCCTTACAGCAACCGTACTATTGTTATTCCTGTGTGGACAATGAGGAGACAGAGGCACATAAGGAAAAGGTTACTAAATGGGGAATAAGGAAACTCATCTTCCATTCTTTCTCTATCTCTCTGTAATCTCGTGCTAGTCACTTAACCTTGCCTTTCTGGTACATGAAACATCTGAATTGGAAGAAATTATGTGCATATGTGCATTTTTCTGGAAAGAGCAGCCACAATTTTCATCAGCATCTCAAAGACACCCATTACCCCCCTCCCACTCACAAAAAAAAAAAAAATCAAAGAACTCTCAGGACTATCTCATTTTATAGCCTTTTTCACACTAAACAATTTACCTTGCATTCTCTTCTAACATTGTAAATACCGACGGGCTTGAGCAGTACCGATAGGCAGATTCAGATTACAGTCACCCCTGAGCCAAAGACCTCTCTGTGATTCAGGGGTGTGAAGGGCTCCTGGCTGTGCACTGGCCTTTCCAGCACACCCGCATGTCCAGATAGCCATCGCAGGAAGGACGACGTGGGGATGGGATCATCAGATTCACCCTCCAGCTACTTGCAACACCTCAGCAGTTTTACTTCAGCTTGTTGTATTCTTTCCTTGCAACTGGACTGTAAGTTTATATTGCAACCCCAAGAAAAGATTCACAATCCCTTTTTTTTATTGTACTATAAAAAGAATTCTAGTGATAGAACCTCCACAGGGCTTGAAGTGAAGCAGCCATTCATTAAGTGTCTGCTGTGTCCTGAGTATGCCAGCAATGAACAAGACAGACCAGGTCCCTGGCTGCATAAAGAGCAAGAGGGACTGTGGCAGGGAAGTGCCACGCAGATGCAGAGAGCACGAGAGTGAGGCCTGGAGAACCAGGAGGGGCTTCCTTGAGAAGTGGTGTTTGAGCCACTGAAGGATCCCTGAAGAATGCCTCATCCCTGATGGATGAAGAGAAATGAATTAAGCAAGAGGCACAGGTCAGAGGGGTGGAAGAGCATTCTGAGAGGGATGGGAAGGGCCCAAGGCAATAAAGAACTTGGCCCACTGGAGGAACTGAAGGGAGGGCAGGCTAGGTGCCAAGAGAGGGAGAGTGGTGTGGGAGATGCAGCCGGAGAGGAGGCAGGGCCAGTGTATGCAGGGCCCAGGAATCGCCAGGTGGGATGCTAACTGGCTGTGGGCTGTTGGCAAGGCAGGTAACAGCTCACATGTTCCATTTCCTTATCTTCAAGGTGAGAGTCTTCAATTAGATGATCTCGAAAGCCCTTTCTGACTCTACCATCCTGTGATATTGTGACTTCAAAGAAAGTGAAGTGATTGCTGAGAAAGAGAAAAGTGGCCCCTGACAACCTGGATCTGGGTGGTCCCATAAGCTAGGCCTTGGCGTTCTCCTGTTAAACATAAACAACTTCACAGAACATCAACAGCAAGCAAGATGTCTCTGTGACCATGATAAAGACAAAAATAAGACCACTCCACAATCATGTCTGAACACAGACAAAAAACGTTAACATTGTCCAAACCATGGAACTAACCAAACATTTCCCTATTCTGGCTCGGAGGAGTGACTGCTACTCCTTTACCCTTACAGCTTCAGTCTCACTTAGTCTTCCTCCCTTCTAGACAAGATTTATTAAGATATGGAATCATAGAATTTACCCCTGCTTCTGACAGCATGCAAAGCTCCACTTCCTTAAACCGTCCCCAAAATCGCCTACCACAAACCGCACTCCTGTAAGTCCTTTCTAACACCCTGTCGGTGAGACACCCCACCGTTCTCCTTCTCTGCTATGTCCTGTCCAAGCACAGGGTGTTCCTCATGCAAGTGCAGGGCTGGCCATGAGAAGCAATGCCACCCTACACTTTGCTCTCCTGGTGTCTCTCTTGTCTCACCAGTTCCAGCCCAGTCCTGGGGGTCTTTGGCTGGATGGAGTTGACATCAGTCCCCTTCCCTGCTCTTCTCTAATCTCACCACAGGTACCCTGCTCTGGGCCTCAGGGTGTTGGGGAGTAGAGCTGGGAAGTAGCGGAGGAGAAAATGAGGAAGAGAAATGCAAGAGGGCGACTTCACAGGGGAATTTTGTCCACCTGATGATGTGGGAACGGAATTAAAACTGTCTCCAGAGCGAATGTTTCTTCTCTCACTTGAAGTCTGGGCTTCCTCCTTTTATGTCTATGCCCCACCCAGATTACGCATGGGCTACTTGGGCGGTTGTGGTATTTCTGTTTCCCAACCAAACGCCACCACCTCCCCTTAAAGCCATCTTCACAGGAAGGTAACCAGCTCCCGGTGGAACTGACCCATTTGACAGTATCTAAGGGGAACAAAAATTGTTGCTGCTGCTGATTCAGATTCACAGCTTGGACTTCCCACCCTTAGCTAAAAGTTTTTCACTGGGGGGAGTCCCCACCACACAACCTACTCTATTCATGTGAGCCAGTGGTAAACAAACCAGACTCCTGGTGCCTCCTGAGTCAGATGATAACCAAGGGAAAGAAGTGACCTCTATCTCTGGACACAAAACAAACTAGAGGACCCTTACTCCTCTGATTGAGAAAGCTGGTGAAGTCAGCTCCTTTCAACTTGGAGAAGCCATTGCTCACATCAGGCGCATAACTGTTTCCAAAGTCATGGAAATGTCCAGTTCATGGCAAAAGTAGGGTTTTCTTTGTGCTTAGTTTCATGAAGAGGTCAATCAACTTTTTCAGTAAAAGGCCAAATATTAACTATTCCAAGCTTTGTGGGCCAATCTTTGGCATAACTACTCAAATCTACCCTTGCAGCACAAAAGCAACCATAGATATAATGCAAGTGATTAGGCATGACTGTATTTCAGCAAAACTTTATTTATAAAAACAAGCACACCAGATTTGGCCCATGGAATGTAGTTGGCTGGCCCCTGGTGTAATGTAACCAACACGTGGGCACAGCTGAATAAGAAGAGGAATAATAACCTTTGCCCATTACTTTCTAAAGAGCTTACTTCTCATTAGACAGATTGAGAGGTTTAAAATCAGTTTGGAAACTGCTGGAGGATGGAGGAAAAAGAGGGAGAGAAGAAAGAAGAAAGCAAACATGAGAGGATGGAATTTTATTTATTTCAAATGGAATTTAGTTATTTCAAATAAGTAATGGAAGAATCAGAGTGGAAAGAGTTATTTGTAAGGCCTCTGTATAGCAGGCTGACCCTAGTCATCTCTTACCCTGACCAGCTGGACAGGAGTCACTCACTGAGGCTCAGGCTATGTGGACTAATCCAACTTCAAAGTCAGGTTTATAGAAACATGTGTGGGCTTCTTTGGGGAAAGTTTATCTGAGACAGTGTTCCTCCGGACCAGCTTCGGGTGTCATTAGCAACAGAGAATCTTCTCATAGAGACAACTGAATGTAGTATGTTCCAGGATTTATTTTTTAAATGCTGGTTCCTGATTCTTCTGGGCAAAGCCGAAGAAGGCAGAGAGACACTGAGAGTGCACTGCATCAGCACAGATTGTGGAATGTTTAGGACCATTTCAGTTCCCAAAGAAAGAGCCCCTGAAGAGCTCATAGAAAGGGCTCGCAGGAGAGTAGAGAAGGACCAGGGAGTGCTGGACACTTCTAACAGTCACAGGTGCTGTGACTTCTAACAGTTGCAGGTAAACAGGGTCCCAGACCTTCCCATCTGGGACTGATGGATTGATTGTGAAGAATATATACTCATTCCACAAATTTAAAAAGGGAATTAATAATGAAAGACTTAAGTGTAAAGTAGAGCACCCAAGACTCTGCTCGGAAAGGTAGACGCAAATGATAACCACATAGGTAAATCCCCTGCATGTGGCTGGGAAGAGAGGGTGAGAAGTAGTCTATCTATGGTTAGTGGCCATTTTCTCTAGTTCACAGACCATGCATATTGATTATAGATTCAGAAAGTTACCCTAACTTTACAGCAATGACTTCTGAACTGTGCTTTCCTGGAATACTGGTTTCATAAGATGTTAGCAGTTATTTTGCAGGAGAAAGGTTTCAGGGAAACCGAAGAATGAATTGACATTGACAGGAAACTGTTGTGTATCCATTCAAAATACATTTTTGTTTGGCTGTGTTATCCTTGGAGAAAAGTAATAGTATCAGAAGAATCCTGGGCAATACAGCAAGGTCCTGTCTCTACAAAATTTTTTAAAAAATAGCCTGGGGTAGTGGCATGTTCCTATAGTTTTAGTTACTCAGGAATCTGAGGCAGGAGGATCACGAGCCCAGGAGTTCTAGACTGCGGTGAGCTATGATCATGGCACTGCACTCCAACCTGGGCAACATAGTGAGACCATGTCTCTAAAAATGATAATACATAAATAAAATTACATTTAAACAATCATTTTTAGGAAACACAATTTTTAGAGCTCAGAACAGAATATGACCCTGGACAGATGCATATGAAAGACGGTCTAGCAATGGCTTTCAAACTTCTTAAAACACAGGTTGCTGGTCCCACACCCAGAGTTTCTGATTCAGTAGGTTGGGATGGGATTCGTGTTTCTAACAAGTTCCCAAGTGATGGTGCTGATGCTCGTCCAAGGACCACAATTTAAGACTCACTTCCCTGCACCCGGCCCCATGCCCAACAGATAGGAGGCTCTTTTTACAGTAACAAGAAGTTTCTTTCTGAGGGTTACCACATTAAAAGAAATCAATTGAATGGGTTTCCACCATGTGTGAGGATATATTGGCTGACCCAGCATCAAAGTCAGGGTTAGAAACATCCATGGGCTTATTTGGGGAAAGTTTATTCCAGACAGTCTTCCTCCAGAACAGCTTCAGGTGTCCTTAGCAATGGAGAATCTTCTCATAGAGGCAACTGAATGTAGCATGTTCCAAAATTCATTCTTTAAATGCTGGTTCATGATTCTTCCGGGCAAAGCTGAAGGGGCCAGCTAATAAATCAACACATATTTCCTGACATTTCCTGACAGGGAGACATGTTCCTTCAAAAATGGGAACAAAATTCATAATGAATTTAGTGGGGAGGCATAGTTCTTCAAAAATAAAATTCAGTTTGAACATTTTCAATCTGAGATATTTGGGGATTAAAAAAACAGATATAGGTTCTGAAGGGACTACTCAAGCAAATGTATATTAGGAAATCAAGGAGGCCCTAGAAGGCCAGAATATGGACATGAGTCAGCCAAATTGTGGAGTTATGGACAAAAGCTAACAAACACATCTTGAAATCTCCAGTGGGACGCAAATTCTTTTAACCTCAGGTCAGCCCCAAATCATGGTACCAATTTCTGTTAACATGCTCTAAAAAATGACATGAAGAACTTAGAATAGGTTCTTGGCATATTAACAAATATATCTAGAAAAATATGAAGTAGTCCTAAGCAGAAAGGTTTGAAAGAAATTTGGATAGTTAAGCCTGAAAAAAAAGTGAAGGTGATTCTATCTTTAAATTAATGAAAATTTTTGTCTCTGGCCTTTCATTGCAGTGGTAAATTAGGCAAGAATAAATGGCCTTAATTTTAAAATAGATGTGATTTTAGTTAACTGTGAGGTAAAATCTTCTTTAAAATGGGGTAATGAAACACTGGAGGCTTGTTATTTTGGGCCTGGAAATTTGTAGAGATGCTAATTGTAGCTAACAGTACTTATGCTTTTTTTTTTTTTTTTTTGACAGAGTCTTGCTCTGTCACCAAGCTGGAGTGCAGTGGTGTGATCTTGGCTCACTGCAACCTCCACCACCCGGGTTCAAGCGATTCTTCTGCCTCAGCCTCCCAAGTAGCTGGGATTACAGGAGTGCACCACCACGCCCGACTAATTTTTGTATTTTTAGTAGACATGGAGTTTCATCATGTTGGCCAGGATAGTCTCAATCTCCTGACCTCATGATCCACCCACCTCAGCCTCCCACCTTGGGATTATAGGCATGAGCCACCACACCTGGCCGAAGTGTCTTTAAAATTCCACAGAGCTCTTCCTTGGTTCCTGCACAATCTCAAAGCCAATTGAAAGAATTGCCATACTATTGAAAAAGTCCAAATGCCCACCAATGGGAAAATGAATGAATAAATTGTGACATATTCACGCAGTGGAATATTATACCGCAGTTAAAATCATGGATTATAGTAAAGTACAACAATATAGATGAATTTTATTAATACGATATTAAGTGAAAGAAACTCAGAAGATTACATATAGTATGATACCCTTTTATGAAGCTTAAAACAACTAAAATTTTAAATACATTTTGGGAACATAGGTAGATACAATATAATCATATAAAAGGAAGACAAGCAATGACCACAATGAAAAAGACTGGCAGTACCAAGGGTGGACAAGGACATGGAGTGATAGAACTCTCATAGAGTGCAGTGGGAAGATAAATTGGTACAACACTTTGGAAAACTTTTTGGTAGTATCTACTAAAACTAAAGATACACAAATTCTATGATGTAGCAACTCCACTTCTAGGTATATATTCAACATACATTCACAAAAAGGCATGTTTAAGAAAGCTTATAGCTGAGGGTGGAGCAAGATATCTGAACAGAAGCCTCCACTGATGGCTCCCCCCTGCAGGAACACCACATTTTAACAACT
Source organism: Homo sapiens (assembly GCF_000001405.40). Lineage (NCBI taxonomy): Eukaryota > Metazoa > Chordata > Mammalia > Primates > Hominidae > Homo > Homo sapiens. Next base: position 122,238,059 of record NC_000003.12, read on the forward strand.
AACTACACAAAAAAGCACCATCAAAAGAAGTAAAAATCAGGTGAACAGTCACAGCACCCGGTGCTAATTTCATATTGCTCAAAGAGGCACTGAGGAGGGTAGGAAAGACAGCCTTGAATCGCTGATACCACCCCTCCCCTATCCCCCCAGCAGTGGCCGTGTGGTGCAAGAGAAAATCTGTGCATTTTGGGGAAGGAGAGCACAGCGACTGGGCCACTTGGCACTGAACTCAGTGCTGACCTGTCACAGCAGAGAGAAAAGCTGTGCTGGGCTCAGCTGGCATTCGCTGAGGAGGAGGGAGCATTTGGACCAGCCCTAGCAAGAGGGGAATCACCCACCTAAGCAGTCGGAACTTGAGTTTCTGCAAGCCTCACCACCACGTGTTAAAGTGCTCTGGGGTCTTACATAAGCTTGAAAAGCAGTCTAGGACAAAAGGACTGTAATTCCTAACTAAGCAATTCCTAGTGCTGGGCTAGGCTTAACACTAGAGCCAGTGGACTAGAGCAGCAGGTGACCTAGGGAGACACCAGCCAGGGTGGCTAAGGGAGTGCTTGTTCTACCCATCTCCCAACCCCAGGTAACACAGCTCACAGCAACTAAAGTGACTCCTTCCTTCTGCTTAAGGAGAGAAGAGCAAAGAGTAAAGAAGACTTTGTCTTGCACCTTGGATACCAGCTCAGCCAAGGTAGGATAGAGCACCAGGCAGAGTCATAAGGCCTCCATTCCAGGCCCTAGTTCCTTGACAACATTTCTAGACATGCCCTGGGCCAGAAGGGAACTCACTGCCTTGAAAGGAATGAGCTAGTCCTGACAGAATATATCACCTGCTGACTAAAGAGCTCTTGGGCCCTGAATAACCAACGGTGATACCCAGGTAGTGTGCCATGGGCTTTGGGTGAGACTCAGACATGCTGGTTTCAGGTGTGACTTACTACCTTCCCAGCTGGGGTGGCAATGGCAAAAGATTCCTTCTGCTTGAGAAAAGTAAAGGGGATATTTTCTTGCTGGTACCTTAGGTACCAGTTCAGCCACAAGGGTGTGGAGCACCAAGCGGGCTCTTGGGTCCCGAGCCCAGGTGTAGGCTCCTAGACAGCATTTCTGGACCTGCCATGGGCCAGAGGGGAGCCCATTGCCTTGAAGGGTGAGTCCCAAGCCTGGCAGCATTCACCACAACCTGAGGTGCCCCTGGGCTTTAAATGAACATCTGCAGTGGCCAGGCAGAACTCCCCCTGAGCTAGTGGTGGTGGTGGCCACCAGGAGGGGCTCCTCTGCCTGTGGAAAGGTGAGGGAACAGTGAGAAGGACTTTGTCTTGTGGTTTAAGGGCCAGCTTAGATGCAGTAGAATAGAATGCCAGGTAGATTTCTAAGGTTGTTGGCTCAAATCCTGGCTCCCAACTGTGTCTCTGGACCCACCCAACGCCTGGGGGAACTCACTGCCCTTAAGGGAAGAACACAAGCCTGGTTGGCTTCTTCACTGCTGATGGCAGAGCCCTAGGGCACTGAGGTAGAACATAGATGGTAGCCAGGTAGTGGTTACAGCAGGCCTGGGGCAAGACCCAGTGCTGTGACGGCTTCAGGCCTAACCCAGAACAGTCCCAGTGGTAGTGGCCACAGGGAAGCTTGTGTCACCGCACCTCCAGCTCCAGGAACCTCAGCACAGAAAGAAAGGCTGTGTTTGTTTTGGAGGAAGTAAGGAGGAGAACAAGAGTCTCTGTCTGGTACTATAGAGAATTCTTCTGGGTCTTATCCAAGACCCCTATTTGGAAATACACAGTCAGAGGAGACAAAAGAAAAAAGAACAAAAAAGAATGAAGCACACCTAGAAGATCAAGAGAATGCCCTCAAAGGGACAAATCTAAGAGTTACTGGTCTTAAAAAACAGGTAGAGAAATAGATAGGGGTAGAAAGTTTATTCAAAGGGATAATATCAGAGAACTTCCCAAGCCTAGAGAAAGATATCAGCATTCAAGAACAAGAAGGTAATAGAACATCAAGCAAATTTAACCCAAAGAAGACTACCTCAAGGCATTTACTAATCAAACTCCTGAAAGTCAAGGATAAAAAAGGATACTAAAAGAGCAACAGGAAAGAAGCATATAACATACAACAGAGTTCCAATATGTCTGGCAGCAGACTTTTCAGTGGAAACCTTATAAGCCAGGAGAGAGTGCCATGACATGTTTAAAGTGCTGAAGAAACAAGACCCAATGATCTGTTGCCTATAAGAAACACATTTCACCTATAAAGGTACACATAGGCTGAAAATAAAGGGATGGAAAAAGATATTCCATGCCAATGGAAACCAAAATAATAGAGCAGGACTAGCTATACTTATATCACATGAAATGATTTCAAGACAAAAATTGTAAGAAGAGATGAAGAAGGTCGTTATATAATGATAAAGGGATCAATTCAGAAAGAGGGTATAACAATTTTAAATATATATGCAGCCAACACTGGAGCACCCAGATATACAAATCAAATATTATTAGAGCTAAAGAAAGAGACCACAGTACAATAATAGCTACAGACTTCAACACCCCACTTTCAGCATTGGACTGATCTTCCAGACAGAAAGTCAGCAAAGAAACATCAGACTTAATCTGCAGTATGAAACAAATGGACCTAATAGATATTTACAGAACGTTTCATCTAACAGCTACAGAATACACATTCTTCTCCTCAGCATGTGGATCATTCTCAAGTATAAACCGTATGTTGGGTCACAAAACAAGTCTTAAGGCATTCAAAAAATTGAAATAATATCAAGCATTGTCTTTGACCACAATGAAATAAAACTAGAAATCAATAACAAGAGGAAGTTTGGAAACTATACAATCACATGGAATTTAAACAACATGTTCTTGAATGACCAGTGGGTCAGTGAAAAAATTAAGAAGGAAATTTAAAAATCTCTTGAAGCAAATGATAATAGAAACATAACATACCAAAACCTATGCAATATAGTGAAAGCAGTACTCACAGGAAAATTGAAAGATACAAGTGCCTACATCAAAAAAGAAGAAAAACTTGCAATAAATAACCTAATGATGCATCTTAAAGAACTAGAAAAGCAAGAGCAAACCAAACTCAAAATTAGTAGAAGAAAAGAAATAATAAAGATCAGAGCAGAAATAAATGAAATTGAAATGAATAAAACAATAAAAAAGATCAATTAAATGAAAAGCGGGTGTTTTGAAAAAACAAATAAAATTGACAAACCTTTAGCCAGACTAGGAAAAAATGAGAGAAGACCCAAATAAATAAAATCAGAGATGAAAAAGGAGACATTACAACTGATACCACAGAAATTCAAAGGAACATTAGAGGCTACTGTGAGCAAATATATGCCAATAAATTGGAAAACTTATAAGAAATAGATAAATTAATTGAAACATACAACCTACCAAGAGTGAACCAACAGGAAATCCAGAACCTGAACAGACCAATAAAAAGTAATGAAAACAAAGTCACAATAAAAAGTCTCCTAGTAAACACTGGGACCCAATGGCTTTACTGCTGAATTCTACCAAACATTTAAAGAAGAATGAATACCAATCCTACTCAAACTATTCCAAAAAACAGAGGAGGAAGGAATACTTCCAAACTCATTGTATGAGGCCAGTAGTACCCTGATACCAAAACCAGACAAAGACACACACACAAAAAAAAGAAAACTACAGGCCAACATCTCTGATGAATATTGATGCAAAAATCCTTTAAAAAATACTGACAAACCAAATTCAACAATACATTAAAAATATCATTCATCATGACCAAGTGGGATCTATCCTGTGGACGCAAGGATAGTTCAACATACACAAATCAATCAGTGTGATACATCATAACAACAGAACGAAGGACAAAAATCATATAATCGTTTTCAATTGACACTGAAAAAGCATTGGATAAAGTTCAACATCACTTTATGATAAAAGCCCTCAAAAACCTGGGCATACATGGACGTAATTCAACATAATAAAAGCCATATAAAACAAACCCACAGCTAGTATCATACAGATTGTGAAAAAAATCTGGAAGCCTTTCCTCTAAGATCTGGAAGAGGACAAGGATGCCCACTTTCACCACTGTTATTAACATAGTACCGGAGTTCCTAGCTAGAGCAATCAGACAAGAGAAAGAAAGAAAGGTCATCCACATTAGAAAGAAAGAAGCCAAATTATCCTTGTTTGCAGAAGATATGATCTTATATTTAGAAAAACCTATAGACTCCACCAAAAAAACTATTAGAATCAATAAACAAATTCAGTAAAGTTGCAGGATACAAAATCAACATACAAAAACTAGTAGCATTTCTATATGCCAACAGTGAACAACTTAAAAAATAAATCAAAAAAGTAGTCCCACGTATAATAGTCACAAGTAAAATTAAATACTTAGGAATTAATCAAAGAAGTGAAAGATCTCTACAATGAAAACTATAAAACACTGATGAAAGAAATTGCAGAGGACACAAAAAAGGAAATATATTCCATATTCATGGATTGGAAGAATCAGTATTGTTAAAATGTTCATACTGCCCAAAGCAATAAAAGATTTAAGGCAACTCCTATCAAAATACCAATAACATTCTTCACAGAAATAGAAAAAACAATCCTAAAATTTATATGGAACCACAAAAGACCCAGAATAGCCAAAGCTATGCTTAGCAAAAAGAATAAACCAGAGGAATCACATTATCGACTTTCATATTATGCTACAGAAGTATGGCAACCAAAACAGCGTGGTACTGGAATAACAACAGACACATAGCTCAGTGGAACAGAATAGAGAACCCAGAAGCAAATCCACACACCTACAGTGAACTTGTTTTTGACAAAGGTGCCAAGAACATGCATTGGAGAAAAGACTGTCTCTTCAATAAATGGTGCTGAGAAAATTGGATATCCAAATGCAGAAGAATGAAACTAGACCTCTGTCTCTCACCATATACAAAAATCAAATCAAAATGGATTAGATACTTAAATATAAGACCTCAAACTATGAAACTACTAAACAAAAACACTGGGGAAGCTCTCCAGAACATTGTAGTGGGCAAAAATTTCTTGAGTAACACTCCAGAAGCACAGGCAGCCAAAGCAAAACTGGATAAATGGGACCACATCCAGTTAAAAACCTTCTGCACAGCAAAAGAAACAATCAACAAAGTGAAGAGACAACCCACAGAATGTGAGAAAATATTCGCAAACTAGCCATCTGACAAGGGATTAATAACCAGAATATTACAAGCTCTAACAGCTCTATAGGAAAAACATCTAATAATCCGATTTAAAATGGGTAAAAGATCTGAATAGACCTTTCTCAAAAGAAGACATATGAGTATGAAACAGGAATATGAAAAGGTGCTCAACATCACTGATCATCAAAGTAATGCAAATCAAAACTACAGTGAGATATCATCTCACCCCAGTTAAAATGGCTTTTATCCAAAAGACGGGCAATAATGAATGCTGGCAAGGATGTGAAGAAAAGGGAACTCTCATACGCTGTTGGTGGGAATAAAAATCACTACAACCACTATGCAGAACTGTTTGGAGGCCCCTCAAAAAACTAAAAATAGAGCTACCATACAATCCAGTAATCCCACTGCTAGGTATATATACCCCAAAGAAAGGAAATCAGTATATCAAAGGGATATCTGCACTTTCATGTTTGTTGCAGCAGTATTCACAAAAGCCAAGATTTGGATGCAACCTAAGTGTCCATCGAAAGATGAATGGATACAAAAAATGTGTTACATAAACACAATGGAGTACTATTCCATCATAAAAAAAAAAATGAGATCCTGTCATTTGCAGCAACATGAATGGAACTGGAGATCATTATGTTAAGTGAAGTAAGCCACGAAGATGGACTTTGCATGTTCTAACTTATTTGTGAGAGCTAAAAATTAAAACAATTGAACTCATGAACATTGAGAGTAGAAAGATGGTTACCAGAGGCTGGAGAGGGTAGTCGGGGAGTGGGGAGGAAGCAGGGGTGGTTAATGGGTACAAAAAGTAGTTAGAAAGAATGAATAAGACCTAGTATTTGATAGTATAATGGGATGACTATAGTCAATAATAATTTAATTATACATTTTTAAATAACTAAAAGAAAATAATTGGATTGTTTGTAACACAAAAGATAAATGCTTGAGGGGATGGATACCCCATTTACCATGATGTAACTATTACAAATTACATGCCTTTATCAAAATATCTCAGGTACCCCAGAAATATATATACCTGCTGTGTACCCACAAAAATTAAAAATTAATAAAAGAAAGTTCATAGCAGCACTGTTCATTAAAACCCCAAAGCGTTCATTAGCAGGAGAATGGATAGGTAACGTGTGGTAGAATCATAGGAAAATACTATACAATAATGAGAAAAAACAAACTATGGTTACATACAATATAGATGAATCTTGCAAGTATGTTGGACAAAAGAAGCCAGATACTACATAATTCTACTTATATAAAGTTCAAAAACAGGAAAATCCCATCTTTGATGGTAGAAGTCAGAGTACTGGCCATCTTTGGGGAAGGTAATGACTCTAGGGAGGCATGAGTGGGGGCTCCGGAGTTCTGGTTCTGTTTTTTGATTTGGATGCTGGTTACATGAATGTTTACATTGTGGAAATTCTTGTATGATTTGTGCATATCTGATGTCTATCATGCTTCAATTAAAATTTTATTTTAAGAGTGAGAGAAAGATAAGGGAGATAAAGATAAGGGAGTAAAAATAGATAATAACAAATAGGATGGAAGATAAGAAGTATCAATAAGCATAGTTTTCAAAATATATTTCAAAGGATATACAGTATGAATAGGTGGTAAAATCTAAGTAAAATCTTTTTTGCAATGTTTTTCATGTTTAACGTTTATGTCCCTTCATATAGCCATTGTTTTAATAACATTCTACCACATATTTTCTGGTTTAAAAGTAATGTACTTGTCTGTGTGTATCTATGGAGGATTGGTTCAGGACCCCCTCAGATACCAAAATCTGCAGATGCTCAAGTCTCTTATATAAAATGGCATAGTATTTGCCTATAACTTATCCGCATCCTCCTGTATATTTTAAATTATCTCTAGATTACTTACAATATCTAATATAACGTGAATGCTCCATAAATACTTGTTATACTCTATTGTCTAGGGACTAATGACAAGAAAAGAAGTCTGTACATGTTCAGTACGGATACAGCCATTCATCTTTTCCAAATATTTTCAATCTGAAGTTGACTGAATCCATGGCTGCAGAACCCACATGTATGGAGGACCAAGTGTACATGTTTATTTTATTAAATTTCAGAAACAAAAAATAAAACAGGGAAGAAACCAGAATTCCATCAATGAGATCTAATCATCCTTAACATTTCGGTGTGTATCCTACCAGTCTTTCTGTCTTATGATTTATGAAGTTTTTAAAAGGATGGGGTGAGGAGAGAAGCAAGGAATGATAGGCATGTGGTTGAGGATAATGGCTTCTTTAGTGCCAACATGGCACATGTATACATGTGTAACAAACCTGCACGTTGTGCCAATGTACCCTAGAACTTAAAGTATAATAATAAAAAAAAAAGAGGCACAAGAACAGGATGTAATACAGGAACCCACCGGTAGGTTACTATGGGTGTTTTTTGTTTTAGGTGGTAGATTAATTATTAAAAATAACTTAGGAAATAAAAGTCGGCCAGGTCTGGACCAATAATGAGGATGTATCACCAACAAAGGATTATGATTAATCCAATTTTGTGCACCTGCGGTCCAATTAAAACTAAAAGAATTCTCATAATAAATAGATTCTGTGCTGTAATTGAAAGTAAGTTTAGTCCTCTGAAGTCCTAAACTGACATTTTAAAGACAAACTGTGCACTGACAAATCGGGGGGAAAAAATTACTTCCCTTTTCAGTAAGAAGAAGCTTGCCCTTTGATTACTAAACCTCACATAGTTTTACAATGATTTGTGAATTCCAGCTCCTGTTCATGATAACATTGGCCATAATGATTCAAACGTTCATGTGTCAGAACGTTTCAGTGTAAACCAGATAAACTTCCCAGGTCCCTTCTATCTCTAAAATTCTGTATTTTAGATTAATGACCTGATGTGTCTACCCACTCAATTAATAAAGCAAGAATGACTTTTCCAGACCCTTTCCTGTTAATTACACAGAGAGTTTCAACTGGGGACAGTTCTTATTGCTCACAGCAAAAATCCAGATTTATTGGTTTGTTTTCGTGTTTATATCCCTGTTGCTGTTAATAAAAATGAAAGGTTTAATGTGTTGAGGAAATCAGGGTAAAATATGTGCAAGAATTTAAAATAATGCACACGTAATGTTAGAACACTAAAATGCATGCTTTTGGTTTCTATTTTAGCTACAGCGGAGCCACAAACTTGGCTTACAGCTTCCTAACACTCAAAGAAGGAAACAGGAGAAGAGAGAAGATTTGTAATGCCTATAAAATAATTTTGGCCAGGTTTTCCAAAGAAAACCAGAATTTCCATGTGCTTAGAAAGATGTCCCCACGATGTGCTAGAACAGGCTTCTATCGGCGCTTGAGAGCCGATGGTTAAATATTCAGATTTTTTACAAATATGTTGTTAAACCATTGGTAGCTTGAAACTGACCATGGTGGGAATATTTAGCATACACCACAAGTCAGGTCTTGTTTTTCTTTTAGAAGCCAGACTACAAGCACACCACCACATGTCCCCAGTGGTCCTCAGACAAAGACACTGTGTGAGGTCAGGAGAGTTGCAAGTGGATGGGGAAAGGCTCAGTGTACAACTTTCTATGTACAATAGAAACCCATCCCTCAGGAGTAGCGGAGAACAGAAACATATGCCTGACCAGAGAATGACTTCAAAGTTACATCAGCAGTCACCCACCCCACCTGAGTCCTTCTTTCCAATAATACCCTTTGGAATTTCATACCTGGGATTACAAAAACTGCTATGCCCATTGAGGGGCAGACATATCTCCCCATTCAAAGATACACCTAAACAAATGCGAGAATCTCAGATTACAGACTTTATGCTTTCCACTCAGTCAGCCCTTCCAAGCCCATGTTTCACGGCATCATGAAAAGTGTCCTTCAGGGAAGAAAAAAAGTGTCCCATACCAAAATAAGCAATAATCTTTATTGCAGGACTTCTCAGAGCCTTTAAGGAGGCATATGTGCTCCTGTGGCAGAGTGTACATTAGTTCCCAAACTTGTTTTACCCCAGAACACTTCCTGGTGACACATCTTGGGACATCATACTGAAAAATGCCACCCTGGGTAGTCAGGGTTCCTTATGATTTGGAGAGGCAACGCCAGGATGTTATTCCACAGAAATGTTTCTTTTATGTAGGACTTGAGGCTCTGGCATTTTTCTTTATAAAAACATGAGTTGCATATCTTCGCTTTTCAAATGAACCATTTCATTAACTCTGTTGGTGTTCATACATCCGTCAGCAGAGCTGACTTAAGGCATAAAGGAAACAGTTCAGGACAAGAAGTTTCTTAACTTCCTGTGGGCTATGTCGCCAGCAACTCACTCAGTCCTATGTGGACACAGAGTTTGTTATGTTGCCGGCAGTACACACAAGTATGCACCCACTCAACCATCATCATGGAGCCCCTCCATGTTCCAGGCCGCGGATGGGACAGACCTGGCCCTGTCTTCAAGGAGCTCAGGATGCAGCATTAATGAATGTCAGCTTCCTCTATTTACAGCCTTTCTTTGCTTTGTCTAGGCTTCTGTTTCCCCACTTTGCTCTGTGCCCTGTGCTGCTCCTCACCACTCTTGTTCATCCTTTTCCCTCCCTTCCCTGATAGCTTTTTCCAATGACTCACAAGAACCCACCCAGCTCAGCTGCTTTTCATTACGCTCCTGTCTTTGCATTTTTCCAACTCAATTAAGCCATTACCAGAACTAAATGAGGCATGGACTCCCCAAAAGTCACACCTGTTGTCAGGGAGATGGAGGGCAAGACCATGTGCAGCTGGCAGGCAGACAGCAGAAGCCGGGCTTGGGCTTGCGGGAGGCAGCCAAGGGTGACCGGGCAATTTGTGTTTCCCCCAGTGCCGAAAGAGGGCCCTCATTTTAAAACAACATGTGCCTTGCTTTGGTACAGAAGGAATGAAGTCTGATATAGAACTAGGGATGGCCGTATTGGTGATGGCAGGTAAGAGTCCCTAATTCTTTGGCAAATGTGCACCAGCTGTGTATAGAAACCCATATTGTGGATGTCTCTTCAGCAAGAGGTAAAGGAAGCTGCAACTACAGCCAGGCACGTGAGTTTGGTGATTATTGATTAAACTTTTTCAGGTTTATTTTTCCTGTTCACCCTCATTAAAACATACACATTTCACCTTTCTGCAATAGTGGCTTCAGACCCTACTGTTAGTATCTTTATGATCATTGTGACGAAAGAGAGTAAAGATTACAGTACAATAAACCAGAGACATAGCAGTGTACTCACGTTATGGAGATAAATTCTATTGGAAATCAAATTTGGTCTTATAATTCTCTTTTTTCTAGGCAACCTAGAATTTTTTTTTTTTTTTTGCCATCTAGGAATTCAAAAATAGTAGCTTTTGAGCTTGCTGTGCCTTTAATTTACTGAGTGATTTTATGTTCAGAAGGTCTGCGCCTGGGTTTTCTCTATTTGAAATGTGAGCAAAATCATTTTGCTCTAGAGATTCACAATTTCCAGAAATGTTGAGGCCAAGAGGTGAGAGTAGGGGTGGTTTTTATTTGGAAGAAAATTGAAATGTGGCAGTGTTCACTCCTGACGTTGTTTTGCTATCCTCTGTTAACTTGTTTTGACTCCGGAACTTGGATTAGCCACGTAGCTACTCTTTGGACAACAAGTTCAACAGACATTTTTAGAGCATCCATTTAGTACCAGGTTCTTTGTTTGATGCTGAGGATGCAGCTATGATCATGGAGAAGCCTCTGCCTACAGGAACCATCAGTCTCGTGGGGTGACCCCTTCCTTGTCCTGTCCAGGAATTGCCCAACCAGCCTCTGGTCTTTACTGTGTACACTTCATACATTTGTTCAACGAATATTTGTGAATCATTTGTGCCAGGTGCTGTGCTGGGTGCTAGGCAACAATGGTGAAGAAAAGAGACAGGCCTTGGCCTCATGAAGTTTCTGGTCCCCACCTTGACTTAATTCTCTTTCCCAGCAATCACCAGAGAATATCACTATTTGCTCTGTGCTCCCTCAACACTTAAACCATGCCTCTTTATAACATTTAGATCACCGTCCTTATAATGCGCCTTTCTGTCTCTTTTTAAACCTTGAGCACCTTGAAGGCAAAAATTTCAACTTTCTTTCCCTAGTGTCTTGCACTCCCTGGTATCTAGCACATAGAGAGCTCAATAAATGTTTTTTGAATGAGTAAATCATTGCACGAATTTATAACTTCATGAACCCATGGAACCCATTGACTGGTCTGCCCTCATCTCCGATCCTTGGCTGAAAAGCCTAACAAGCCATTATCTGTCCGTACTGAAACACTCCTCCTGATGTCAAGAACCTTCTAAACATAAAACCACCTGGTGCACGGATCATTTCTTCTTCCAAGATGTATCTGCCATTGAGAGAAAGAACAAATACTAGCTTCAGCTTTGTTTGTAACACTCATTTGCAGGAAGGCAAACATGATTATATATGATTTAAATGGAATAAATGTATAGTAAGGAGAACAAATGAGTTTATTTGTGATTCTTTGCTAGATACTGTTGGAGATAACTACAGTAAGAAAAAATATATATAATAACAGTGGTTTAAACCAGCCAGAAGCCTTTTTTCTCTGTCAGGCAAAAGTCCAGGAATAGTTCAATATTAAGGTTCTGCTCTATGAAAAGCTTAGCTCATGGCACCATCATTTCCTAGGTTGTAGCTCCTTGTTCAAGATGGTCTCTAGCTGTCATATCCACCTCCGTGCAGCAGAATAGAGGAAGCGGGGAGAAGGGATAAGGGGCAACCAGGAGTCAAGTACAAAGAAAATAAAGCTTTTACAACATGGAAGGTGGAAGGTGATGGGAGCTGGACGAAGGCACTGGCCACAGGAGTGTGTAGGAGAAGGCAGAGTGGGAAGCAATGGCAGAATCACAGGACCAGGAGACTGGATGTTGGAGGACAGGGAGATGGAGGATCTAGAATGACCCTCAGCTTTGGAAGCAAATTCGACCCTGACAACTGAACTCAAAAGGGTGGTTTGAAGAATATGTTAGACTGAGAGAGTTAACTGCTACAAATTGACCCCAAATCTCTCCTTCCTCTATTCCTTATTGCCATTAATTTTCTGTTGAATGAACTAATTAAGTTAATAAACTCCAAGTAGTTAATATTTCACAGGAAAAATTTAACAGGTCTCAGTGACTAACCCTAGCCAGTTATAATGTTCTCTCTCCCATCTAATTCAGTCCATGGGACTCCTTAAAATTCTGAGTTCTTAAGGCATTCTTAAGACAAGTGCCAAAACTGCTCACTCGAGTAAGCTGAATATACAAAGAATCTATTTCCCTATCTAGAAAGTGGACTTGGTATTACCCTCATTACAAAATTGTTGTGAAGTTCAAAATACATGGAATGTTTAAGGGATCTGGCACAATGCCTGGATCAATAAATGCTAGTTTCTGTCTCCTTCCAAAGTACTTTCTTTTTTAATGCTTTTATTCGATAAACATTTATTCAGCATTTACTATTTCAGACACTGTACGAAGTAAGTGCTGCAGGACAAAGTTGAATTTAGAGAAAAAGTTACTTTTTTTTTTCCACTTCTGAGTGTTAAGGTAAATTCTGATCATTTAGCCCAGCATGTCTACCCCCTGGACTGAGAGCTCCTGAGGATATAAACATGCATGTGTTTGTCACCTTTATATTCCCAGCACATGTACTTATTAAATGTATGAGTGAACATATGACCAGGGTCCAAGGAATGAGGCCAAAAATCTAAAAGCAGGACTAGGGTCAGAAAACTGGGATGGTCATGGATGTTCAGACATTACAGGAGGAGACTCCATGAAAATTGAGCGTCTGCTGGGGTCATCCTTCCACCTGAGGCTCAGCACACTCTGCTAGGAATGCTGTTGGAGGAGAAGGTGGAATTCCTAAGGAGCAAGAGGCACCATATGACAATGATTAAGAGATTGAGCTCTGGAATCAGACGTTTATGAACATAACTGTAATAAAGTGTGATGAACCTTCCAAGAGGGAAGCTCCAAGATCCAAGACATAAGAGACTATGTTCTTACAGGTGGACCTCCCCTCACCTAAGGGTTCAGGGAAGTCCTCCTTCAAAAGCCTTGCAAATTGCTTACTGCACAACTGAGGGGTTAATGTGGGCTGAAATCCAATCTGTGTTCCACTAAAGCTGTGCACGTTGACTCAAAGCCGTGTGCTCCCCAGAAGGAGCTCTTTTCCTCATTCACCCGAAGGCCTACAGTTCACCCAGACATGCCCTGCAATTAAGGACATCTGAAAGCTCAAAGATAAGTAGATGTTTTCCAGGCCAAGTTTAGGCCACAGGGACCAAGGAGGGGAACAGCAAGTGTGAGATCTGAGCATTTTAAAAGCCTGATGTACTTGAGGAACTGAAAGAAGTTCAGCAAGGTTGGAGTGTGACATACAAAGAGAAGACTAACAAGAGTGGAAGGGTATTCATTAAAGCCAGTATTTTCTATGAGTTTACTAGTTACATTGTGCTAATGGCTCTCCATGCATTATTTTGTTTAGATCACAGACATTAAGTGACTTGCCCAAAGTCATATTAGAAAGTAGTGGAACTATGATTCAAAGCCAGGTGTGAATCCAGAGCCTGTGCTCCAAAGCACTTGTCCTGTGGCATCCAAAGATTTGCAAATTGCAAAAGAGCAAAACTGGAGATGAGAATGCCAGTTAAGAAATAGTTGCAGAAATCCAGGTTAAAAATGATGGCAGGGCCAGGCATGGTGGCTCACACCTGCAACCCTAGCATTTTGAGAGGCCAAGGTGGGAGGATCACTTGAGCCTAGGAGTTCAAGGCCAGCTGTGGACAACAGAGTGAGACCCATCTCTATAAAAAAATACATTTAAAATTAGCCAGGTGTGGGTAGCATGTGTTTGTAGTCCCAGCCACTCAAGAGGCAGAGGTGAGAGGACTGCTTGAGTCTGGGAGGTTGAGGTTGTAGTGAGCTGTGATGGCGCCACTGCATTCCAGGCTGGGCGACAGAGCCAGATTCTGTCAGAAAGAAAGAGAAAAAGGAAGAGAGAAAGAAAGAGAGAGAAAGAAAGAAGAAAGAAAGAAAGAAAGAAGGAAGGAAGGAAGGAAGGAAGGAAGGAAGGAAGGAAGGAAGGAAAAAGAAAGAAAGAAAGAAAGAAAGAAAGAAAGAAAGAAAAAAAAGAAAAGAAAGAAAAGAAAAGAAGGGAGGGAGGGAAGGAAGGAAGGGAAAGAGAGAGAGAGAAAGAAAGAAGGCGGGGAGGGGAGGGGAGAGGGACAAAGAAAAAGAAAAAGAAATAAATGATGGTGGACTAAAAATAATCTTGGAAATGGCGAGGAGTAAATGGATTCCAGAGAGAATTAAGAAGTAGAATCTACAGGGCTTAGGGATTGTGTAAATATGAAGGACAATGATGAGAACAGAAAGGAGGAAAAGATGGCTCCTTATTTTGTGTCTCTGTGGATGGCATGTAATCTTCTAAGATAGAAAACAGTGAGGGAGAAACAAGTCCAGTAGGGAGGTAAGTTTAGGGCCTGTTAAATTCAAAGAATCTGTGGAACATTCATGTGGCAGTGTCCAGTTGGCAGTCCAGTGCTTGGCCCTGAGCCTCAAGACAGGCTGGATATTTAGCCCCATCAACCTGTAATTGGTAATTGACTCACAGGGTGAGTGAGATAGGGTGCGGAGTGAGAAGAGCAGAGTTCCTACTCTACTAATCATAGTATAGCAGGAGGGCTTTCTCCTATATCCAGCTGTTGATCTTTGTAAAACACAATCTAATCCATGATTTCTCTGAATTTCGTATAAGAACTGTTCTTAAAAGGCTTACAGGGTGTCATATTACAAACTGAAACCAGAGACCTGCACAAAAAAAGGAGACTATCATAAAAAATAAAGAATAAGTGGTCTTTTCCAACATTTTTGTTTGGTTCAAAGTCAGATTTAAGCTTAAATATGACTCATTCTCTATTTTCTTTCTTTTTTTCTGAGACAGAGTTTCACTCTTGTTGCCCAGTCTGGAGTGCAATGGCACGATCTCGGCTCACTGCAACCTCCACCTCCCAGATTCAAGCAATTCTCCTGCCGCAGCCTCCCAAGTAGCTGGGATTACAGGCGTATGCCACCACATCCAGCTAATTTTGTATTTTTTTAGTACAGACAGGGTTTCACCATGTTGGTCAAGCTGATCTTGAACTCCTGACCTCAGGTTATCCACCTGCCTCAGCTCCCCATAGTGCTAGGATTACAGGCGTGAGCCATTGCACCCAGCTTCATTCTATATTTTCTATAAGAACTTACATGCTGAATAAAATATCTCTAATATTATTATAACAAAAGGAGCTTCTGCTACTAATAGGCCAAATTTATGCCTCATTCACACAGGAAAATGAATGGATTAAAATCCAGCATCAGCACCAGCAGAGGTCTTAGGTTATCAAGGGCCTCTTTAAAATTTGACCTCTCATAACCTAACATAGTTCTTCCCCAATATGGGCAATTGACGTTTCCTGTATTTTACATGAAGTGCTATAAAAATGTGACTCCAAGCCAGGCCTTTTCAGTCTGCCACCCCTAGGCCCCTCTAAATGGAAATTCTGAGCCACCTTAGTTGCAGTGGTCATCACAAGATGGGATTGAGGTTTAGCTGAATCCATTTTGTCTTTCTTTTCTTTTAGAAGGCATCACAGGAGGCCTCTGCATGATGTGGCTTCCAAAGACTCAAGGACCACCCACATTACAAGTCTGGATTGAGGAAGGCAGAAATGGAGATTCAAACACCACGTCTTCTATTATTTTATTAATCAATCTGTAGACATGTGTCCCCACTGCAGGGAGTGAACTGCTCCAAGGGAGAAACTTCTGGGAGCCTCCAAACTCCTAGCTGTCTCATCCCTTGCCCTGGAGAGACGGCAGAACCATGGCATTTTATAGCTGCTGCTGGGTCCTCTTGGCACTCACCTGGCACACCTCTGCCTACGGGCCAGACCAGCGAGCCCAAAAGAAGGGGGACATTATCCTTGGGGGGCTCTTTCCTATTCATTTTGGAGTAGCAGCTAAAGATCAAGATCTCAAATCAAGGCCGGAGTCTGTGGAATGTATCAGGTAAGAAGAGGGGCCTAATCTGCCAATCTCTTCTCTTCTGAGTGGTTGGAGAAAAGCTGCACCAAACGCAAAATAATTTTTTCAAACTTTGTCCTATCTTTTCAAGAATAGTGATTGATTGGTAATCATGCTGAAGCTTATTGCCCCCACAACCTGCCTTTTTTTTCCTGAAGACTTCTTTTTAAATAAAATGTCAATGATATTAAGTAGAAAATCCATGCATGGCCTGTTAAAGCACCTGGTGGTCATTTGGTGACCAAGTTATCATCGTTCACCTGGCAGCAGTGTTGCTTAATGGAAGACTAAGTACCTAGAAGGAAATTTATTGCAGGTCTTGCAAACCTGAGTAGTAAAATCCCCCATTGACCTTACATGCTCCAATGGATAGTAATACCTGAGTGCTGGCTGCCTCACTCTTTTTCTTTTTTTTCTTTCTTTTTTTTAAGGCATTTAAGTTGAAAGAAACCACAGTAGTCAGCATGACCCAGGCATCTTCAAACTGTAAAATGTAGTCCATAGCATTTTGGAACTACTGCCATCAAAAAGTCTTTTGCATAGGAAGGTTATCCCCCCTTGCCACCCTCCCCACCCCCCATCCACCCTGCCAAGAATGCATCTCACTCTCTCAATAGATTCTCTCTGTGGCCACTTGAAGAGAGCTAATATGTCTCATCAAATATTTTCTTCTCCAAGCCACATAGTCTGTTTTATCATCATTTTCTCCATGATATGCTTTCCAGACCCGTCATCATCCTGGTTGTCCTCCATCTGATGCCCCCTAATTTACTGCGACCCTTTTAGAATATAGTCTCCAGGGTGAGGCACATCTCTTTAAATGGGATCTGACTTCTGCAGAATATGGTTGGGACTGTTTATCACCTCCCCTAATCTACACTGGAGACTGACTGTGCTCCAAATCTTGACCCATCTTCTAGAGAGACTTGCAACTTCCAGAAGGGATCCAGCACTTTTCCTTGCTCTTCCCAATAGCTGGAAAATGAAAATGAAAACTAGGATTGTTCCAATAAAACTGGATTTCTGTTCATGTTCTAATGAGAGCTAGTAAATTGATAATATTTTCACATTTTTCTTATGAATGCAGGAAATCTAAGTGCAGAATCGCACTGATGCTGATGATATCCTTCACATAACCCATGTGGACAAATACTCTGTTGTACCCTGCTGCACAGAGCTGTACATGTGCCATGTGTATACAGACCTAAGATCAAGCAAGAGGCTTGCCCTAAAATAATATATATTTTTAAATTATGTTAAAGATAATAAAATTAGCTTAGCAGCAAAGATGTTTAATGTAAAAAAAATCTGTAATATTTCATAATAACTTTGTAGATTTAAAACAAATAGTTAAACAAATACATGAAGGAAACTTAAAGAAAATGGTAACAGAAAACATCACATTAAAAGTTAGACCAAGAGCTTAGGGAACCTAACAATACAATGGAGTATAAAAGATTGTATATCTCACCTCCTGTCACTGTCACTGAGTTCAAGTAGTGAAACCCACAATATAAAGAACCTGGTGAGTTGTTTTTTCCTCTAGACACAAATACACTGATTCAGCACATTTACTGAGCCCTGACTCTGAGCAAAGTGCTAGGGAAGTGAAAACTATGTCACTGACCCTATTTCTCTTGTTAACTTGTTTGATTTTTATTTAAAATGTTCTTCTTTGAAAAGCAATGCATGTTCATTTTTTAGATATAAAGTATAAATAAGCCAAAAGCACATAATTTTAAAACTCAGCATTCCACCTCCCAGAAATAACCACTGTTGTACACCCCAGACTGTCTGTGTATGGCCTTCATAGGTTTGTTATTTGTTTACAAAAATGAGATCATTCACGTCCCTTTCCCCTTGACCTTCAGGAATGTCATAGTCTAAACATATGACTCTGCAAATCTGATCTGAGGTTATTTTTAGGCACCCACATATTAATATCCTAATGTATTTATGTTTTCCTGGTCCTTTTCTTGTACATCTACATATTGCTTTTATTTAAGTACCTCATATCAGCTACTTCAAATTCATTACTGCAGAAGACAGATACAAATTATTCAATGAATTACAAATAGCAATCTTTTATTCTTCTTTTTATTTTTATTATTGTCATTATTGCTCTCTGTCTCTGTGTGAGGCACCATGCTGAAGATTTTGCATAATTAGCTCATGTCATGATCTTCACAGTCACCCTATGAGGCAAGTGTCATCCTCCTTTTATTTTTATTTATTCATTTATTTTTGAGATGGAGTCTCACGCTATCACCCAGGCTGGAGTGCAGTGGCACAATCTCAGCTCACTGCAACTTCCATCTCCCAGATTCAAGCAATTCTCCTGCCTCAGCCTCCCCTGTAGCTGGGATTACAGACACCTGCCACCACACCTGGCTAATTTTTGTATTTTTAATAGAGACGGGGTTTCGCCATGTTTTTGGCCAGGCTGGTTTTGAACTCTGGACCTCAAGTGATCCACCCGCCTCGGCCTCCCGAAGTGCTGAGATTACAGGCGTGAGCCACCACGCCCGGCCATGTCATCCCCATTTTAACAGAGAGGGCTCTGTACAGAGCATGCCATGAAGCCAGAGAGTAGTAACAGTTCGATGATTCAAACCCAGCTTTGCCAGGTCTTTACTCTAAAGTCGTTGACTAGAAAGCTTCCCATTTTCTTCCACTTCTTCTTTCTTCCAGGTATAATTTCCGTGGGTTTCGCTGGTTACAGGCTATGATATTTGCCATAGAGGAGATAAACAGCAGCCCAGCCCTTCTTCCCAACTTGACGCTGGGATACAGGATATTTGACACTTGCAACACCGTTTCTAAGGCCTTGGAAGCCACCCTGAGTTTTGTTGCTCAAAACAAAATTGATTCTTTGAACCTTGATGAGTTCTGCAACTGCTCAGAGCACATTCCCTCTACGATTGCTGTGGTGGGAGCAACTGGCTCAGGCGTCTCCACGGCAGTGGCAAATCTGCTGGGGCTCTTCTACATTCCCCAGGTACTCAAGCCTTCTCAGGCGGGGCACTGGGAGCAGGATCAGAAGAAGCAGGCTTGGGGGTGCCATGCCCAATAGCCATACGGTTTACCATATTCCCATCTCTGGCACAAAAGACCTATGATTTAGTTGATATGCTGTATCATGACCATTTGGGATTTCTGAAACTCCAGTGTCCACAATATCAATGATACCTTCACTATGCTTCCAAAATTCTTTTAAATGTACCTTGCATAAAACTGTGTCTTTTTTTAAAAAGAGGCATTCAGTTATTTATTTCCCACTCTATTCCTTTAGTAAATTTTTTTTCCTTCTACTTTTACTAAAAGGAATCAGAGCATATGAGGTAAATCCCACCTCTCAAATCCAAAATATCTGTCCCGAATTCCATTTCCTGAAAAGTCTCGCTGCTCCACTGTCTCATTGAAACTTTAGCTCAGAGGGAAGCAGAGCATATTTTCTCACAAAACAGGAACTTAATCATTGTGTTGCACATTCCAGAAACGGAGAAAATTCTATTTCATTCAAAAAATATTTATTGAGCATATATGTATAAGCGGTCTCCACTTTGCGGGAACTTAGCCTAGGTGGAGAGATGGTTGCGTTTCCATTTACTAACAGTTTATTGAAGCAAGTGCTTTAATAAACATTCAGTGGTGCATTTTTTTCACCAAAAAAAGATAACAAATGTGAAGTGCCATTTTATAACCTGACATTTTCCTTCTTAACGCTATAGAGCAAAGCATTTTTCAGTTTAATATTTATAAATCTATGACATCATTTTATAATAGTGAAAAAATGGAAACAACCTAAATGTCTGTGGGTGGGAGAATCAGCTCAATTGTGATGCATCCTTACATCAAGTTTGAAATTAAACTATAAACTATACCTTAAATTTATTTTTTGAATGTTTAATATTTAAAATTTGTAAGAGTACCTTTGATAAATTTACATTTCTATGTTGGGAGGGCTCCTTTTTTTTTTTTTTTTTTTTGGTGATTGCCATTATCTCTTTATATACATGAGACAAGAGATAGTTTTGTCATCATTGACGGAATCCTTACTTCAGGGAATTAAAGGTGTTTCCCATGGGGAAGCCCTGGCTTTGTAACTTTTGTGCCAAAGTGATCTGACAAAGCCTGTATCAGTAAATGTGCTGCGTATATTCAAACTTAGATACACGTTAAAGTAAGTTATTGTTACCCCATGGCCAACAGGCTAAGATGTCAAGTAAAGAAAGAACATGAAAAGGGGAGGGGCGTGTTAATTCTTTGTGTTTTGGATGAAAGATAAGGTTAAGTTGAGTTTGAATTATAAAAGTGCTTTGATTATCAATCAAACCAATATAAGTCTATCTACAGTAGGGGTTCTCTGCCATGTCTGCCATGGCTACCTATTGGAATCACTTAGAGAGCTTTAAAAATACTGGTGCCTAAGTCCCACTCCGCAAAGATCAAGGTTTAATTGAGCTGAGATGCAGCCTAGGTGTCGGGAGGTTTTAACACTCTGGAAGTGATTCTAATGTGCAGCTGGGCTGGGAACCACTGCCCTGCCGGGTGAGGTCATGGACCCAGGGGTATTTCGTATGCCAGCCACGCCACCAAGTGGATGGAACAAGCAGACCAGCTAGACAAATTGCGGTTGGAACAGTTTTCTGAATCATTCTTGAAATTCTCCCCTCTTACAATAAAAAAAAGTTTTGTGTGTTTCTGAGGGGTTTTTTGGGGGGTTGGGGCACAAAATGGTATTTACCCCACTTTAGAGTTGCTTTTTAAAAACTTGGTAAACATTATAAATACGTTCCTTAAGAGAACATATCCATGAGGAATATTATTGTTTTTGATTTTTATTCCATTGAAGCCCTTTTGACCTATTTTTGAAAAACTCAAGAAGCAAGCAATAATGGATGGATTTTTTAAAATGGTAGGTTTTGTGTTTGCAAAAATCTGATTTAGAGGCCTATTGTTTGGGTCTGCTAACAGAATTCTCTGAAAAACAATAACATCTAAACAAATTACTTAATTTAACCACCTGCCTCATAAGTTCTGTGGTATTTCGAGAATACCTTATTCTGATAAGGGAAAAAATTATCAATTTTATACTATAACTTCTAAAATAAAAGCTCTTGTCAGAAAACAGTCATACTTACTTTTTAGTCAAGTTGGCCTAATTTTTTTACAGACCAACGCCTTTTATGTTTCTAATGTAGAAACTATCCATCAATAAGAAGAAACACATTGGAAATTTTTTTTTTTTTTTTTTTGAGATGGAGTCTGGCTCTGTCACCCAGGCTGGAGTGCAGTGGCAGGATCTCAGCTCACTGCAAGCTCTGCCTCCCGGGTTCACGCCATTCTCCTGCCTCAGCCTCCCGAGTAGCTGGGACTACAGGCGCCCGCCACCACGCCCGGCTAATTTTTTGTATTTTTAGTCGAGACGGGGTTTCACCGTGTTAGCCAGGATGGTCTGGAAATTTTTACTTAAAAATATTGGACATGGAAAATTAATTGTTTTAAATGGTGAAAGATATTAAAAAGGCATTCTCCCAAATACCTTTGACTTGTTTTCTTAAGAAGTTTAAAATCTCTCTGGAAAAACTAGAGAACACAAGATATTAAGCTACTTCATTTCCTAGAAGAAATTCCATTTGTGTAAAAATGTTTCGTTCTTCAGAAAAAATGGTCCCATAACTTGGAACTTCCTAAGTGGTGAGCCATGATGACACAGAGTGCTGCAAATGAGCTGAAGCCGGCCTCATCAAAGATGTGGATCTCCTCAAGTGTTGGGGTGACCAGGTGGGGCCTGAGTGGTCAGAGCACTCCCACCAGGGTTGATCAGCTTCCTCTGTTTGCTCCATGTGTTGCCATAATGTGAAAAGAAGTGGGAAAGCTCTGCACTAACTAATGCTTTACATGGTATTTGGCTACTTCTTCAAGCAACGATCTCTTAACATCAAGGGCAAGACTTTCTTCCCTTGGTAGTCCACACCCTTGCTCAGATGCAGAAGTGGCTATGTCTTAGAGAGTGCAAACATGTCAAGACAGCTTCTCCAGGGTTCCTGTTCAGCCTCTTAAGATTTTCAAGACCCATATCAAAAGCCTGTCAAGCAGGCTCAGCCATCACCTATAACTGAATAAAGGAAAGGGCTCTGGAAGGTGCTTCCCAATGGAAGATTCTTCACAATGCGACCTTCAAAAGTGGGTCTGCTAACAATGAGTTAATGGGTGCAGCACACCAACATGGCACATGTATACATATGTAACAAACCTGCACGTTGTGCACAAGTACCCTAGAACTTAAAGTATAATAAAAAAAAAAAAAAAGTGGGTCTGGCCATAAAATCAATCCAACAATAGTGGGATGGAGAGGAAGGGAGGTTTTTCTGATGATATTTAATTACATACGTCATTGTTATTGTGATACAGGGGGATTGAGCCTAGTGGTCTTAGTGGTCTAATTGAGCCTAAAAGAAACAGTTCTCAGAAATGACTGCAATTAAGCTTAGTTTTTTCTAAAGTACTGGGGTGCGGGGAGGAGAGGGAGGAGGAGGAATAACCAGAGGAGGGGAAGAGAGAAATTAGGCAGAATAAGAAAAGGGAATTCCCGGGGACTCCTCTGAAGAGCCTTAAGTTTATAATCCATGGGGAACCCGATTCCTTCCACAGGCAAATTATGAACAAAGTGTTTATTGCAGTAAAGGGAAGTTAAACTCTTCAGATCAGAAGCTGAGCCCAACAAGCCAAAGTTGTGTACATGGATATATTATAACCAATGAGGCAGCACAGAGGAGGTTAGAGAAGACATGAAACGGTGCATAAAGACTCTTCTTGAAAGGCTAAGTACATCCCACTATTGTTGGGTTGATTTTATGGCCAGACCCAGTTTTGAAGTTAGCATTGTGAAGAATCATCCATTGGGAATTGGGATGCTCCCTCAAAGACTGAAAGGTGCTTAAGTGCTCACTCTGGAGTGGAACAGATGCTGCTTTTCCTTACCCTTTCTTTCATCCTGTATACAGTGAACAGCATAGTTGATAAATGAGACCAAGGCATGCTCAGAAAGCCACCTCCACAACAGCCTGGAGGCTCACTCAGCACCTCTTCACTCACTCACTCACTCATTCACCATGTTCTTGGTTCTCTCCAGGTCAGTTATGCCTCCTCCAGCAGACTCCTCAGCAACAAGAATCAATTCAAGTCTTTCCTCCGAACCATCCCCAATGATGAGCACCAGGCCACTGCCATGGCAGACATCATCGAGTATTTCCGCTGGAACTGGGTGGGCACAATTGCAGCTGATGACGACTATGGGCGGCCGGGGATTGAGAAATTCCGAGAGGAAGCTGAGGAAAGGGATATCTGCATCGACTTCAGTGAACTCATCTCCCAGTACTCTGATGAGGAAGAGATCCAGCATGTGGTAGAGGTGATTCAAAATTCCACGGCCAAAGTCATCGTGGTTTTCTCCAGTGGCCCAGATCTTGAGCCCCTCATCAAGGAGATTGTCCGGCGCAATATCACGGGCAAGATCTGGCTGGCCAGCGAGGCCTGGGCCAGCTCCTCCCTGATCGCCATGCCTCAGTACTTCCACGTGGTTGGCGGCACCATTGGATTCGCTCTGAAGGCTGGGCAGATCCCAGGCTTCCGGGAATTCCTGAAGAAGGTCCATCCCAGGAAGTCTGTCCACAATGGTTTTGCCAAGGAGTTTTGGGAAGAAACATTTAACTGCCACCTCCAAGAAGGTGCAAAAGGACCTTTACCTGTGGACACCTTTCTGAGAGGTCACGAAGAAAGTGGCGACAGGTTTAGCAACAGCTCGACAGCCTTCCGACCCCTCTGTACAGGGGATGAGAACATCAGCAGTGTCGAGACCCCTTACATAGATTACACGCATTTACGGATATCCTACAATGTGTACTTAGCAGTCTACTCCATTGCCCACGCCTTGCAAGATATATATACCTGCTTACCTGGGAGAGGGCTCTTCACCAATGGCTCCTGTGCAGACATCAAGAAAGTTGAGGCGTGGCAGGTGCGTCCTTCACTTATATAGCAATTTGCTGTATAATAAAGCAGAGTTGGGCTGCAACTCCAGGCAAGAAAAATAGTGGTCATTTGAAAAGGGCAATATTTAAATGAAGCCACTAAATGGAGCTTTGGATTCAAAGTACCTTTTTTAAATCTTGAGCAACTGATTTGAACAAAATTGATAGTAATTTGATTATCTATTTAAAGCCTTGAGTCAACTGTTCTTTAGTCCAGTGATTCAGAATAACTGAAGTATGGTCCCCAAAAGTTTTCAAATATCCCAGAACAGATTTAGTAATGAGTGGGGTATTTTTCTAATGTCTAAATTATCAATATTGTTCCCTTGTGAGTAAGAAGTATTTTTTGAGTACCTATTACATTCCATATACTAAGTGGCATAAAGCTAGTATTATTGTGTTTAGCCACCACTTTTGCCATTACATTACTGACAGCCTATACCAAGCCACCCAGCAGGTCAGCTAAGCACAGCTTAGGACAAAAGCAAATCAAAGACACAGAAAACAAAAACTCTTTGTAAAAAGATTTGATATTGAGTGTTTCAAAAAGAAGCACTGAAGTGGTTATCATAGAAAAAATCAGAACTTAAGAGGAGTTCCCACACTTGTTTAGCCTTGTTTTGTATTTTTGAATTACACACAGGAGAGACATCATAATCTTTTTCATTTCAAGAGCTTATATCCTAAATAGCTGTTCGGGTCTTGCATATGTGCCTTATTTTTTTCAATCAGACCATGTTTCACACTCCTTTTGTATTTTCCTTAGTTCCAAACTGACCTATCAGAGAGATTGCATGACAGTGGAGAGGGCGGGAATTCCTGAATTTGAATGGAATGTGCCAGCCTCCAGCTCCCCCATTTCCTAGCTGTGTGATCTTAGGCAAACCATGGCTGTAAGTCACAGTGTCTCCATCTGTGACACAGACTTAATGTCTAGCTTACTTTCCACTCAATGTTCTTTTGACTTAGGTTCATGACATTAAATGACATGATATATGTAAAAGCAATTTGTAAACTTTCAAGCTCTAAACAGATGTGTGATTATTATAGTAGGATTTCAGTACAGCTCTAATTAATCCATGAATTAGGTAAAAATGATAACTAGAACACCTTTGTATACAGAACCCAACCACCACAAACCCTTTGGGAAGGATACCAAGAAGCAAAAAGCACACAACTTGTATCAGTCACTGTAGAGATTCTCATGAAAGACAAGGAGTGACTGTCTAAGTTGGTCAAATAGGCCAGAATCTTCAAGTTCTCAGCCCTTCTTATATGGGAACCTCTTACCCAACCATCACTGTTGGCTAAAGTTTCTAACTTCTGTGGGGTACTCAGAGCTTCTTTCTTCACACGGAACCCCTACCTTGCCAAGATAGAGGTGCTGTAATAAAGGTCAGGCACTCTAAAGTCTTCAGGAGTGATGATGCTAAGGTATGGGGTTTTAAGTAGGAGGAGTAAGGGAGCAATCTTCTAGGTGGTTGTTACTATTGTCTTTTCTTTCTTACCTCTCACGTCCAATGCAAGGAGGACCTCAGTTCTTGAAAAAACTGCAAGACAAGAGTAGGGTTGAAGGAAAAACAGGCTTCAAGGGGGAAACTTGGCAGTTCTACTCTTCAATGGCTCCTCTTCCAGATAAGGAAATAAAATACAGATGGTCAAGACCAGACCTTGGACCTGTGAGAAAAAAAAAAAAGCCATGACAGGCTACAGTCACAACTGGGACTTTTAGTTGTGTAATAGAAAGCCCTAACCAAATTGGCATAAACAAAAAAAGAGGAAATGTAGTGAGTGGGTCATGTCACTAAAAATCTCAGAAGTGTTCCAGGTACAGCTAGGTATTTTCATCTCATCTTTCTGTTCTTCATTCCCCAGGGTTAGCAATTTTCAGCTTCTGTAGCAGCTTGAAGCTAGGATCTCCTTACTTCCCAAGATATCCTGTAAAAGTTCCAGAAACCACATTTATTGACCATTCCTAAGTCATGGATCCATCCCTGATGCTAGCAGTCCTCCAGACTACATAGACTTAGAGTAAGGGGGGAGTGAATCTCCAGTGGGAAGTCAGGATGCCATTACCAAAAGGAGGAAGAAATAGAAGCAAAGCAGCCAACATTCAAAATGTCCACTACACAGACACTTCACCCAACCATGGCCCAGGTAAAGATATGTTCTCCTGACTCTTACATGGTCTGGAAAAATCTCCCCAGGAGACAGCACAGATAGGAAAATGGGATCAGAACTCTAGGGAGGAATGACATGGGAAATTGGCCAAAATGTCCTGAGTGCTTGGTGTGAGTCTCCTTTGAGCCTCAGGAACCCAGGCTGTTGGATGGGCGTTCCAGAATTTGAGGTCTTGGCCAGGAGATGAACTAGCAATTATTCATTCTCATTATTAAGACCTATATCTTCATCAGGAAATCAACTAGCAATTATTCATTCATTCTCAATATTAAGATCTATATGGAAACTTATCACCTATAATCTAATCCAAGTCTCCAGCTGGAACTCCATGTCTGCCTTCTCTCAGTTCTTCCCCTATAAGCCAACCTGCATGACACCTCCTCACAAATCACTCATTAGTTTTTGGCACAGCATCTTTGCATAGGCCATAGCCCACACCAGAAGGGCCATCAATTTTTATCTCTGCTGTCATTTTCCACCAGGAACATTTAAATTGTTTTCAAAATCCACTTTCCCCTGGAAGTCTTTTCAAATCGTATTCCCACAACACATTTTCTGATCATTCTCGCTTCCTCATTTTTGATGTTTATATACCCAGCTTAAGCTTCCACAGCTCTTTAATTGACTGAAATAGACACTTATTAGTTAAAATTCTGGTTATAAGGGTCAATCACAATTTTTTTCCTTTCTTTCTCCCCAAAAAAATATTTATCAGTCAACTCATATGCCTCAAAAGTAGCACTAGCAGGTGATTTATGAGCATACAACTCACAATTGCCTCCTGACCTCTTCTTGGAGACCCCCAAGCCCTCCTCACATCCCTTCCCAGCTCTCTCTTCACTACTCCTTTGCTGTACTCTAAGCTTCATAAGATCCAGAACCATGCCTGTATTGTTCAGTACTATGTTCAGAATGCCTGTCGCTGGAATATTCATTGAATGAATGAATGAGTGAATAGCAGTCTAGTTGATTTGACCTGTCAACACTACCTATAGGCCTTTGCAGGGAACCGTTTGAGCCAACAACCCATTCTTGAATCAATCACTGTGGCCAAGGTATTCTAGGCTCTGTTTGGACAAGCTTTGGTCACGTGCCCACTATCAAGTTTGAGTGGAACATCATGTAAGTATGAAATCACCTTCTTTCTTCTCTCAGGATGATCATGCACAAGGTGTGCTTCCTACTCTCCTGCACCTCACACCAACACTCACTAGTCAGAAAACAGGCGTGCAGCCATGGTGAAGATGGAAGTCAGATGGAGCTGATCTTTCTAGGAATTCCTGGTACTGCTGGAAGTTGGGGAATGGGGGATAAATTGTGAGGACAGCCAGAGAAGATGGAAGGGAGATAAGAAAACATGGCTGGCGTTAGAGAAGGGAATTGGGCCTGGATCTTCCCCATGCTCTTACCACAGGAACTGGGCAAGATAATGAACTTCATTATCTTGTTCATTATCTGTGTGACCTGGCCCTCATTATCTGTATAAGAGCTGGAAGTCCTAGACCAGAGTGGGGGGGTTTCTAGTCTCTAATGTTCAGTTTAATTCAATTGACGCTACTAAGAATGTGTGCCAAGAGGTGATTTCCATTTATGCTTATAATGAGCAACCGTTTGACTTTAAAATCTTTTAGGGGAAATACCCTAAAAGACCACAAGATGGGAATATTATGGCATAAAAGAGTATGTTAGCTTCTAAGTGCATGCATGTCCTGTATTTGCCCCTCTTTTAGATCTATGTGTCTTTCTTGGTGGTGTTTTCTTTGTGAGCCTGTAAGTCTCTTTGTGTCTGTATGTTATGTTCTATGTTCAGATCTTTTTGTTTGTTTGTGTTTTGTTTTTTTGAGGCAGAGTCTTGCTCTGTCACCCAGGCTGGAATGCAGCGGCCCGATCTTGGCTCACTGCAAACTCCGCCTCCCAGGTTCAAGCAGTACTCCTATGTTTGGATCTTTCTACTAGCTTTTTTTGTTTCTCTTCCCCTTCGTTTATTCTTTTTCCTCATATTACTCCCCAAATAAAATAAATAATTTGGAAGCATATAATATTGGATAATAATCTCAAGTAAAATTTTATATTTCATTTTAAAAGGAACTGTCAGTTCCTTTTTAAAAGCAAAAGAAGCCAGGGGCAGTGGCTCACACCTATAGTCTCAACACTTTGGGAGGCCACAGTGGGTGGATCATGAGGTCAGAAGTTCGAGACCAGCCTGGGTAACGTGGTGAAACCCTGTCTCTACTAAAAATACAAAAAATTAGCCGGGTGTGGTGGCAGGCACCTGTAGTCCCAGCTGCTCAGGAGGCTGAGGCAGGAGAATTGCTTGAACCTAGAAAGCATAAATTGCAGTGAGCCAAGATCGCACCACTGCACTCCAGCCTGGGCAACAGAGCGAGACTCCGTCTCAAAATAAATAAATAAATAATAAAAAGAGTGTTCTCTCTCGGGCAGATATCTAAATTATCTTCTAACTTATGTTGCTTTTTTTGTGGATCAATCATTATCAATTTAAAGATTCCCTGTCATTGCTCTTAGGAGTGAAATGGTTTTCATCTCCATCTTCCCTGTTATGTGAATTAAAGGCAAGATATTATGCAGAAAATAAAACGCCCAAATGCAAAACTTGCAAGTCAGCCTGCCAAAAGAAATATTAAAGATGTTTAAAGAGGTGACTTAGAGATATGACTTGGTAAGCATAATAATTTATTGATTATAAGTGGATAACGTACAAATTTTGAGTAGAAAATATTCCACACTCATGTGATTTTATTTATATACCTGCTGTGAGGACATAGTACAATACAATTCAGGTTAGGATTTGAAGTAAGGAAAAAAAAATATCATTTGAGACGAGTCTTGAAGGGTAGATAAAATTTGTGGATACGGAGAAGGATCTACTCCTTGGAGGAAAGGTCACAAAATGTCCTGCTAAGCAAAAGAATACTGACTAAAAAAAAATAGTACATAGTGTATGATTTCATTTATGCGATACTCTGTCTCTACTGACAGAAAGAAAGCAGATCAGTGGTGGCCTAAGGCTGCAAGTGGGTAGAGGTTGACTTTCAGGGACACCACAGAACCTTTTGGGAAGGTGGCAGTGGTAGTTACCAAGCATATACATTTGCCCAAATTCAGAACTATACACTTAAAATGAGTGTATATAAATTATACCTCAAAAAAGTTGATAAAAAAAATAACGGAAAGTCCCCAGGTGGGGAAGTCCTGGCTACTCATGGAGATCAGGATGTCATTCAGGTTAGACCATTTTCCCACTTATGGCCCCTCATGTTGCCACAAGCATTACACATCTCTACCATTTCATTTTTAAAATATGTCCATTTTCTCAACCTACATTTTATACCAGTTAACCTGTTGTAACTAGAGATAGGCAACTTAATAGATGTCTAATTTCACTCCTGCATGTGAGTAGGTAGTATAGTGTAATGGTTAACAGTTTGGAATCTCAAGCCAGACTGAGTTGGTTTAAATTTTAATTGCCACCTAATTGCCTTATGACCTTGGGCAGTCACTTAGTGTCCTTGTGCCTCACTTTTCTCTCTCACCTGAGAAATAGAGATCATGAAACTTGTTAAGTTTATTATGAGGATACCATTACTTAATATGCACAGAGTGCTTAGGATAGTGCCTATATACTATGTGCAGTAAATATTAGTCTTGAGTATTATTCTTTTGTAGGTGAGGAGGGTAAGACCCAGAGAAGTCAGAATGATTTTCCTAAAGTAATATATCTAGCTAGTAAAAAAGCTACATCTGCTCCAGGTGATCTGTTCCCCAAAGAGGCCAAAGGAGTTGCTAAAAGAATGACTTTTGCCCTCTGGGCACCACATGCCTTCTAGCTCCTGAGAGGCTGCCAGATCAGCCAGTGGTTTCCAAGTGAAGACACTGGTCCACTGCCTTGAACCCTGGGTGTTCAACAATTGTCCTGACACCTCGGTCCTTACACAAAGAGAAAGTATAGTGTGCAAATAATTGAGAGTGCACACAGCCAACCAGGTTGGAGTCTATTAGACATCTCTGTCCATCTTGAATATTACTGTATTTCTTCTTTCTAAAACAGTGCCTGCTTGGCCAGTAGTGGTCCCTCAATAAATACTTGTTGAATAAACAAATGAATAAAGAAAGAAAATGGGACAAAAATAACTCCTGAGAGGACAGTGGAGGACAGTAACACAGTACCTAGATACAGGCACAGATAAGGGAGGTCAGTGATCTCAGAGAAGTGGTCAGAAAACTCTCACACAAGAAACCACAGTAATGCTGACTTCATAAACTGGGGCTGGAACTTAGCTCTGCATTGTTAACAAAGTAAATTACATGAAGGAAAGCATGTTTTGGTAAGGATTTTAAGAGTATAAACAGGGTTATTGAGGCATAAAGATCCAGAAACCATTAAATTTTAAATTATTCTTGTATTTTTAACTGATGTAGGCCTCCTAAGAATCTTTATCAGGAACAATTTATTAGCCTAATTTGTACTAATAAATATGCCTAAAAGAAGAAAAGAAGCAACTTTAAAAAAATTATTTTGGCCTTTTTATTTGTTTGCTTGTTTTTGTTTATTTCAGTTTAGAATTTAGATCATATTTTCAATCTTACTCGGCCTGATTCAGCCCAATTGAACTGGTTAGAACTCCCAGTATAATCTTGTATAGATATAGTGAGGACAGACATTACTGTCTGCATCTGATCAGGGGGAAAGCATTCAGTCTTTTACCACTGAGTATGATGTTAACTTTCATAGATGCCCTTTATAGAGTTGAGAAAGTTCCCTTTTATTCCTATATTGCCGAGAGCTTTTATCAGGAATGGAGGTTGGATGTCATCAGTGCTTTTTCTGTATCTATTCAGAAAATCATGTGGTTTTTCTTTTGTAGTATGTTATTGTAGTTGACCATCAAACCAACCTTTCGTTCCTGGGATTAATCCTACTTGGTCATAATGTATATTCCTTTTTGTACATGTATTTGTGTGTTTGATTTACTAAAATTTGGTTAAGAAATTTTGCTTCTATGTTCATGAGGACTATTGGTCTAAAGTTTTATTTTCTTGTAATGTCTTTGTCTGGTTTTGGTGTCTGGGTAATGATGACCTCAGAATGAGTTTGGCAGTATTGACTTCTTTTTTGATGTTCTGTAAGACTTTTGTAGAATTGGTATTAATTCTTCCTTAAATCTTTGGCAGCACTCATCAGTGAAGCCACCTTTAGTTGGTTTTCTTTGTGGGATTGTTTTGTTTTGTTTTGAGATGGAGTCTTGCTCTGTCACCCAGGATGGAGTAAAGTGGCATGATCTTGGCTCACTGCAACCTCCGCCTCCCAGGTTCAAGAGATTCTTCTGCCTCAGCCTCCCGAGTAGCTGGGATTACAGGCATGCACCACCACCACCAGCTAATTTTTGTATGTTTAGTAGAGATGGGGTTTCACCATGTCGACCAGGCTCGTCTCTAACTCCTGGCCTCAAGTGATCCACCCACCTCGGCTTCCCAAAGTGCTGGGATTACAGGCATGAACCACTGTCCATGGCCTGTGGGAAAATTTTGAACTGAAAATTCAATTTATTTAATGGATAGAATGCTATTTAGGTATATATGAGTCAGCTTTGATAGTTTGTCTTTCAAAGACTTTGTCCACATCGTCTAATTTGCCAAATTTACTGGCATAAGTTTATTTATAATATTGTTTACAATGTTCTCAGACTATAATTATAATGTCTGCAGCATCTGTAGTGTTGTCACTTCTCGAATTTATCATATTGTAAATATGCATCTTCTCCCTTTTTTCTGATCAGTCTGGCTAGAGATCCATCAACTTTATTAATCTTCTCAAAGAATCAGCTTTTGGCTTTAGTGATTTTTCTCTATATTTTTGTTGTCTGTTTCATTTATTTCTATTCTGATCTTTGTCATCTCCTGTCTTCTGATTTATTTCAGTTTAATTTGCTCTTCTTTTTGTAGTTACTTATTTGGAAACTGAAGTCATTGATTTAAAAACCTTTCTTTTCTTATAATATAGACATTTACTGCTATAAATTTCACTATAAATATTTTATTAGCTGCATCCCTCAAATTTTGATATGCTGTGTTTTCATTTTAATTCAATTTAAAATACGTTCCAACTTTCCTTTTGATTTCTTCTTTGGCTCTCAGGTTTAGAAGTGTGTTATTTGGTTTCCAAGTTTCCAGTGATTTTTCCAAACATTTTTCTGTTATTTGTTTTTAATTTAATTCCATTGGAGTCAACATATTTTGTTTGATTTTAATATTTTTAAATTTATTGAAACTTGCTTTATAATCCAGAATATGGTTTATCTTTATAAATATTTTGTGTTCTTGAAAATAATGTATATTCTGTTGTTGGGATGACTGTTCTGTAAATATCAATTAGATCAAGTTGGTTGATAGTACTGTCCAAGTCTTTTAAGTCTTTTATATTTGTATTGATTTTCTGCCTACTTCTTTCAGCTAATACGAATGCCCTATTGACCTTATTTTTCTCATTTATCCTCAGACTGATAAAAACCTCATCATGGGCATGACTTGTCCACATAGTCATGCTGGACACCTACAGGTTTAATATCTATTCTATTAATTATGCACTCAAAAGACAAGGTTTGAGTATCCACTAAAATCTAGGCCCTCTACAAACCACTGGAGATACAGAAGGAAATAAGGCAGTTCCTGCTTTAGAGAAGTTTGGTCTAATGAAGTGTGGGTACAACATTCCTAGCCACAAAGATTCCAGAGTGCTTCCTTCTCCAGATAAGATGTTTACATTGCCATCTCTTCCCTCCTGCCTACTCTTTATCTCCCTGCCACATCCGAAGTTGGACTTGCCATGTCTCATTACTCAACTCGCTACACCAAGTATCCTAGAGGCTACCTTGTTATCAAGGATCCTGCCAACTACAAATGTCGGTTTCACTAATTAATTCATATTTGGATTTTTAAAGTCCTTTTCCATGCCTTCTTTTTTGCAACAGCTTTATAAGATGTAATTCACATGCCATACAATTCAGTCATTTAAAGTATACAATTAAGTGGCTTTTAATACATTCACAGTTATGCAACCATAACCACAGTCAATTTTAGAACATTTTCACCACATCAAAAAGCAACCTCATATCCTCTAACTGTCACTCCCTAGGCCCCCAAAGCCCCAGTCTTAGACAAACACTGATCTACTTTCTGCTTCTATACATTTGGACTTTCCTGGATATTTCATATAAATAAAATCATAAAACATATGATCTTTTGTGACTGGCTGCTTCTTCCATATTGTAACATGTATCAGTACTTCATTCCTTTTTACAGCCAAATAGTATCCCATTGTGTGGATATACCACATTTTATTTATCTGTTTACCCAATTGATGAACATTTGGATTGTTCCCACCTTTGGTTGTTATGAGTAATGTTGCTATGAACATTTATGTACAAATGTTTGTGTGGACATATATTTTCATTTCTCCTAGGAATGCACACACACACACACACACACACACACACACACACGAGTAGGATTGTTGGGTCAAATGATGACTCTATGTTTAACTTTTTAAGGAACTGCCAGACGTTTTTTCCAATGTGGCTGCACCAGTTTACATCCCCACCAGCAGTCTATGGAGGACCCCAAGTTCTCTACGTTTCAATCAGCCCTGTTTCTTATCTAATCCAATACTTTTTAATGTGAAATCTAGCCTCTTTTTTGCCTTGGCTCCTCTTTACTTATCTTCTGTATTTCCCCTTGTTCTCTAGTACATACATGATTCTTGAGAAATTGATCTCTTTACTGGCCCCATAACACATCATGTTTATTCCTAATGTGATATCTTTGCCCATGCTGTTCCACTGTTTTTAACACCTTCCCTCCCTCTGTCCTTTGCCAGCCAAAATATGCCTGAAACCTGCATTGATCATTTCAGCCCTTTTAAATTTCTATCTCCTCTAAGTTTCTCTGTACTTAGAGATGATACCCCATCAGTTAGCAGTTAACTATATTTTATCTTGCACTGTTTACTGCTTCATTGAATATTTATGTCGTGCATTTTATCCCCTAATCCATATGAAAACTCCATGAGGATGGGATGACCATATCTTGTAGTTCTGCAGCCCAGTTCAGAACACACAGTGGATACTCTGTAAATATTTCCTGGTTGATTGATTCCAATATTATAAAATTCCAGTCTTGTATTTATCATGAGTTTTTTAATGACTACTTAGAAACTTTAAGAAAATGATTTTTGATTGTTTCTCCTTTGAAGTTAGGATTATGGTGGAAATCTCCAGCCCATGCCAACAATAATGCAGAAGACTTGTAGCCAGGGATGAGCTTTAAGTCACTTGTCTGACCAGTGTGAAAGATGACCAGCTAATTATGAAAGGATCTTGTGCAGTTCCCCTCCCCACTTCTACCCTGATGCTGGGAGAGTTCCACTGCAGAGAACTAGTGGACAAAGGAGAAAAGCAGCTTGTTGCCTGGCATGTTAAGAACCAAGGAACTGAAACCTAAATAGGAAGAAGAAATGTATGCTAACTACTAGAGCTTTACCACAATATATGCATTTCAATAAGGATGTATTACTGACCTCTAACAAACATTTGCCATGGACACTGTAAGCAATTTATATTAGAGGTGTAGGATGATGTTGTAGAAAAGCCTTGTTTAACCCGTAGCTCCAGCACTTAGTGGCTATATGACTTTTGCAAGTTTCTTGACCTTTCTATGCCTCCGTTTCATCATCTAGAAAATGAAGATACTAATAGTTCTAATCCATAGAGGTGTTGTGAGGATTAAATGATATAGTATGTATTAAGTATTAGAACAGGGACTGGCACATAGGAAGTACAAATAAGAGGTAGTTTCCTACCTCTTCACTTTTCTCATCTCCTTTTCCACACACACAGACCTGGCATGGCATGTGGACAGGATAGTGGAAACTCTATGATTAGGATGAAACATTTGCACTGACAAGTCATGGTAGGTACATGGGACCAAAGTATGGAGGGCTTTGGAAGCTACCTGAATAAGTTTGAAGCACATTTCATCTGAGTCATGGTAGGTCCCCAGCAGGAAGTGGGAGGGGCACGATTACAGCATGGAGAAGGATGATGGCCATGTCAGAAAGGCCCCCAAACTGCTAAGAGCAAGGTTTCGAGCAATGTGGGAGTGAGGGCAGTATTAAAGAGCAGAAGAACTGCATGTTCCTCTGAGGGCAAGAAGGATGTGTCAGGAAAAGGATGTGTTGGGGTAGAGACAAAAGGATGTACACCACTCTGGGTAGGAGGAAGTCAGGTCACCCCAACAGCGAGGAGGGATAGGAAGCGGAGGTGGAGGTAAAAGAAAGGAACACATCTAGAACACCTCCTCTGCACTGACGGCCTTAAGGCCTCAGTAAAAATGAAGGCAAACATAAGGTTGTCAACCATCAGAGAAGGTGGGAAGGCTCAGGAGAAGACGAGGGACACAAATCCTTAGTAGGAGCCATTCTCCATCTTTTTTGAGGATGGCTCAGCAGCTCTGGTTGCAGAACCAGGTAGCAGGGAGTGAGGGATCCCTCTCCTTCATAGACCTGAGTTGAAAGTCAGGGCAGTCAGGGCCTGCCAATGGAGCAGCGTTCACAGACTGCAGGTTAAGGGAGGCACCCAGGGTGCTATGCCTGTGAGCACACATAGTCTGTCATGGACTCTGCCCCCAAGCATGTCTTGGAGCTACTTATGGATAAATCCAAGTGACTCCTCTCCTGTATTTAATATTCCTTACTATAAATAAATGTTTGTCTAAAAATAAAGTTAATACAGATATCAATTGTTAAGAAGCAGTGCCATCTCTGGAGTGGAGTGGGACAGGAGAGGTACTGGCTCAGTCCACGTGTTTGTCACACATATCAGAATAATTTGGCCTCAGAAAGGCCTATTAAGGCCATTCATTAGATGGACTCAGCCCAAATGTTGTCCCAGTGTGAGATTAGACGTTGGATTTTAAGTACCTTAAAAAGAATGATAAATGGCTGGGCGCAGTGGCTCATGCCTGTAACTCCAGCACTTTGGGAGGCTGAGGCAGGATGGTCGATTGAGCCCAGGAGTTTGAGACCAGCGTAGGCAACATAGTGAGACCTTGTCTCTACAAAACCAAAAAAAAATTAGCTCAGAATGGGAGACTACTGGAGATTCAGGAGGTGCAGTGGAAGGTGTACCCTACACTCACAGGCTGGACCCTGCCTTACTCTCACGTGGTGTCACAGTGACACAAGGCTGGCCTCACATGAAAGATAAGTGGCTGAGTGCCCACTGCCTCCTCTTGACTGATGTCAGGAGCATGTGAGGAAGCAGAGCCAGGAGCCCAGCGATGCTGCAGTAGAGTACAGCAATTAAGAGCGCAGGATTGTGACCCTGGACGAGATACTTAAAGTTTTCAGTGCCTCAGTTTCCCCAGAAATAAAATAAGCTTAATACTATTTGTTGTGAGGATTTGATTAGATAATGGATATAAAGTACTTAGGGTCGTGCCTCAATGGTAGTAAAATGACTGATATCTAAAATGTTTACATGACAACATGTGGTATGTGTTAGTAATTATTATGATGACTTTTTTGTGCAAAGGCTTTGTGACATATAAAACCTTATAAAAATTCAAGGATTTGCCATGACTCTGACAACAATAATGGCCGGGCTTTGCCCACAGCCTCATCTCTTTCTTCCTTCACCCCACTCTGTGAATCTTGGCAGCAAAGCACTTCCACAGCAGCAGGATCATAGGAAAGGAAAGTGCGGAGAATAAGAGCACTCAGTCATTTCTCCTGTCCTTCCCCAATGCCCAGCTCAGAAGATGCCAGGGATGGACTCTGGCTTATAAATCCTGCCCCTCCTGGGGCACCACCAGGTGATGGCACACCTGCAGAACCTTTGACCTGGCCAGTTGCCAGGTGAGATGTCTCCCTTTCCTTTCCCCATCTTCAAGAAAGTGTTTCCTACCCTAATCATAATTTGAATAATAATTAAAGCCCATGGCTTAACAGGGCTGCTGCTAACACCGGCAAGTACTTTGGTGTGAATTAGAAAAAGCTGTCTCTTCCTCAAGTCACGTTCCTCCCACTTTGTTGGAACAAGATAGTCTACCGTTGTTGTGCAGGGCACAGCCTACCTAATTAGTTCTATGTGGCAGCCCTGGGGCTTGTACTCATTCTTTGCTCCTCTTTAGGTCCTGAAGCACCTACGGCATCTAAACTTTACAAACAATATGGGGGAGCAGGTGACCTTTGATGAGTGTGGTGACCTGGTGGGGAACTATTCCATCATCAACTGGCACCTCTCCCCAGAGGATGGCTCCATCGTGTTTAAGGAAGTCGGGTATTACAACGTCTATGCCAAGAAGGGAGAAAGACTCTTCATCAACGAGGAGAAAATCCTGTGGAGTGGGTTCTCCAGGGAGGTAGGTGCTGTCCATCAGAAAACCAGATGTCTCCACCAGGGGCAGGAAACTGTGCTGGGCTTTGGGAGGGCCTTTGGTTTCCCCACTGGACTTCCAAAATAAAGAGTCCACTTCCCTGAACTCTCTGGCCTTTGCAATCTTGGGGCTCCCTGTGAAATCCACAGTGTTTAGTGTAAAGAGAAGAATCTCCAGAACCTGAGCCCCATGCCTTCCTACTGTATTGAAACAGTTTCATTTTTCACAAATATGACTCCCTAGCTAGTCACAAAGTTTCCTTGGCTAAAACTTTCCCTAACCAGAGCAAAATATTTAAGCAAATGTAAACATCGGTCAAGTCAGTGGCTCTCAGCTCGGCCAAGGGCAGGGGAGACAAGTTTTAGAGTGGAGGGGACTGCTTTTGGGTTGTCACAATGACCAGGAAGTATTAATGGCCTTCAGCACTTGGGATCCAGGGATACTAAGTGTCCAGCATGTGTGGGACAAGCTTACATGACAAAGAATTGATCCCGCCTCAATGGCCAGTAACAGCCAT
Organism: Homo sapiens; assembly: GCF_000001405.40. Classification (NCBI taxonomy): domain Eukaryota; kingdom Metazoa; phylum Chordata; class Mammalia; order Primates; family Hominidae; genus Homo; species Homo sapiens. Next base: position 122,276,575 of record NC_000003.12, read on the forward strand.
TGAAAGACACTGGAGCCCAAAATGGAGCTGGATGTTTTCACCTGAGTCATTTGGTGTTGTCACCACCCTCACAGCCTGGACAGTTCACACAGAGGTAGTGTGACAGCCCGGGCTGCTGAACTGTAAATCAAAAGAACAATTTATTCTCCTCCTCCAGGAGACCTGTAACAAAGAGGAGGATGCTTGTGTGTCTGAGTATCACTGCAGCTAGAAGCCTGTTAATAACCAGAAGCCCACCCCTCAGTCAATTTGCACTTGAGGAAGAGAAACGTGATACACTGGAATGATGACCATTCTATGATGTTTGTGTCCTAGAATATAGCAGGCTGCTAAGAATCCAGGTCCTCTGTAAGAACACAGATCCTAGACAGGGCATCCTCTTAACTCTCCCAGGAAGCCTGGATAAGACCCACCACATTTCTATTTGCATTTGCCTTTTTTATTATCACCTTTGAGCATCTTGGACCACTTTTCTTTTTTTTTTTTTTTTTTGAGATGGGGTCTGGCTCTGTTGCCTAGGCTGGAGTGCAGTGGCACAATCTCGGCTCGCTGAAGCCTCTGCCTCCCAGGTTCAAGCAATTCTCCCACCTCACCCTCCCAAGTAGCTGGAATTACAGGCGCACCACCACACCCAGCTAATTGTTGTATTTTTAGTAGAGACGGGGTTTCACCATGTTGGCCAGGCTGGTCACGAACTCCTGACCTCAGGTGATCCACCCTCCTCAGCCTCCCAGAGTGCTCAGATGACAGACGTGAGCCACCATGCCCAGCCATCTTGGACCACTTTTTATAACATAACCAAAGACTCGCTTCGTCTTCTTATCAAATGCTTCTTAGGTTGACAGGTTCCTGATGAGATGCTACAACTTCACTGTTACCCAGTATGTAGATGGATTACCACTGGGAAGGTCTCCCATAGACAGTGAATCTCATCCACAGTGTGCCGTTTTTAATAGCTTACACCCCAGAGGGTGGGTTCTTAATTATAAATATGTCATGACTTTTCCAGATGGAGATTTGGGGGTTCCAGATGTTATATTCCTCTGTCCACTAATTATACCTTTGTCTAATTTATCACGTATTTTCACTGACTGGAGTCTAAATTGATCAGCTATACTGCCACCTGTTTACCCCTGTTGGATCATCCAGTTTATCTTTCACCCCCATTAATGCATAGAATTGAATTCTCTAATGGCACATGTCTCTCCACTGCAGCAGGGAGCTATCTCCTGTACAGTTCTCCATAGCCCTAACTGTCCTCTCCCAGGCTATGTACATCATGGGCTTAAACATTGATAGATGAATAACACAGGGAATTCTCATTAATTCAGTCACTTATGTTCTTGGAATAGTTGACACAGTTATAAGTTAAATCTAATTTTTTTCCATAGAAATATTACCTCAAACGTAGCACACAATGGATACTCAACAAATCTTAGGATCTACTCTATTATTTTCTGTGCTGTTGTGGAAATGACCACAAAAATACCACCTATATTTAACTATAAATTATATATTAGTAACTTCCCTATGTATTTCACAAAGTTGTTATTGAGATCAAATGAGATCAAGGATGAAAAGCGTATGATAAACTGAATCATACTACTAATATATAAATGCAAAGTATTAATATGGCATTATACTTAACTGATGTTCTCAATTTTCTTACAAATGTAGCACTAAATTTAGAGCTAGATAGATCTTTAAAGATCCTTGTATCCAAGCTTCCAATTTGAAGTTGATGACACTGAGGTTTTAGGATGCAAAGGTGACTTCTCAGGCCAAACAGATGGTCAGTATAAAAGCTGAGACTAGACCCCAAGGGCCCTAACTTAGACCTCAGTGCTCCATTCCCTACACTGTGCTGCCAATAATTCTTTCCTTGTTTTGCTACAACAAATAAGAAGTAAAAGAGACACCTTAATTAGGGTCTTGGAATTCAGATGAGCTTCCTTGGCCAGAATTGGACAGGCATCTTTAATAAGACTGTTGAGGAGGCTTGGAGATACTTGACTGCTTTTTGGAAAAATGGATCTTTCCGGTGGCTACCTCAGCCCACTCCTGTGGTGATAGGATTTCTCTTTAGCTCATGGTTGCTGAAGGATGCAGTAAGCAGACCCAGATGGAGACATTCTTCTAAGCCTTGACTGGTATAAAGCAGAGTTTGGTGTAGTGAAAAGTACAGACTTTGAAGACTGACCTGAGCGCGAATCTCAGCTCTCCAGTCAAGCCATTGTGTGACCTTCAGCCTGTTCCTTAACCATTAAGAAGAAGAGAAAAAGAGGCAAGGCAGACATTCCTATAGGCCCTCGTTATTTATACTCCTCTTTTTCTTTAAAAATAGAACTCTATTTTAGCTAGACACATGACTACCCAGATTCAAGATGACATTTTTCAGCCTTCATTTCTACTAAGTGCGTCCCCATGACTAAATCCTAGAGAATGGGATGTAAGTGGCAGTGTTGTGGGATGGCTTCTGGGAACCTTCTTTAAGAAAGTGCTTGCAAGTATCCTTTGCTCTCTTCTTCATCCCTTCCTCTATCTTGCCTCCTGGAAACCAAATGCCACTATCAAGGACTATGAGGCAAAGACAAACATGTCAGAACCACCAGGTAGAAAGAGTCTAGGTGTCCAACATTATGGAGTGCTATATCACTCTAGACCACATCCCTAGACATTTATATGAGAGAGAAATACAGTTCAGTCTTGTTGGGAGTTATTATTTTGAGATTTTTGGCACTCACAGCCTAGCAGAAACCAAGAAGGAAAGCTACTAAATTTATTTTGTGATGATAATATAATCTTGATACCAAAAACAGATAGAACAATACAAGCAAAGACAATTATAGGACAATATTGTTTGTATACGTAGATGCTCAAATCCTAAATAAAATATCACCAAACAGACCAGCAATGTATAAAATAAACATCATCTGCTAGTAGAGTTAGTGGTGAATGTACAGGAACGTAATGATAGCCAAACTTTACAAAGTTCATAAATGTAGCTTATTACATTAGCAGAATAAAAGATAAAAGTTCTGCAATGTCAGTAGACACAGAAAAAGTATCTATTAACATTTAACACCTCTCAGGTTAAAAACAAAAATTTTTAACCTCTCAGGTTTTAACCTCTCAGGTTAAAAACAAAAATTTCATTAATCTAGGAATAGAAGGGAACCTCACTTTACCTTGATAAAGGATACAGCAACCATCATTCTTTTTTCATTGTATTTCTTTTAAGTTCTGGGGTACATGTGCAGGATGTGCAGGTTTATTACATAGGTAAATGTGTGCCATGGTAGTTTGCTGCACCTGTCAACCCATCACCTGGGTATTAAACCCAGCATGCACTAGCTCTTTTCCCTAATGCTCTCCACCCCACTACCCTTTCCCAACAGGCCCCAGTGTTGTTCTCCACCCTGTGTCCATGTGTTCCCATTGTTCAGCTCCCACTTATAAGTGGGAACATGGGGTGTTTGGTTTTCTGTTCCTGCAAAACGTAATTCATCACATAAACAGAACTAAAAACAAAAACCACATGACTATCTCAATAGACACAGAAAAGGCCTTCGATAAAATTCAACATCCCTTCATGTTAAAAACTCTAAATAAACTAGGTGTTGAAGGAACATACCTCGAAATAATAAAAGCCATTTATGACAAACCCACAGCCAATATCATACTGAAAAGGCAAAAGCTGGACGCATTCCCCTTGAAAACTGGCACAAGGATGCCCGCTCTCACCACTCTTATTCAACATAATATTGGAAGTTCTGGCCAGGGCAATCAGGCAAGAGAAAGAAATAAAGGGTATTCAAATAGGAAGAGAGGAAGCAACCATCATTCTTTAATGGGGAAAATTTAGAAGCATTCCTAGTGTGGGTTTGGAAAACAGGGCCTTTAGCTTTCATTGAGTGATCAAATGGGTTGGCAACTCAAGGACTGAGAGCACATCTCTGAGGATACCTTGTCACCATAGTTGAAGATGATGATGTGAGTTGTCCTTTTCCCTCCCCTCCCCTTCCCTTCCCTGGGTCATGAGAGTCTTGGCAATCATCAGGTCCATTACTGCCTTTCCATTCCTCATTCATTAGAAGATAATGTCAATCATCTTCTGTTCAAGTTTTTTTTAACTCCTTTGTCAAGCCAGTCATTTCTGCTAGAAACAACGACAGCTACTTTACTGCTTTCTGTGTTTGTAAGACATCTTACAAAGTAGTAGGTAGAGGGGAGACCCATTAAATAGACATTATGGAAATAGTAAAAGCCCTACTATGTATTAAGCATTACTCCAGGCTTTGTACCTGGGGTTACAAAGATGAGTGAGAAGTGCTCTCTACCTCTAAGATACATATGCTGTTGCAAAACGGACTTCATTCTTATGATACATTTCTTGTCTTTGAAACATATACATTGTTAGATAGTAAATGACTAATAAATTCCTAGAATGAATAATCAATTAGCTGGTGCAAAGAATGAGATAGAAGCAGGACTTCTTGAAATGGTGAAGCAATGATAAAATTGAACAAAACTGGACAAAAACCACTGAAGAACCTGGAAGTTAACCAGAAGCACACAACAAAAGGTGAAGGGTTTTGTTTATTTGTTTTGTTTTGTTTTGTTTTTAACAAAAACTAATGAAATTCTGGTAAGAACACTGGTAGTCTATGGCATTTTAGCCTGGGCCTGCTCTTCAGTTGTTTCTAATAATTCGGTTGTTCTTTTGGGTTTTCTTTATGGCAACCATATCATCTGCAAATAACTACAGTTTTATTTGGTCCTTTTCAAAATGTATGCACTTATTTTTCTTGTCTGATTCCACTAGCTAAGACCTCCAGTGCAAAGTTAAAGAGTAGTGGTGATAGTGGATATCCTTGTTTTAAATGGAAATACTTTTAATGTTTTCTCTATATGAATGATGTTTACTCTAAGAGGTTTTTTGTTACCCTTTTTCAAGTTAAAGATATTTCTTCCCACTCCTTTTTTACTAAGCTTTTATCAATAGTTTGTGTTGGATTTCATCAAATGCTTTTTATTTATCTGTTGGTGATCATATGATTTTTTTTCTCCATTAATTTGCTAATGCAGTGAATAATACTTATAGATTTGTCTAATATTAGACTTTTTTGCACTCCTGAGCATAAACCCACCATGGTCATGATGCATTTTCTTTCTTATGTCCTTTGAGTCTGTTGTCTAGTGTTTTAGTATTTTTCATCTGTTTTCAAGTAGTAGAAAGTAGTGGCGCTTTTCCCAGATCATCATAGAATCCCAAGGGTGTGTGTCTGTGTATGTGTGCATGCACATGTGTGTGTGTGTGTGCATGTATACACACACACTTTCCCATAGTCATCTGTCCCTTTCACAGATATCAGAACCAAGGACCTCTGGACCTCCCTTTGCCTGGAATGGGCCCAACGTCTGTCACACTGATTCTTGTGCCCAAACTCCTCCCTCTTACATGTTTTGAAGAGACAGTAGGGCTGGCCCCTGACCCTACAACTACAGCCACTCACCTTTGTGCTGTCTGTCCTCCAGGTGCCCTTCTCCAACTGCAGCCGAGACTGCCTGGCAGGGACCAGGAAAGGGATCATTGAGGGGGAGCCCACCTGCTGCTTTGAGTGTGTGGAGTGTCCTGATGGGGAGTATAGTGATGAGACAGGTAAGGGAACCCCTCTTGGGCACTGTGCAGGGCTTGGTCCACTTCGGAGGCCTGGGGTCAGTGAAGCCCATGGAAGGGCTGGGCTGAGATGGTGCTTTGCACAGTTTCTCATTTAACAAAGGTATATCTGAGCATCACAAAATGTTGGGCATGGAGGTGGAACAGAAAAAGAATGTTAGATGTTCTTTTAATACCATAAAAGATAACAATACCTATTACACATCTTTCTCTTACTTCATATTGTCGGCCAATATATTTCCTTTTTGTTAGAGTTTAGTGGCCCTGCATGGACACAGTTATGTCTGCTCCAGACTCCAGAGTTAATAGGCCATCATAGAATTGCCTGCTGGGTGCCTGGCACTGAATTTGCTATCTTACTTGTGTTTTTCCTGTTTCTCAGGTTATTTTTAGGTGGGAATAATAATTAAACCTATCCTATAGAATTTTGAGAATTAGATGATTAATATTGGTAATGCACATGGTAAGTTCTAGATAAATATTTGTTAAATAAAACTTTGGCATATTAGAAGTACTCTATAAATATTAACTATAGTTGATATTATCTCATGTTATCCTCACCCCAGTGATGGGGTTATTGCTGCTCCCATTTTATAAATTAGGAAACTGAGGCTCTGAGAGGTTAAGAAGCTTGATCAAAGTCACATCACTAGTAAGTTGTATGGCCAGGATTCCATCCAGATCTCTAACTCCAAAACCCATGCTCCCTTCACTGCCCAAAACTGCATACTGCCTGGGAGTTAGCAGAGACTTAGTAAACAGTTGTCAGTTGAATGAGTCTGCAGCCTCCCTCATCAAAAAGCTGTGGATGTGGAGTGAGGAAAGCACAGGTCATGTGCATGGGATACTCTGCCTTGATCTAAAAGGAAGTCTGCTCTGGCATGTCTACAAAGCCCATCCATATATCCAAAATAAATCACTCTCCATGTGAGATGTCAGATATGTTCATTTGCCTCACTAGAGTAGCCAGTTTACTGCCCATATGTATCCCACAACATTATGTTGTAAACCTCAAATATTACCCAATAATATTTAAATAAATAAATCAGGCTAAGCTTGAATCATTCTGCGAAGAGTTGATGGACCATGCTAGACCTCTGGTGTGCAGGGCAGCCACCTGTCCAGCAAGGTTGATCATTCCCTGCCATCAGAAGATAGTGTTAAGTGAAACAAGGGCCTCACCCATGTCATGTGCAAAGGGAAAACAAACTAACAATAGAACCATCAGAGTTACATGAAATTAACCATGTTATTAAACATGTCGGGGTTCAGCATATTTTTGATAATGTAAAAATCAGAATGATTTCATCAAAATGGAGAAAATATGTAGTGACCACATCCAAAAAACTATGTATTCCCACCACCACATGTACACTCACACATTTTAGTCTGTGCCACACAATAACTCACTCTTCACTGGGACATTTTACAGATGCCAGTGCCTGTAACAAGTGCCCAGATGACTTCTGGTCCAATGAGAACCACACCTCCTGCATTGCCAAGGAGATCGAGTTTCTGTCGTGGACGGAGCCCTTTGGGATCGCACTCACCCTCTTTGCCGTGCTGGGCATTTTCCTGACAGCCTTTGTGCTGGGTGTGTTTATCAAGTTCCGCAACACACCCATTGTCAAGGCCACCAACCGAGAGCTCTCCTACCTCCTCCTCTTCTCCCTGCTCTGCTGCTTCTCCAGCTCCCTGTTCTTCATCGGGGAGCCCCAGGACTGGACGTGCCGCCTGCGCCAGCCGGCCTTTGGCATCAGCTTCGTGCTCTGCATCTCATGCATCCTGGTGAAAACCAACCGTGTCCTCCTGGTGTTTGAGGCCAAGATCCCCACCAGCTTCCACCGCAAGTGGTGGGGGCTCAACCTGCAGTTCCTGCTGGTTTTCCTCTGCACCTTCATGCAGATTGTCATCTGTGTGATCTGGCTCTACACCGCGCCCCCGTCAAGCTACCGCAACCAGGAGCTGGAGGATGAGATCATCTTCATCACGTGCCACGAGGGCTCCCTCATGGCCCTGGGCTTCCTGATCGGCTACACCTGCCTGCTGGCTGCCATCTGCTTCTTCTTTGCCTTCAAGTCCCGGAAGCTGCCGGAGAACTTCAATGAAGCCAAGTTCATCACCTTCAGCATGCTCATCTTCTTCATCGTCTGGATCTCCTTCATTCCAGCCTATGCCAGCACCTATGGCAAGTTTGTCTCTGCCGTAGAGGTGATTGCCATCCTGGCAGCCAGCTTTGGCTTGCTGGCGTGCATCTTCTTCAACAAGATCTACATCATTCTCTTCAAGCCATCCCGCAACACCATCGAGGAGGTGCGTTGCAGCACCGCAGCTCACGCTTTCAAGGTGGCTGCCCGGGCCACGCTGCGCCGCAGCAACGTCTCCCGCAAGCGGTCCAGCAGCCTTGGAGGCTCCACGGGATCCACCCCCTCCTCCTCCATCAGCAGCAAGAGCAACAGCGAAGACCCATTCCCACAGCCCGAGAGGCAGAAGCAGCAGCAGCCGCTGGCCCTAACCCAGCAAGAGCAGCAGCAGCAGCCCCTGACCCTCCCACAGCAGCAACGATCTCAGCAGCAGCCCAGATGCAAGCAGAAGGTCATCTTTGGCAGCGGCACGGTCACCTTCTCACTGAGCTTTGATGAGCCTCAGAAGAACGCCATGGCCCACAGGAATTCTACGCACCAGAACTCCCTGGAGGCCCAGAAAAGCAGCGATACGCTGACCCGACACGAGCCATTACTCCCGCTGCAGTGCGGGGAAACGGACTTAGATCTGACCGTCCAGGAAACAGGTCTGCAAGGACCTGTGGGTGGAGACCAGCGGCCAGAGGTGGAGGACCCTGAAGAGTTGTCCCCAGCACTTGTAGTGTCCAGTTCACAGAGCTTTGTCATCAGTGGTGGAGGCAGCACTGTTACAGAAAACGTAGTGAATTCATAAAATGGAAGGAGAAGACTGGGCTAGGGAGAATGCAGAGAGGTTTCTTGGGGTCCCAGGGAAGAGGAATCGCCCCAGACTCCTTTCCTCTGAGGAAGAAGGGATAATAGACACATCAAATGCCCCGAATTTAGTCACACCATCTTAAATGACAGTGAATTGACCCATGTTCCCTTTAAAATTAAAAAAAAGAAGAGCCTTGTGTTTCTGTGGTTGCATTTGTCAAAGCATTGAGATCTCCACGGTCAGATTTGCTGTTCACCCACATCTAATGTCTCTTCCTCTGTTCTATCCCACCCAACAGCTCAGAGATGAAACTATGGCTTTAAACTACCCTCCAGAGTGTGCAGACTGATGGGACATCAAATTTGCCACCACTAGAGCTGAGAGTCTGAAAGACAGAATGTCACCAGTCCTGCCCAATGCCTTGACAACAGACTGAATTTTAAATGTTCACAACATAAGGAGAATGTATCTCCTCCTATTTATGAAAACCATATGATATTTTGTCTCCTACCTGCTGCTGCTATTATGTAACATCCAGAAGGTTTGCACCCCTCCTATACCATATGTCTGCTTCTGTCCAGGACATGATACTGATGCCATGTTTAGATTCCAGGATCACAAGAATCACCTCAAATTGTTAGGAAGGGACTGCATAAACCAATGAGCTGTATCTGTAATTAATATTCCTATATGTAGCTTTATCCTTAGGAAAATGCTTCTGTTGTAATAGTCCATGGACAATATAAACTGAAAAATGTCAGTCTGGTTTATATAAGGCAGTATTATTGAGCTCTATTTCCCCACCCCACTATCCTCACTCCCATAAGCTAAGCCTTATGTGAGCCCCTTCAGGGACTCAAGGGTCCAGAAGTCCCTCCCATCTCTACCCCAAAGAATTCCTGAAGCCAGATCCACCCTATCCCTGTACAGAGTAAGTTCTCAATTATTGGCCTGCTAATAGCTGCTAGGGTAGGAAAGCGTGGTTCCAAGAAAGATCCACCCTCAAATGTCAGAGCTATGTTCCCTCCAGCAGTGGTATTAATACTGCCGGTCACCCAGGCTCTGGAGCCAGAGAGACAGACCGGGGTTCAAGCCATGGCTTCGTCATTTGCAAGCTGAGTGACTGTAGGCAGGGAACCTTAACCTCTCTAAGCCACAGCTTCTTCATCTTTAAAATAAGGATAATAATCATTCTTTCCCCTCAGAGCTCTTATGTGGATTAAACGAGATAATGTATATAAAGTACTTTAGCCTGGTACCTAGCACACAATAAGCATTCAATAAATATTAGTTAATATTATTACTGATACTGTAATAATTATTTTTTCCCTTACTTCAAATACAAAACAAAACATACATATTAACCATTCAGATTGTACTGCCTAGCCCACTGATCACAATCACTCTCTCTGTAATAAGCCCAAGAGCTCTGGGCCCAACACATGGGGTCAGCCATAGTATCACTGGCTCATGGTGAGGAAGCCAGAAAGCTGGTCAGCCCCTCAGGTGGCCCAATGCCCTGTCTCCGCAGTGTCAGGGCCTGGACCTCCAGCATCCAGGGAAGACCATCACCAGTCTAGCAGGAGGTTCTAAGCTGAGGCCAAACCATTGCAATTAAATCTCCTGAAGCCTCAAATTTTACAGCTCTTGGTGACTTCTTCCCCTGACCACTTTCTTCCAAAGGGGCGCCTTTCAGTGATTTGTAGGGCAAATTGGTGGACTTGATAGTTGTTAAGATTATAATGAGAAATCATTAGAGGGCACCATGTGGGAGCGCGACTGTGAGCAGAAGGTGGTGACTCAGGATGACCCAAGTGAGGTGCCTGCTCCCCACCTAGGAAGGGCACCGGCCCCCACCCAGCCTGCGCCCCCCTGCAGTCATGCCTCTGAGCAAGGCACCGAGCTGAGTGGGGATTTATATTTAACATTTTACTTGGTCTTAAAAGAAATGCTGAAAATGTGATGGTTTCAAAATAACTATGAGGGAACAGCCTCAACAGAATGTGACATACTTCTCCCTCCAGGGTTTGACTTCAATGTCCATGTCACCCAAGGGGCTTTAGGAGGAAAACATAGGTTTACAGTGAGCTTTTATTTCACCAAGTGCTTGCAAATAAGGAGTCTCTCCCAATGCTGTTGTCAGAAAGGCAGATACAGAAACACTGTCCCAATTTATACGTAGCAGGCACAACTCAGCACAAAATCAGGGGTGTGAAATATGAACTTGCATTGTTTTTCTACAACAACTTAATTTCTATCTCAAATTCCCCTCCAGCCTAGTGACAGAAACTTCATCTTAGTCGAATCGGGGTTTTCACAGTAACCTCAGTGTTTTCTGAGCCAATTTAGATGTTTGGGGATCAATTCAGAGGTTGTTCCTTCTCCCTTCCAGGAGGGCTTTTGTAATGTTGGGGTGGGCCTCCTCAGTCATCAGCAGCTCCCTCATGACATTGCTGAAAGCAATCTTATCTGGCCTTCGCTGGCGTGCTCTGAGGCATTGTATCCTCATCTGGTCCCATCATGGGTTTCGTGGTGGTTTTCACGCATGCCTCACTGTCCTAACCAGTCGGTCCCTGTGGGGCCTGCTAGCTCTTGCAGCTACCTCCATGCTCATCCCTGAGGCCCAGAAATCACTGGCAGCCTCACTTTCATGTCTACTTGACTGCTGTCTCCCCATGACAGTACACAGAGCTTATGGAGGCTAACAAAGCTTCCAGGGTACCAGAGAAGAAACAGGGTACATGTCTCCAAACCTGAATAGACTTCGTAGTGGGCAAATAATGGTCACCCAAAGATGCCCACATCCTCATCTCTAGAACCTATGGCTATGTTGTTACATGGCAAGGGTGAATTAAAGTATAGTGGAATTAAGATTGCTAATCAGCTGACCTTGAGATAGGAAGAGCGTCCCAAATTATCCAGGTGGGTCCAGTGGAATCCCAAGGGCCCTTAAATGTGGACGAAGCAGAAGAGTCAGTGTGAGAGCAATACAGTATGAGAAAAACACCACTGGCCTGTACTGCCTTTGCGTAGGGAAGTGGACATGAGCTGAGGAAGGCAGGCTGCTTCTAGAAGCTGGCAAATGCCAGAAAACCGATTCTCCCCTAAAACATCCAGAAAGGAATGCAGCCCTGCCAACATCTTGATTTTAGCCCAGTGACACCCTTGTAGGACTTTGGACCTCCAGATCTGTAAGATAATACATTTGTGTTGTTTTAAGCCATGAAGTTTATAGTAATTTGTTTCAGCAGCAACAGAAAACAAATACATTTGTATTGTTATCTCCTTCCCTGAGTTTTGGCAGCCAGAGCCTGTCTCAGAGATCTATTCCTGTTCTCACTGTGGTCCTCTTCCCTTCACCTAGCTCACTCCTTCCCCTCTAATATTCTATTCCTCTACATCTGCTTGGGAAAGTATAAACCTCATATTCTAAGTCTTTGCTGGCTTTGGTTATAGAAAATACACAGCCGTGTTGTCTCATTCTATTATCTGTCAGTAGCAGAAACCTGAAATTGGTAGCTTCAACAAACTAGTGTTTGCTTTTCTCTTGAATAAAGGAAGTCAGGAGGTAAATATATGATCACCTTTTAATTACTTTTTAAAATATTTCTTAGGTTTTGTTAACAATGGGAAACTGCTTACATTTCTTTTGAAAATTAAAATGAATTATAAAGTTAAAAAGATTTTCACTCAAATGAAAGTGTCCTAGAAGATTTTAAGAATTTAGGTTGGAAATTTAGAGGTGACGATCAGCATATAACATCAATACCCTGAAAGTCCCTATGATCGTCACACGTTGTCTAATTGCATTAATTTTGATTTTGGGGAAGTTGGGGCTACCCTACCTCTGTCTCCAAAAGGCACATTTCAAGGCAATGTTGTCTGTCGTTTTGCTCTGGCTGAAATCACATAGCTACGGGCTGGTTCTGCCCAGCCAGAGCTTCCCTTTGCTCATCTGCTGCATTTGAAATAATTATTGCTACAAGAATAATGGAACATCAATAAGGGGTGCTAATCACCGGAGGAGGTGGCCCTCATTTGTCTGAGCCTGAGTGGTCATTTTAGGAGTCCACTGGAGACAAGAATACTCCCAAAGGTGGGTGGAATTAGGGTAGGTGGGAGGAAGTTGCCACAGTGAGATCACAGCCTCTGGGAGATGCTGGTTTTCCTGGCCCAGATCATGGAAAAAAAACATCAAGACTTGGATGACAACTTTGAGTGACTTTGCTATTATGCAAGGAGTGAGGCAGGGGTCAGGGAAACAACAAGCACAGGGTAGAACCTGTCACAGGAATAAAGGTGCATTCCAAGGATCCAAAGAAGAACCTTAGCCTTGAGAGGAAAAGCTCAGCAAGTGGTATGAGAAATGGAGAACTGCTAGGTGAAGGCCAACAGGGCAGGAAGCCGGGCAGAGCCAGCATGAAGGTGCCTCTGGGAACTGGAGGGACAACTGTGACTCTAGCACCGAGTGGGGCTAGGGGAACCTTCTCCTCTGTTGGGAATAACCACCACATTCATCCCCTCCCCTGACCCCTGGACAAGAGTGGAGGACACTTGGAGTGGAGACAAGCAGGGGTACCTGTTTAAATCAACAGCTGAGGCCAGATGCAGAGGCTCATGCCTGCAATCCCAGCACTTTGGGAGGCTGAGGTGGGAGGATCACTTGAGCCCTAAGAGTTGAAGACCAGCCTGGGCAACATGGCAAAACCCCATCTCTACAAACAATAAAAAAAAAAAACAGCTGGACATGGTGGCATGCGCCTGTAGTGGCAGATAACTCAGGAGGCTGAGGTGGGGGGATCTGCTTGAGCCCAGGAGGTGAAGGCTGCATTGAGCTGTGATTGCACCACTGCACTCCAGCCTGGGTGACAGAGCAAGACCCTGCCAAAAAAAAAAAAAAAGAAGAAGAAAAACAATTTTATTGGTAGAGGCGGGGGGAATAATAGAGATACAGCACCAGCTCCCTGCCTCTAAAATGTGGGCACCTGGGTAACTAGATAGCGCAGGAAGTTAGAACAAATAAAAGCAGCAAACTCTGTGACTGAAGTTTCAGCACATGGATGGCAAATATTTTCAAGTTTGGTGAAAATAGGTAAGAGATCAAAGCCCAAGAATAAACCCTGGGGTCATTACAGGATTTCCTGTAAAGGCATCAGGAAATGTTTTTGGAAGAATGTGATTGTCTTCGTTGATATCAACCCAAAGATGTGGTTATTGTTCAGAATGTCCTGATTTTCTTTAAATGTTTTGTTTCTATCTGACCTCTCATTATAAATGAGAAACTTATAAATTATAAATATACACTCATTATAAATGAAGATTGCTTGGTAATGGACTAATGGATAATTGTTTCTGCTTCTTTAGGATGTTCTAAATTTTTCCCAAGTTTTGTACATTAAGCACAAAATTATAACAGGAAAATAAAGAAAAGAATTTAAAATAAACATGCAACCAAATTTTAAACAGATAAGTATATCATATTAGATAGGAATCACCATACTGGGTCAGTCACCCCTCCTCCAAATTTTTCTTTATTCTTTTTTTTTTATTATACTTTAAGTTTTAGGGTACATGTGCACAACGTGCAGGTTTGTTACATATGTATACATGTGCCATGTTGGTGTGCTGTACCCATTAACTCGTCATTTACCATTAGGTATATCTCCTAATGCTATCCCTCCCCCCTCCCCCCACCCCACAATAGGCCCTGGTGTGTGATGTTCCCCTTCCTGTGTCCATGTGATCTCATTGTTCGATTCCCACCTATGAGTGAGAATACGTGGTGTTTGGTTTTTTGTCCTTGTATTAGTTTGCTGAGAATGATGGTTTCCAGCTTCATCCATGTCCCTACAAAGGACACGAACTCCTCATTTTTTATGGCTGCATAGTATTCCATGGTGTATATGTGCCACATTTTCTTAATCCAGTCTATCGTTGTTGGACATTTGGGTTGGTTCCAAGTCTTTGCTATTGTGAATAGTGCCACAATAAACATATGTGTGCATGTGTCTTTATAGCAGCATGATTTCTAATCCTTTGGGTATATACCCAGTAATGGGATGGCTGGGTCAAATGGTATTTCTAGTTCTAGATCCCTGAGGAATCGCCACACTGACTTCCACAATGGTTGAACTAGTTTACAGTCCCACCAACAGTGTAAAAGTGTTCCTATTTCTCCACATCCTCTCCAGCACCTGTTGTTTCCTGACTTTTTAATGATCGCCATTCTAACTGGTGTGAGATGGTATCTCATTGTGGTTTTGATTTGCATTTCTCTGATGGCCAGTGATGATGAGCATTATAAATGAAGATTGCTTGGTAGTGGACTAATGGATAATTGTTTCTGCTTCTTTAGGATTTTCTAAATTTTTCCCAAGTTTTGTATATTAAGCACAAAATTATAACAGGAAAATAAAGAAAAGAATTTAAAATAAACATGCAACCAAATTTTAAACAGATAAGCATATCATATTAGATAGGAATCACCATATTGGGTCAGTCACCCCTCCTACAAATTTTTCCAGAGCTCTAATTAGCTCCCAAGAGTTTCATGGGACTTTTAAATTTCTGAACGGGCCGAGGACATAGAATAGTGGAAAAGAGGGGGATTCTAGGCAGTATGACAGATAAGTTACACGTCTTTGGATGAGGCACTTAAGCTTTCTTTGTCTCACTTTCCACTATGAAAAGTACATAGGCCAGGCATGGTAGCTCATGCCTGTAATCCCAGCACTTTAGGAGGCCAAGGCAGGAGGATCATTTGAGGTCAGGAGTGTGAGACAAGCCTGGGCAACATGGTGAAACTTCATCTGTACAAAAAATACAAAAAATTAGCTGGGCATGATGGCATGCACCTGTAATCCCAGCTACTTGGGAGGCTGAGGTGGAAGGCTCCCTTGGGTCCAGGAGGCAGAGGTTGCAATGAAGCAAGATGTAGCCACTGCACTCCAGCCTGGGCAACAGAGCCAGACTTTGTCTCAAAAAAAGAAAAGTAGATAGACTATTACCTGCCATAATTACCAACTATGGTTGTTTGCCAAATAAAACAAGTGATTTGAAAGGAACTTCAGGAATATAGGCAAAATATAAATAATTATTAAAACCATGGGTGACTGAAGCTTAGAGAATTTGCTTTTGAAATCTCAGGAAGTACCATGGAATGCAATGATTTCTTCTGTCAGGTTTCTTAGTTGGAGGCAATAGAATTCACTCTAACTAGTTCAAGCAGAAAGGTACTTGTTATATGGTATTAGGAAGCTTATAACATTTTGGGAGGCTCAGTGATCCAAATTTAGTTGCTATACAATCAGGATCAATTCACCCAGGAGAAATACCTAATCCCCCTATGAGGGTGTTCTGGCAAAAGCTTCATAACCTCCCCTGCCTTCCACTTAGCACCAAGACACAGAGAACAGGACACTGGAACCTTCACTGAAGCTGGAGGAACCAAATCCCTCTGCCTGTGCTTGGCCCCACTCACACCAACTTTCCAAGTCTCATATCAGCCACATGCAGAGCCCTGGCTGTCAAGGAGTCTGGAAATGTAGCATTTGTTTCCCAGCCTCTATAGTGGAGGAAGACCTGCTAGAAGAGGGTCAGAGTGGCTACTGAACAAGCCCGTCCGCAGTGTCTACCACCCCAAAACAAAGATTTTTAAGATCAAACACAACATGAAAAACACACTCTCTTAAGAAAAATATAAGCAAAATATGATTTATTTTTATCTCCACAGCTGTGGTAGATCCACAAGATGCTGTGCTGGAGGCTGAACTACACCTGGCATTTTACTATGAGGGAGAACCTGCTGGCAGAGGAGATGGAAAGACAGCGGGAACTTGCACTGCAGGGGAGGGTGCTACAGGGGAGTGTGGCAACAAGTGTGTTTTATTATAAGCCAATTAGTACTATTTGTCTTTTTAAATAACACACATATGTTTGTATGTGTGTCTTTGTGTGTGTTGGTGTTGTATGGTAACCCGACCTGATAGTAATAAGTTAACAAGAAATGACGGTTTCCAGATGGAGGTTGCTGGGGGGAGAGTGCTAAGTGAACATGCTATGCGAACTGCATGCTTTTTACAAGAGGTTGAGGTTCTCCCATCCAGTCCACCACCACTGAACTGCCCTGTATTTAAGTCCCCTTCAGGAAACCCTGTGCCTGCTTTGCTGGCTCCAGGTCTCTTCTTCAGCCTCTTGAACCTGGTGCCATCCCTACTGCAGTTAATACGGGTCCAGTACAACAAGTGTCTATTTAGTAGCCTGGAGAAAATGCATAATGATTTAATAGTGATTATGTCTGGGTGTTAGAATTATTAGTGATTTGTATTTTCTTTGTAATATTTTTCTGAGCTTTTGTTCCTTAATTTCTTTCCATGAGCGTAATGTATCGTAAAACAAGAAAAATCTGTCACTTGAGTTCTCAGATAGGACAATATTATGGTCATGTTTTTGGTTTGTTCATTTGTTTAAGCTTTTATTTGGACATAATTTCAGACTTACAGAAAATTTGCCAAAGGAAAAGTAGTACAAAGAACACTTGAATCCCCACTGCCCAGATTCAGTTACTGTTTACATTTTAGCCCATTTGCTTTGTCCTTTGTGCCATGGTCATTTAAAAAAATGTGATGCGCATTAAGTA
Organism: Homo sapiens; assembly: GCF_000001405.40. Classification (NCBI taxonomy): domain Eukaryota; kingdom Metazoa; phylum Chordata; class Mammalia; order Primates; family Hominidae; genus Homo; species Homo sapiens. Next base: position 122,293,833 of record NC_000003.12, read on the forward strand.
CTTATGGATGAAATCATATGATGTCTGGGATTTGCCTTAAAATACTAGAATGGGGAGGAAAAAAGGAATAAGGGAGAGAAATAAAACAGGAAGAGCAGAAAATTATGGTCATTGAAGCTGGGTGACAGGTAAAGGAAGGTTCGTTTTTCTATTTCCCTTTCTTTTTTTTAGTTTTAAATTTTTTTCCATAATAAAAAATGTTAAAAAGCAGTGGAAGGATAAAAAATACTATTAGTCAAAAAAAAAAATCACACCAAAGAATTTCACTGATTTGACTGGTTCAATTAGCCACAAGAAAAGTTTGTCAAACACTCACAAAAAAGAGAACCTGAAAGTCTGCCAGGCAGCTAAAATTGTAGTTGGACAGCAAAAAATTTAAAATCAAATTAAGACTTTTACAACAAGGTTAAAAAGTAATTCTTTGGACTATATCAGAAAGGCCTTCCTGGAGCTTAATGAAAAACAAGTCCCCTGGATCTTCTAACATTTCATCCATTTATGATCTTATCCTTAGGTGAACCAACTCTTGGCTGGTTCACATTTTTTATCGTCTTCTGGCAAAATGTTAAAAATTTCTTAACAGATCCTTCTTAGCCTTTGTGCCAGAAATTTCTCTTTTATGCACAGTCCCAAGTAAATAATCCAACAGGCAGCAAAATTAATTAGTTACCAACGTGTTCAGGCTAAAAGAGAACCTGTCTGGGCCGTATTGAGGGTAGGCCTGCACCCGGGGAGCACTGGCAACTGCTGACGTCCTGTGAGAAAAACAGGAGAGGATCCAGCGCCCAACACCCAGGCTAAGGAAATTATGCTATAATTCCATGTCAGGGAGCCCACAGACATTAGCTGTGCAAACATGTGGACTATGTCAAAACACAATCAAGTTCAAGAAATAATGTTTAGGGAAGAACAGGACACAGAATAGGATATCCACACAGGATAACATGAATACAATTTCACTGAAAAGCAAAACGAGGGAATAGGATGGAGGAAACTGAGTTTATTGTTCATTTGCTTTTCTTTTGTAAAGTTACATAACTTTGCTGTAAAAAGGAAGGAGAGAGGGGAGGAAGGAAGAAAAGAAGGGAGGACAGAAGAAAGCCTTATCTGAGATCTGAGATATATATTTTAACTGTGATTTAAGGGCTAAGAAAGCCAAGATTCTAGGAGACAGGAGATTAGAGGAAGTCACTTTTGGGCTCTTGAGGTAAATCCAGCAGAATTATTGACTGGATAGGCTATGGAGAGTGCTAATTCATTTCCCACACTCTGGTCAATATTAGGTGACCTGTGATAAGGTGGAAGACAAAACATTCAAAGAACAATTTTTTAACATCACTTTGTTATGCAACCAAACACAAAACAGACCAAATGTTATTAGCATTGCTCAATGTCTCCTCTTTCTGTGCCTCATCATCCTCCTCCACCTCCCACCATGCTAATGAAGGCCCCAGACATCTCCAGCCTGGACCATCACAACTGTAACAATCTTACTGAGCAAGCAAAGCTCTTGGGATAGAATCCTAAAGTAACTTCACTTTTGTACACTTTCATGTGATAGTCAAAACTCTGAACACAGTTTCATTTGGGCCTCTTCCCCTTCCTCAGCTCAGGCCTCCTGCAGATGAACAAGCCTATAGTCAGAGAAGAGGGTGTGGTTAGCCATTTCCCCCTTCACCCCATTTGTGCCGTGCCCTTTCCTCTGTGCACACGTGGTTAATCCCTCCGAAACTGGGACACAGGGAGGAAGGAAAGTAAGTTACAGCTGACTCTTTTGCTTGTGGGTACTTTCATGTGTTCTTTGGAGCCTTCTTCCATTGCTGGAGACCTGTCTCCTCCAGGTTCCTTAATGGGGGTGATATACTCTCCTCACCTGGAAGCATCTTTTGATATACCTAGTTTCTGTTTGCCCCTCCAGGCAACCCTCTTGACCAGGACCTAAGAACATGCAAAAGAATAAACTCTAAATTCCTATTGCCCTGGGGTTCTTTTCCAGGCAGCAAGGGCCACCGGATAAAATAAATGACGCAATGCAGATACACAGAAACACTCCACTTACTTCCCCTGACAGCCACTTCCATGGAAGATTCAACACAGCTGAAAGGCCCAAAAAAAGTTCTTGAGTTCCCAGGTGTGAATAATAACAGGGACAAAGACTCTTTCCTTTGACCAAAACTTTAGTCAAGCTCCTCTGAGTGCTCCTCATAACTAGGCCCAACCTTGGGCTTCCCTCCCTGTCCTTGCTGAATCAAATGTGAGCAAGAATCCTGTTAAGTCAGGTTAGGGAAAATCCCCCACTCTAGGTATCTGACCACCCTCAATATCTTATCACCCTGGCCTGCCTGCAGCAAGAATCCTATCAAGTTAGTTTAGCCAGACACCCCTTATCCCTGATGTTTCCTCTTAGTCATTTTCCACCCACAGTCACCACCCTGCTCCTTCGCTACGAATCCCCACTTGTACTGGTTGGGGTCAGAGTTAAGTCTGATTGGCAAGACCCTGTTGCAGTGGTCCCTACACCTATTGCCATGGCCCCCTCCAGTAAAATCTGCCTGACCATCTTGCCTAGTGCTTGGGTAATCTTTTTTTTAACAACCATTATTTCAAATTCAAAATCATGCCCTCAACATCACTTCCTTGGTCCCAAGCCCCCTCCCAGACTCCTTCCAGACATTCCCCTAAGGTGGGAGCTGTGGCTTTTTTCATTATAATACCCTTAAGGAGTCAGCCACATAATCAGGACACCCAAGAGTAGAGATTTCAAAGTTCAACTGAATCCCTCGACACATTTGGTTTTGACTCTAGCTATTTTCTTGGCTCAACTCCCTGTTCTGTTATATAGGCAAGATTCTGTAGTTTCTTCCTTCCTATCTTGTCTGACTCCCCCCAATATGTGATCTAAAACCACTAACTTAAAACATTTCACTTCTGTTAACTATAACCTCATAATTCACCCTTCCCAATAAACTGGATTTTCCTACTTGATCAACAATATTCAATGATTTTCATTTGCCACTTCAGAAAAACCCCACCAACATCAATGAGACATATTCTATTGCATTTCATGAGACATCAATGAGTGTGATCTGGAGAAAATATTTATTTAAGCCAGAAACAAAAATTTTGATCTGGAGAAAATATTTATTCGAGCCAGAAACAAAAATTTCTTTGCAACATTGGCAGTTATAGAAATTATCCTAACAAGAGTCAACCCCACAGAGCCTTGTGGACTTTGAAAGGATCTAAGACCACGGCAGAGACTCACCTTTTAGTAAAGCAGTAAGTCTTGACATCGTGTGAGTTTGGACATTGATGGATGATCCTCTTGGATTTGATTTGAGCAGATAACCCACAAAAGGTGTGTATGCCTCTCCTACATTTTTGGATTCTTTCACTGTGCTTGATAAAAGAAGGCAAATAGAATTTAGGATGTCAAGTTGAAGTTAATAGTAAGATTCAAGTGATTTGGATTCTCTAATTATAGTCAAAGAAAACACTCAGCTTCCTTAACAAAACTAGCGGGTAAAACGATCTGACTTCAGATGTATCAGATACACAAATTAGCACTATCCTCCAGAACCAAACTGCATCCACCTGGTTATAACAATCTCATTCTAAATCCCAGCAGTTTGGGAGGCCGACGTGGGGGGATCACGAGGTTAGGAGATCGAGACCATCCTGGCTAACACAGTGAAACCCCGTCTCTACTTTAAAAAAATACAAAAAAGTAGCCGGGCGTGGTGGCGGGCGCCTGCAGTCCCAGCTACTCCGGAGGCTGAGGCAGGAGAATGGCGTGAACTCGGGAGGCGGAGCTTGCAGTGAGCGGAGATAGCACCACTGCACTCCAGCCTGGGCGACAGAGCAAGACTCCGTCCAGAGCAAGGCTCCGTCTCAAAAAAAAATGCCATTCTATAATAAAAAAAAAATCCCTTTAATGCCTCTTTTATTAAACTCTCTTGAACAGGGTTCAATATAGTATCACCTTTTACCAAATTCCAGTGCAAAACAAACAAACATTTCAGATGGCAGTGTACTAAAGGATTCTTGCGAGTAACTCGCAGTATAATTTTTGTCAGGTCACTTACTGTGGTAGGCAGAATAATGGCCTCCAAATATGTCTATGTCCTAATCCCTGGAACCTGTAACTATGTTCTGTGGCAAAGGGGAATTAGGTTGCATATGGAATTATGATCACTAATCAGATGACCTTGAGATAGGAAAAGTATCCAGGTGGGCTGGATCACAAGGGTCCTTATAAGTGGAAGAGGGAGGCAGGAGAGTCAGGGTCAGAGTCAGAGAGAGATTTTAAGATGGTAGAAGTGACGAGAAGCCAAGGAACACAGGTGGCCTCTGAAAGCTAGAAACAGCAAGGAGCAGATTTTCCCTTAAACTTTCCAGAAAGAAATGCCAGTACCTTTAACTCAGTGAGATCCATTTTGGACTTCCAACCTCCAGAACTATAAGGTAACAAATTTGTGTTGTTTTAAGCCACTAATTTGCAGTCATCTGTTACAACAGCAATAGAACAGACACCTTCACACTTGCCCTTTCTAGGCCTCAGTTTTCTAATGTGTCCACTGGGGGAGGCAGGGGTGGTTCTGCTCTGACATTCTATGGTTGCGAGTCTTCCTGAACCGTGAAAGAATCAGGTCTTTCTCAGACCACAAAGATTTTGTGTGTTCAAACCACTGCAACTTCTGAAAACTTTCACATGGTAATAGGAATTGGTTGTCATAAAATTCATTTGACAATATGATGTTAGGATTAAATGACACTACAGAGAAAAATCAGACAAATCCAACATACTGAAATTCTTTCTATAGGACAACTGTTCTGGTCTCATCAAAAGGTCAGTATCTAGGTAGGTAGGTAGATAGATAGATAGATAGATAGATAGATAGATAGATAGATAGATAGATACACACACACATACATGGCACACATATATGGCATTTCTAATACACAAGTCTAAAGAGATATAGCAACCAAATATAATTATAACATTTGAATTAAAGAAAAATTTGGGAAATGTGAATTTGAACTGATTTTTAGATAAAATTGAGGAAGTATTGTTAGTTTTCCTAGGGGTGATAATGTGGTTATGTAACAAAATGTCGTTATATTTAGGGGATGAATGCCAAACAGTTTTGAGGTAACTGGTCACAATATCTGCAACTCAATTTTAAATGTTTTATACAAAAAAATAGACACAGATATATGTTAAAATATATGGCAAGATGCTCATAATTATGTAATCTGAGTGGTGATATAGAGGTGTTTGCTACACTGTTTCTGAATGTTTAGAAATTTGGTAACAAAAAGTTGGGGGATTTGTTTTTAAAAACTCTTTACAAATGTTTGTTAAACTTTTGCTCAGAAACTTTACATTTTGGATTCAAGATGCTCCCTTTGTATAGAACTGTTTAAAGCTATTTTGTAGCAACTCAGATTTGTGGCAAGATAACTACCACCTTATGTAAAATAGTTTAGATAAGTTTCCAGTCAAAAAGCTCATGGGAAAAAAAGTGATGTTCTTCTATGAATCAGTGGGAAATTACTGCCCTCTCATTGAAGAAAGCCTCACTTGGTGGAATGGGGATTTTTAGTCTGAGCAGGTCAGAGATTTTCATTTCTTGATTTTGCCAACAGAAGGGATAAAAGTGAAACTCTGAATATGATAAATAGAAAATTATTGCCAAGTAAAAGAAGGCAGGCACAAAAATTATTCCCTAAACACCAACATCCTACAACCAGTAGCAGAAGGAGGCTGCAAGAAATTTGTGTTTCTAAGTCTGACTAAAGTCCCAGAGCTGCGCCAGTCATTTTCTACGGACATACAAGAGAACACCAGAGAAAAAAATTAAACAGTATCATTCTAGTAAGCCCAGAGACAAGAACAGGATTAGCTAGAGATAGAATGAAAAATACTTTTATATAGTTTGCCTTTTTGACTTGAGAAAATATGACTAGTCAATACTGATTTCTATTTATATTAAAATAATTCTTAATATAAATATATTAGATATTATTAAAATAAGTAATATAAATATATTAGATATTAAGTACTAAAATAATACTTAATGATTAAAAGTTTTTATTAAAATGGTTAGTTTTTAATTTTTATTTGAAAATATATAGTTTAAATCTACAATGGAATTCATACAGAAAATTATAATTTGATCATATTGTGGATGACAGAGCCAAGATATCTGCTACCACCTGGTGGAGCATAACTGAATTGCAGTAAAAGCCTGAGATGAGAGGGTAGGAGAGATTGTCAACATCTAGCTTAAAGAAATCCCACCTAGGCCGGGTGCAGTGGCTCACGCCTGTAATCCCAACACTTTGGAAGGCCGAGTTGGGCGGATCGCCTGAGGTCAAGAGTTTGAGACCAACCTGGCCAAAATGGTGAACCCCCGTCTCTACTAAAAAAAAATCAAAAAAATTAGCCGGACATGGTAGCAGGTGTTCGTAATCCCAGCTACTCAGGAGGCTGAGGCAGGAAAATTGCTTGAACCTCGGAGGCGGAGGTTGCAGTGAGCCAAGGTCGCACCACTGCACTCTAGCCTGGGCGACAGAGTGAGACTCCTTCTCAAAAATAAATAAATAAATAAAAATCCTACCTAAGTCTTCATTCCAGAATCTTTATTTCTTATATTAATGCACAAAAATTTGACGTCTTCCATTATGGTTACCAAATATATCCAGTTTATTGAACATTGTGGGCTACAAACTCAAATAGTTTTACTTTCCTCCAGTTACTGCCTTTGACCAGGCTTTGCCAAATCTTTTTTCCCATCCCTTACCAGAATTTTGGGTAGAACCTACATCTTTCCAGTCATTTTCACTTATTAAAAAGAAGTCTTGTCTAGTGTAAAACTTGAGCTTTTGAGACTGAGTCACGCTCTGTCACCCAGGCTGCAGTGCAGTTGCATGATCTTGGCTCACTGCAACCTCTGACTCCTGGGTTCAAGCAATTCAGCCTCCCAAGTAGCTGGGATTACAGGGGTGTGCCACCACACCCTGCTCCCCACTAATTTTTTTTTTTTTTAGTAGAGACAAGTTTTTGCCATGTTTCCTAGGCTCATCTCAAACTCCTGGACTCAAGCAATCCTCCCTGCCCCCCGCCTGCCTTGGCCTCCCAATGTGCTAGGATTACAAGGTGTGAGCCACCATGCCCAGCCAAAACTTGAGTTTCTAATCCAATTTAAGGCTCACATTTTCTCCTCCCCATCACTCTGTCAAGAAAACTTTCTCTTAAGAGACTTAAGTGAGGAATGGCCAGGGTCTGTTTTTTCACTCATACCCACTTCCTTTTTCTGGGTCTGAAAGATGAAAGTGTCTCTCATTTATCTGGCCCCTTTTATAGGCCTCTCTTGGCTGCCTTTGCTTCTCTGGCTAAGACCAACAGGTTGCTAACATCAAATGACCAAGTAACATACACAGCAGCCAACTATTCACAAAGACAGGTCATTGCCTTTACCCCTGCCTATGTAGACAAAGAGTCAGAAACAAAGAAAGACCTGGTTGTTTGCTCAAGTTTCTGGTCACCTAAAGAGTGAGCCTAAGTCCTCAGGCCTCCCTGTTAGCTGGTCCTAGTTCCCTTTCTTAACAGTTTTTGTGGTAAGTAAATATAGATCATAGTAAATATAGATCATCAGTAAAGATAATAGGCAAAATAGAATAATATTACTTGAAATCAATTATTCGGCTCTGATATAAAAAAGACAAAACTAAACACTATTAACTTAGACAATTTATTTAAAAAGCATTATCCCAATAATGTATGTCATTAATGTACATCATTGGTTACTGAACCAACATATAATTTTAGAAAGTTTTTTTGAGAATATACAAATATCCCATAGTTCTATGTGCCATTCCCTATTAAAAGGAACCAGGACTTCTTAGAGAAATGATTGATTCCATGGCTGTGGTAGGAAATATACAAGCTGAATCTATGATATGTTATTGTGCCAAAAAACAAAGAAGCTATCAAAGTCCACTGTAATTATATCAAAAACACGTAAGAGCCAACTTGAGGGGCTTCTATAAGCCTAAGATGGAACAATATGAGCATCAGTAAAAGAAGATGATTGTAATTGATTGAAAACTTTTTTAACTTTTAAGTTCAGGAGTACATGTGCAGGTTTGTTATATAGGTAAACTCATGTCATGGGGGTTTGTTGTTCTGTTTATTTCATCACCCAGGTACTAAGCCTAGTACCCATTAGTTATTTTTCCTGACCCTCTTCCTCCTTCCACCCTCCACCCTTTAGTAGGCCTCAGTTTCTATTATTCCCCTCTATGTATCCATGTGTTCTCATTATTTAGCTCCCACTTATAAGTAAGAACATGTGGTATTTGGTTTTCTGTTCCTGCATGACTTTGCTAAAGATAATGGCCTCCGGCTCCATCCATGTTCCCGCAAAGGACATGATCTTGTTCTTTTTATGGCTGCACAGTATTCCATGGTGTATATGTACCATATTTTCTTTATGCAATCTAGCATTGATGAGCATTTAGGTTGATTCCATGTGTCTGCTGTTGTGAAGAGTGCTGCAATGAACATACACATGCAAGTGTCTTTATGACAGAATGATTTCTGTTCCTTTCAGGATATACCCAGCAATGGAATTTCTGGGTCAAACGGTAGTTCTGTTTTTAGGTCTTTGAGGAATCACCACACTGTTTTCCACAATGGCTGCATTAATTTACACTCCCATCAACAGTGTATAAGCATTCCTTTTTCTCCACAACCGTGGCTGTACCTGTTATTTTTTGACTTTTTAATAATAGCCATTCTTACTGGTGTGAAATGGTATCTCATTGTGGTTTTGATTTGGATTTCTCTAATGATCAGTGATGTTGAGCTTTTTTTTTCATATGCTTGTTGGCTGCATGTATGTCTCTTGAAAAGTGCCTGCTCATGTCCTTTGCTCACTTTTTAATGAGGTTGTTTGTTTTTTCTCGTAGATTTAAGTTTCTTATAGATGCTAGATATAAGACCTTTGTCAGATGCATAGTTTGCAAAAATTTTCTCCCATTCTGTAGGTTGTCTGAAACATTTTAAATATATAAAAATTCATTAGTTCATAATACCACTCTCTTAAACCCCATCCTCCCAAAAAAAGAATTTTTAAAAAACTTAATTCTCACAATTGGAAGTTTCAGGGCAATAAGTTATTATTTGTTCATTGATTAATTAAGAGAAAGAAGTAAGCATTTAGCCTTCCTTTCTCTACTTGAACTGTATTTTAGGGTAATCAAATCATTGATGATGGAAAATTCTTCTTTATGTAAGTATTCAGTTAATATACAGAATTTAGTAACAGACTATATAATAACCTATCTAGCTATATAAGTATGTCAAAACTAATTAAATTGTATGCTTTAAATATGTGTATTGTACATCAATTATATACCACAATAAAACTGTCAAAAACTAAATATAACAACATGCACAAATAGCAAAAGTAATGACAGGACTAGAAAAATCACCATTCCACTACACCTGATGAAGCAATGCTGTCAAAAAAGCACTCAAGAATGTAGGAATTAATGTATTTTTTTATTAATGTAATAAAATATATACACCTCAGTCCTAAAGCTAGCAATTTACAGATGACATAATATTTGTAAAATCTTAGAAAAACAAAGTAAAACTAACAAAGCAATTAAAAAATTCTAAAGTTAGCAGGATGTAAAACTAACATAACAGAAATCAACAGCCTTTAGAAATACTAACAGTAACCAATCAGAAAATAAAATAGAGGAGAAAGTCCTATTGACAATAACAACAAAAAAAAGATGAATTCTAAGGAATAAATTTAACAAGACATGTGCAAAATCGGTATGAAGAAAATTTTGAAACACTCCTAAAATACCAAAAACTAGACTTGAATGAATGGAAAGATGTTCTTGAATAGGATCACATTCAAAAGATGTCTGTTCTTCCCAAGTCGATTCACAATTAAATATATCAAGAAGATTTTTTGAAACTAGATAAGTTGATACTAAAGTTCATGTGAAAAAATAAATGTGCAAGAACAGCTTTAAAAAAAAAAACTGAAAAAGAACCATAAGGCCAGTCGTCAGGTGGGTAGAAAAAAGAAAAAGAAGAACTATAAGGGAAAAGTAGCACTACCAGACATTAAAATATATTTTAAAATCTCCAGCCAGATGTGAGGGCTCACACCTGTAATCCCAGCACTTTGAGAGGCTGAGGCGGGTGGATCACCTGAGGTCAGGAGTTCGAGACCAGCCTGGCCAACATGGCGAAACCCTGTCTCTACTAAAAATACAAAAAATTAGCCGGGCATGGTGGGGGGGCACCTGTAGTCCCAGCTACTTGGGAGGCTGAAGCAGGAGAATTGCTTGAACCCAGGAGGTGGAGGTTGCAGTGAGTGCCATTGTACTCCAGCCTGGGCAACAGAACAAGACTCTGTCTCAAAAATAAATAAATAAATAAAATAAAATAAAAAAGAAAAAGAAAAGCTCCATAATGAAAGTTTGGTTTTGGCACATACATAGATAGATCTGTGTAAATGAATTCAAAGTCCAGAATTAAACCTAAATATAAATGTAAATTTAAAATATGGTAGAAAAAAAATCATATGGCATCTAAAAAAATCACTGGGGCAAATATGACTATTTAATATATGGTGGGAAGACAACGTGATAGCCATTATGAGAAAGATAAAATTGAATCCACACTCTAAACTATACATAAGAATAAATTCTTCTGGGCTTGGTCGCTCACGCCTGTAATCCCAGCACTTTGGGAGGCCAAGGTGGGCTGATCGCTTTAGCTCAGGAGTTCCAGACCATCCTGGGAAACATAGTGAGACCCCCGCTCTCTACAAAAATACAAAAATTACTCAGGCATGATAGCACGCATGTGTACTCCCAGTTATTCAGGAGGCTGAAGTGGGAGGATTGCTTGAGCCTAGGAGACAGAAGTTGCAGTGAGCCGACATTGCTCCACTGCACTCCAGCCTGGACGACAGAGAGAGACCCTATCTCAAAAAAAAAAAAATAAGAAGAAGAATAAGAATAACCTCATAATAGATCAGAGATCTAAACTTAAAAGATGATGCTGGCCAGGCATGGTGACTCACACCTGTAATCCCAGCACTTTGGGAGATAACGAGGTCAGGAGTTCAAGACCAGCCTGGCCAATATGTTGAAACCCCATCTCTACTAAAAACACAAAAATTAGCCGGGCATGGGGGCGCGTGCCTGTAGTCCCAGCTACTCAGAAGGCTGAGGCCGGAGAATCACTTGAACCCAGGAGGCAGAGGTTGCAGTGAGCCGAGATTATGCCACTGCACTCTGGCCTGGGCGACAGAGCGAGACTCTGTCTCAAAAAAAAAAAAAAAAAAAAAAAAGAAGCAGCAGCTAAACCATATAAATACAAGGAGAAAGCAATGGTGAATTATTAACCTGAGGAAAGACTTTCTAACTGTGACTCCAAATCCAGACTCAGTAAAAGAAAATACTTATTGATAAATTTGACTATGTAAAAATAAAAAATTGGCACATCACAAAAAAGAGCACCAAAGGCAAAGTCAAACTGAGAGAAAAATATTTGCAACATCTGTCATAGGTGATGGGCAGTACCCCAAAACTCAATATAAAAATGGGCAAAAGACACCAACACACCATTACATGAGGTTAAGAAAAAGGCTGTGAAGGTGAGCAGGCTCTTGTCCTGATAGGTTATAAGCAAAGTTAGCACCATTTCTCTTCTAATAAAAAGAGAAATAATCAGGCTGCAAGGGCTTTTATGTCAGATTTTTTTAAGACACCTCTGAGGGATACTTAATTGAAAATAACCAACTGAGTTAGGAAGCTGCTACATAGCCTGACAACAGGGTTAGTTTTATCAGTGATTAATAACAATTGAAGTCTCAGGATAACACCAAATCTTATTTGTGAGTTTGCGTTTCTTTCTATCTGGCCTTAAAAGTGACTAAGTAAGAATGTATGCTTAACTTTGAAAAAACAACTCTTTCTATTTCTAACACTTGACCAGACAGCATAATGATCTCTTTAAGCAACAATTCCTTGTTAAGTGGCTGGAGTTAAGATTCCCTCCAACCACTAGATCCTGTGAAACTATGATAATTCTGTGATAGCCCAGTGGAGAAAGCATAACAGAGGTGCCATTGGCCACTTGGTGGCAATACATCCTAATTGCGTGTAAAGTTCTGAAACGGTAATAAACAGCATGCTAACAGACTTGGAAGCTAATTTATGCAGACATTTCAAGCAGTTTACAGGTGCCTTAGTTGGAAAGGTCAGCTAAATGCTTAATATCCTTTAAAGGTGCATTAGAAGCAAAGCAAAACATACCTTGTGTTTGCCAAAAGTATTTGTGGGTACTCTCTAGGAAATTCTATTAGGAAATATCTTTGGAGCTAGAAAAGATTCAGAGGGAAAGTAAAACTGCTGACATAGTAGCAATAACCAAAAAATACATAGACTGTAAAGAGATTTCATTAATAATATTAAGAACCTACCACTGTGTGTAGTCATCTGAGCTTGAACAAATCAGTTAAACTTTCAGGGCTTCGATTTCTTTGCCTGAACTGTGAGCTAGCTCAGAGGTCAGCAAATGTTTTCTGTAAAGTACCAGGTAAAACCTTGCAGACCAGCAGGGTGCAGTGGCTGGCACTGTAATCCCAGCTACTCAGCAAGCTGAGGTGACAGGCTTGCTTGAGTCCAGGAGTTGGAGCCTGCAGTGAGGTATGATTGTCCCACTCCACTCTAGCCTGGGTAACAGAATGAGACTCTGTCTCTGAAAAGAACATTTTTAAATGAAAAAACTTTGCAGGCCATACGTTGTTTGTTGCAACTTCTCAACTCTGTCATTGTAGCATGAAAGCAGCAATTGACAATACATGGCTGTGTTCCAACAAAACTTTATTGGTGGACACTGAAATTTGAATTTTGCATAGTTTTCACACATTATGAAATACTATTCTTCTAATTTCTTTTTCAAACACTTAAAAATGTAAAAACCATTGTCTGAGGGCTATTTAAAACAAAATAAAACAAGCAGCTGGACTAGATTTGACTCACGGAGCTGTAGTTTGCAAACCATTGGGCTAGATGTTCTCTAAACTCCAGCTTTGTGTCTCTGTTGATTAAACTGGTATTGATTCCTTATTTAGCTAACACTAGGTTTATACTTCTTTTACACTATCTTGCACATTTTTCTACAGCCTAAAGCAGTTTCTCAAACTTTATTTACTTACATCCCCATTAAACAAGAATTTGAAAGATGTCACATCTTTTATACAGCTCATATTATTTGAAAAGTAATCTTTGTTCTTCCAAATATGTATGTGGGTTTCCAAATTTTACATGTCCTTCTCCCTGCCTTCCTCCACCACAGATTCCCACAGTTATCCTCATGTGTCTAAGAATCACTGCCTTACTGTTGTTTAGACGTGAAAATTCCCAACTGGGAAGCCCCCAGAAAACCTCACTTCTCTTTTCTACTGTTAAAAAAAAGAAAAAAATAGTTTTCCACTAACTCTGCTGTAAATGAGAATGGCTAACTTAGACTTACTTCATGGAACAGCGAGTTCCAGGTAAGAGCTCTACTTGACCTTCTGTTAGTCCTTTCTTCCACACGGTCAGAATCTGAAGTATGAGCCAAAACAGGAATCCATGCATTCATTCTTCTCCCCTGTTCACCCGTGAGAACACTCATCTTTCCACCAAGATCTGATCAGCTTGATGGCCACATAACTGGTTCTAATAGCTACAAGAATACAATGTTGGAAATGTATACTTATGGTCAGTCTGTGCAAAAATGCCTGTAAATGGTAGAGAAGAGAAAGAAGATAGCTGCTTTTAGACCCATACCTGGTGACAGGCCGCCTTAAAGCAACTCCTAGAAGGAGACAGTGATTATAAAATGCCCCATCTCCATAAATAAGTCTTTCAAGGTTAAGGAGCTTCACTGCTAAAGAGGAGAAGCCCTGGGGGGATGCACATTGAGTGCCCTCAGTAAGCCGGTAGCCATGCTGCCTTTGGTCACAGCATCTCTCCTATGTGAAGTCAGTGGGGACTATTAACACCTTTGGGACAGCTGAGGAATCATCTTCCTGGACACAGCTGGAAGCAACTTCACCTTTGGAGTTTTACTACCACCCTCCTTTGCTCCAGGCCTCAGAGTTCTCTGTGCATTTATTTCCTTCCACTTAGCTGGGACAATATTCTCAAGTCTTACTTCCATTACATGCAGACATCTTCTCTACACTCTCTCCATTCTAGAATTTCATGTCTTAAAAACAGAAAACAGAAAGACTTGCAGACTTCTGCTTTCTAACATGCAACATCTCCTTCCTGTGACAATGAGGACAGACTGACCACTAGCTTTAATGGGGGAAAGGCCAGGGAGAAGTTTAAGAAGAATAAAAGTGCAGGTAAATGCCTGAAATATTATCCAGCCACATGTTTATTTTTCAGTATTTATATAGGTTCTTAGATGAGTTGCTTGCACAATTTCATATTTATAATCATCACCCCATCTACTGAAATTAATTGGCAAATACACTTTCTACTTCTAACCCCATTTTCCTCAACTGAGTACTTCTCTCTACTGTGGCCCTATGTTTCCATATTAGAGTAAGATCACTTGAAAAATTTTATGCAACTGTTAAATGTCACATTGAGGAAGACTATGTGATAATATTCACTATAAAAATGATAAAGGTGTATGCAATAATAAAGGAACTGTGCAATCACAATTTTATAATGTATATACTTAAATATAGCCTTTAAAAAAAGGTTGCAAAATTCCTCACCAGAATTTTAAAAGGTATCCCTCAGTGGCGAAATTACAAGTGGGATTATTGGTAATAATGATTTTCTTTTCATATGTTTGGATATTTCTGAAACTGTCTTTACAGAATTATAACTGAGAAAATTATGACAGTAAAAGAAATCAGACCTAACCGACTCTACCTCGCTTCTAACCTTTAAGTTGTCCTTGTTCATTCTTAAGCATAGGCCAAATTAACGGAAGGAATTCAGTTCATGGCTTTACTCTGAAACAAAATTGATAATAGCCCTTTCTGAAAAGACCCTCTCCTGGTCTGGGGACCGGTCTGTCTTTGTAGGACTAACAAAGTAACTACAAGATTAGAAATTACAGTTTAGGAGTCATGTAGTCTCTGGCACTAAGAGTCTGAACCTCCCCAAATTGTTCCTAGGGATAATATCATTATTGTAAAACCTAAGATCAGTACTTGAGATATTTCGGAGACCCTGCACTCGACTAACCAGACCGGCAATCTGGCTCAACCGGTGCTGCCCTCCCACCCAGAAACAGAAAACAGCAAGAAAAATTCACTTCGAACCCCTGTGATTCCATCTCCAACCTGACCAATCAGCACTCCCCACTTCCCAAGCCTCTACCCACCAAATTATCCTTAAAAACTCTGATCTTGGCCAGACGCGGTGACTCACACCTGTAATCTCAGCACTTTGGGAGGCCAAGACGGGCGGATCACAAGGTCAAGAGATCAAGACCATCCTGGCCAACATGGTGAAACCCCATCTCTACTAAAAATACAAGAATTAGCCAGGCATGGTGGTGCGTGCCTGTAGTCCCAGCTACTCGGGAGGCTGAGGCAAGAGAATTGTTTGAACCCGGGAGGCAGAGGTTGCAGTGAGCGGAGATCATGCCACTGCACTCCAGCTTGGCAACAGAGCAAGACTCCATCTCAAAAAACAAAGGACAATACTTATCAAAGTTTAATGTGTGTAGGACTTACCTGGGGAAACTTTATTGCAGGGTGCGGTGGCTCATGCCTGTAATCCCAGCACTTTAGGAGGCCGAGGCAGGCAGATCACCTGAGGTCGGGAGTTCGAGACCAGCCTGACCAACATGGAGAAACCCCGTCTCTACTGAAAATAGAAAAATTAGCCGGGCGTGGTGGCACATGCCGGAGGCTGAGGCAGGAGAATTGCTTGAACCCAGGAGGCAGAGGTTGCGGTGAGTCAAGATCGCCCCATTGCACTCCAGCCTGGGCAACAAAAGCGAAACTCCGTCTCAAAAAAAAAAAAAAAAACCTCTGATCCCCAAATGCTCAGGGAGACTGGTTTGAGTAATAATAAAATCGTGGTCTCCTACACAGCCGACTCTATGTGAATTACTCTTTCTCCATTACAATTTCCCTGTCTTGATAGGGCTCTGTCTAGACAGCGAGCATGGTGAACACATTGGGCAGCTACATTTCTACAATGCACATGTGTTATTTTTATAATTAGAGAAATATTTTTAAAACTAAAAGCATTTATTGAAGTATGATTTGTACACTATGTATATGCTGTACTTCAAAAAATGGTTTTAAAAAAACAAGAGCAGGGATCTTCAATGACGAGAATAATAAAGAAAAGAAAGCTTCCCTGAAATTATCTCAGTCTCTGGTTGGGCTTTCTTGCTCACCAAGGAAATTGTTTATACTAATTAAATTTCCTGTCTGTCCCATGGAAAATGTACTTATTGTTTTAATTCTCAGATATTAATGTGCTTAATAAAAATATTTTTCAAATCATACATATACTAATTACTGATCCAAAGAGAAGACTGTACTATGATTGTACTACCACCCCACAAATGACTACAGAACCAGGAAATAACCTTGATATGTTATATAGTTGATGAATGTCCTGGCTCACAGGTTCAGTCATGAAGAACCTGTTGTGTAAACATCTGGTCTAACTACTTGTCCTAGACTTCGTAACTGCTGACCCCACCCTCTCTCTTCAGGCTCTGCTCTGTCTCATTTATTTCAGGAGAAATCTGACAGCCTCACCTTCTCACATAGGCTTGTAGGTCAGATAAGGTAGAGGAATGGTATCAGAAGCAGGAACAGCACTGGTCTTAGGCATAACTAGTGAAAAATTTTGAATGTGATGAAGAAGAGCTCCCCTGTCATTGCCAAATCTGGGCACACAAATACGGTCACACTGTGAGGTACTGTGGGTTAGAACTTCAACATATGAATTTAGGTGGGGACACAGTTCAAACCATAACAGGCATGAAGGATCAATAGAAATCAGGCTGGCAAACGGAAGCAAAAGGAAGTGTTTCCAACCTAAGCAAAGAAGCAAGAGGAATAGGGCACCTTAGGAGAACTTGATAGGAGCCAGGTCAGAGAGGGCTGTGCTAAAGACTGAGAAGTACACTCTAAGGATAACGGAAAACTATTGAAGGACTTTCATTAAGGAAATAATACAATTGGCTTTGCTTTCTAGAAGAAATATTTGGATATTGTGTGTAGAAAGAGGAGCATGGTTGCAGGAGGAGGCCAGGGGAAGCTATTGCTGTTCTTCAGCGGTGAGATAACCATGGCCTGAGCCAGGGTAGTGCAGGCCAGATGGACAGAAGTGAGGGGAGTCGATGTAACTGACAAGCACTGGGAATTCCTGGATGAGAGAGCTGAGCATGAAAGAAGACTGGAGGATAACACCCATCTTTCTGACTTGGGAAATGAGAAGACCAAGGCATGGACTGTGAAAGGATGACAATATACAGGAGAAGGTAAAGGAGTCAGTCAGAAGTAGACCCTGTAACCAAGAGACCACCCAATATTATCCACCCAACATCTCTACTAAGTGCCACATTTTACATTATGAAAGGAAAGAAGAAAAACTACTTAGGTATCCAACCTGGCTTGGTTATAGTGATGAGACTTTTATCTCTTCTATTTCAAATATTGAAAAATTAACCCAAAAATCGAAATGCATCCTTCTATCCGGTTTTACTTTCTTCATCTCCCTTTATATTTCTAGACCCTTCACAATGCAGCTGAGGACAAAAAACGTAAGGATGGTTGCTATAGTTTATAAGGTGTCTGGAAACAAAAATATGTTTCCATTTAGGAACACTAACTACATATATACCAGACACGGAGTTAAATTTTCTACATACATTTTCCATTTAATTCTCACAACCCTGTGAGGTAGTTATTATTATCTTCATTTTACAGACAAGGAAACAGATGCTCAGAAAGGTGAAGTCACCTGCCCAGGTTTACACAGCTATGCAGATTATTGAATTCAGCTGTCCCTCACTCCAAAGGGACATGCTCAGCTCTCTCATTCAGGAATTCCCAGTGCTTGTCAGTTACACCGACTCCCCTCACTTCTGTCCATCTGGCCTGCACTACCCTGTTAACTGCTGTGGTACTCTACCTCCAGAAAGCCCTCTTTTGAAAATTGGGATGAAGTTAAAGCCATTCCACAAAAGCCTTCTTTTTTTCATACCTTTTTTTACTGAAAAATAATAAAATATTCTTAGTAAAACATCCCACGAACTTGAGCTCCATTTTAGAATACGGTATGAATAATGCTCCTGGAACTGTGCAACCCAGCAGGTCCATAACTGTGCTGGCTGGGATCAAACTACCAGGCCTCAGGCTTAATTCAGGCCATGTATAGAGACTGCCAACCAACTCACTTATACGAACAGACTTGTTAAGTTACTGATCAAACTGTCCAAGCATCTGGGCCATCCCTTGGCCAGCAATGCAGAGAAACTGGAGCCCTGTGATCATCAGGGAATATAACCTTGAACTCCTGGCTGTTCTGTTGTATTTTCTTTACTTTGGATTCTTTTTTTTTTTTTCTTTTTTTTTTTTTGACGAAGTCTCACTCTGTTGCCCAAGCTGGAGTGCAGTGGCGTGATCTCGGCTCACTACAATCTCCACCTCCCAGGTTCAAGCGATTCTCCTGCTTCAGCCTCCTGAGTAGCTGAGACTACAGGCAGGCGCCA
Organism: Homo sapiens; assembly: GCF_000001405.40. NCBI lineage: Eukaryota > Metazoa > Chordata > Mammalia > Primates > Hominidae > Homo > Homo sapiens. The sequence goes on from NC_000003.12 coordinate 122,312,632, forward strand.
CCGTGCCCGGCTAATTTTTGTATTTTTAGTAGAGACGGGATTTCACTATGTTGGCCAGGCAGGTCTTGAACTCCTGACCTCATGATCCACCCGCCTCAGCCTCCCAAAGTGCTGGGATTACAGGCGTGAGCCACAGCGCCTGGCCTAAAACTTGACAAAGACATGTTTATCCAATGCCCTTCAAGGACTCCAGAAGTCCATGTTGGCTGGTTGCCCTCTTCTCCCAATGAGAAAGTGGTGAGATCTATGAATTTGTTCACATATTTGCTGGGCAGCTGCTGTGTTTCATAATCTGGGAGATGTGATGGCTAACAATCAAGACAACAGTTTCTGCCATGGAAGAGATTATAATCAGATCAGCAAGAAGATAAACAGAAAATATATGTGTAATAACTGAGATAACAGGAATATGTAGTACAAACCAAGAACTAGAGGAAACCACAGAAGGCTTTGGGTAGTGTGGTTTTTGAAAGCAGTATTGCATGTAGATTAATGGAGAACAGAAGGAATGACATCCTTTTCAAGGGGCATTGTATGAACAAGGAGACAGGAGCAAGAATGAGAATGAGAAAGAGGTGCAAGAGGATCTAAGAGGACCCAGCTAGAGAGAAACTCTGAGAGAGAATCTGGTTCAGGAAGACCTGTGAGTACTTGGAGGCTATTCTTAAAATTGTAAATGAATTTGATAGACGACAGGAAGTACCCAAGTTAGGAAGCAATATTTTTTCAGTGTATGAGAAAGAGCTTGGTTTTCAGGAGAAACTAGAAGGGTAGGATCCAACCAGGGAGTGTCAACAATAAGCCAATAAGAGGGTGATGAAAGCTTTAAGGGAGTGATAGCTATGAAAACAGCAAGGAAGGGTGAATTTGAAAGATGTTGCAAAGTCATCACCGCCAGTATGTTTGCATAATTCCTGGCAATATTCCCCCTCAGTTTCTATGCTATGAGCTTTTAAGTTGTAAATTGCCAACATCTTAGAAGTATTATGCCAAGACCTCATTTGTTTAGTTTAATGTAAGGTTTGGGTTGCTAATACGCTATTTCAGTCTTTAAAACTTCCTCTGTAAGAATCCAGTGTTTCTAAATATCAATGGATACAAATAAATAGAAGTTTTAAAGTTTAACTCTCCCTTCCCTTCTCTCCCAGGTGGCTGTGTCAGTGCAGGGGAAAAGGAACACTAGAAGGATCCAGGTGGAAATGACATAGAAGATAATGACACTCCCATGAAGTGGTGAAGCTATAGCCACCACCTGTCCCTGTTGATTAAAGAGCTCCACCTGCCTAGGCACAGCATCCTCAGCTAGGATTGGGGGTAGGCCACTGGGTTAGGACAAAACTTTGCAGGACTGACATGTTATAGGCCCCCATGTAGTATATACTAGATGTGCTGCAACAGGAACCCAGAATCCACCTGCACCCACCTCAATATGGATAGCACGTGTTGCCAACATCTGCTTTGGCTCTTTCTTCAGCTGTTTTCACGTGTTTTCTCTTTGTAAAAATGTTTTCCACCTAGCAGTGGACTACTCTTCCAGATTTCCACCTTTTCACCTCCCTCCTGCCTCTATAAACTTAGGACACCAACATTGTAAGTTACTAGGCTTCTAAATGTAATGCATATGAGAATCACCTGGGAGCTCTTTTTGAAATGCAGACTCTAGAGCCCACCCTCAAGAGATTGTAATTTAATGAATCTAGGAATGGGACTCAGGAATCTGCACTGAACAGGCATCCCAGCTGACTCTGGTGTGGGTGGTTCCCAGCCCAACTTACCAGAGCACTGCTAAGTTGAACCTAGCAGCATAATTAATCCATGCTAAAACCAAACTCATAAATTAACATTTATCAAGAAGCCTTTGAGAGCTTGGTTCTATGATTATGTATGAGTCTTAGGGCTCATTTTTCCTAGGGCATAAACTGATACTAAGTCACACTGGGAGAGCCTATGATCCGTGTATATTTCTGGCAGGGCAGAATTTTCTCTATATTGACAGGCACAGCAACATTGATTGTATAACATTACTCCACCCTGGAATTTACTATTAGTCATAAAAACTGAGGCAACTCCAGTATTGCTGGTTCATTTGATGAGTATTCAGTGTGGGTAGGCCTCTACAACAACTTCTTTCTCCCCTAAAGGGCAAAAACGCAACTCAACTCACAATCCAGGCTACTGAGCAGAGGTTTGAATGACCCCTGAGCCCATACAAGCTTCTCTACATTGTTCTGAGAGCACCCAAAAGCCACTGGGATTGTTGAGACCACTGGTTTCTTTGTCCTGAAGAGAAGAGAGAGGGAAATGATTGCTGCTACACTCACTTTGAAGTGAGAAAAGTTGCGGGTGGCTGAAAATTTTACTCTGAAAAGATGCTGGGTAGCTCTTTGTTCCTACAGCCCTGCAAACTATGCTCCTGATACAGAGTGGGGCAAGTGGGGCGGGAAAGTGCTGGGAAGGGAAAGGCGTAGTCCCTCGCTGGGGATCCAGCCCCAGACCTGTGCCCACAGACCTTGGTGAGGATGGGCATTTCTGTTCTCATGCCCAAATATTGCATTTCCCACGACCACCCTGGGCTGCCATACCCCTATCTTGTGCCTATAAAAACTCCAAGATCCTAGCGGGCACACACACAAGCAGCTGGACATCAAGAGGAACACACCAATGGTTGAGGACACAAGCGGCTGGAAATTGAGAGGAACACACCCGCGTAAGAGCACACCCACAGGCACTGACAGATTTCGGCAGGCCATCGACTGGTGGAACAATGCAGAGTTTGGCTGGGGTGGTCGGAGAAGAGCCCAGCTGCCCGGAAGCCCGATTGCAGGGGAAAACCACCTTCCCACTCCAGCCCCCTTCTGGCCTTCCCATCTACCTCGCTGAGAGCTACCACTCAATAAAAATCCTTACACTCATTCTCCAAGCCCACATGTGATCTGGTTCTTCTGGTACACCAAGGCAAAAACCCCGGGATACAGAACGCCCTCTGTCCTTATAAGGCAGAGGGTCTAATAGAGCTGATTGACACAAGCCACCTACAGACAGCAAAGCTAAAAGAGCACTCTGTAACACACACCCACTGGGGCTTCAGGAGCTGTAAGCATTCACCCCTAGATGCTGCTGTGGGGTCGGAGCCCCACAACCTACCCTTCTGCATGCTCCCCCTAGAGGTTTGAGCAGCTGGGCACTGAAGAAGTGAGCCACTCCCCCTGTCACACGCCCTGTGAGGGGGACAAGGGAACTCTTCCCGTTTCACTCCCACCGCTCACCCTCTATGTCCTGGCACCCAGAGGGGAGCCCTAGGGCAGGCACACCCCCAGCCTTGTTGGCTTTAGTTATGTTCATCCCATCTTCCATCTTCATTCTCAGTGCATCTGCATAAGCCTCATTGAAGTTAGCCAAGTCCAGGACCGTAGAAGCACATATGGGTTAAATAATCCCCTCACATTCCAATCCCAGCCTTCCTTTCGCCTAAAGCATCTCCATCCCTAATTCACTGCAAAGTACTAACCTCTAACTCACGGAGGCTCAGAACTCACCTTTTGGGGATCTCCTTATGGCCTCACTCCCTGGCTGTTACTGACAACCAGCCCCAGTGGAAAGCCAGAGCACTCTGTGGCCAGAATGAGTTTTTTAAATTTGCCTTGTCTTGGCTACAATTTTTGTCACTTTTTACAATAAAAAAGTTTTTCCTGTACTTTTAGGAATTTTCTATAGCCAGAGAAGTCAAGGATGGCCAAGAAACTCCAAGTGACTAGAATACCATGACCCCAATAATTAGTATGTGGTTAGCTAAGAGATGTAAATTCATATGTACATTATACTTTTTGAGAAATAACTATCGGCTCAATTAAAGATAATCATTAAAGAAAATTTAATGCAGACTGTGTATACGTATTTGAGACAGGGTCTCACTCTGTTGCCCAGGCTGCAGTGCAGTGGTGTGATCATAGCTCACTGTAACCTTGAACTCTTGGGCTCAAACGATCCTCCCGCCTCAGCCTCCTGCAGAGCTGGGACTTACAGGTATGCACCACCATGACCGGCTTACTTTTTTTGTTTGTTTTTTGTAGAGACAGGGTCTCACCAAGTTGCCCAGGCTGGTCACAAACTCCTGCCCTCAAGCAACCCTGCCACTCTGGCCCCCTAAAGTGCTGGGATTATAGGTATGAGCCCCTGCTCCTAGATGAACTGTATATTTAAAAAGAGTTTATAATCTAGAGAAAATGTAAGTAAATATAAATAGTTATGTTTAGATACATTTTTGTTAAGTTCTCAACACTTCTCTAGAATTATTTACTCCAACATTATTTTTCCCATATTATAAAACTTCCTCCTGCCTTGTGCAGCAACTTCTGAACTGCCACCCTTGCCAACTTCAGGCTGTTGAAATGGATACAGGCAGGTTCCTAGAGAAGTATGGGAGTAGAATAGACTCTTGTGGTTTAACAAATCAGAACAAGTTTTTAAATCAAAGAAACACCAGTTTTACAGGTAAACTGAGAGGTGATCATCTAATTGATGTGATGCATAGATGCTATAAACCACCTTACTTCCCAAAATGTATTTGTTCACCTCATCCATAAAATTTCACCATTCTATTTCTTCATCTTAAAGCACTTACTCCGTCAAAATGTAGATACCCATAAGATTTTTTTATGTGTACCGTTTTGCAAAAGATTTGCAGTCTTTTCTAAGAGTTCATTCTATTTTTTTTTTCATATCCTTTAGACTCAGTAAGAGTCCATTTAAATAGATGACATAGGAAAAGTAGAAGAGGACAGATACATCTATGGGGATTGGGGAAAGGATGGAAATCTGAGAGCCTGATGGTTTTGGCTTCAGCAATCCATAAATTCATTAAGCTTGGAACTGCTTTACCAACAGAAGAATTATATACACAGATTCATCCATTAGCTAAGTCTTTTATGCCAATGGACACCGCCGAAGAAGCATAAAGTCTCTCTTCCCACTGCTGTCATGTCTAAGTCAGAGTCTCCTAAAGAACCCAAACAGCTGCAGACGCTCTTCATCTGAGAGTTGAGCTTTGAAACAACCGACGAGACTCTGAAGAGCCGTTCTGAGCAATGGGGACAATTACCACACACCAACTGTGTGGTAATAAGAGATCCCAACACCAAACACTCCAGGGGCTTTGGGTTTGTCACATATGCCCTTATGGAGGAGGTAGATGCAGCCATGAATGCAAGGCCACACAAGGAGGATGGAAGAGTTGTGGAACCAAAGAGAGCTGTCTCAAGAGAAGATTCTCAGAGACTAGGTGCCCACTTAACTCTGAAAAAGATATTTGTTGGTGGCATTAAAGAAGACACTGAAGAACATCACCTAAGAGATTATTTTGAAGAGTATGGGAAGAATTGAAGTGATTGAAATCATGACTGGACGAGACAGTGGCAAAAAGAGGGGCGTTGCTTTTGTAACCTTTGGCAAAAAGAGGGACTTTGTTTTTGTAATCATGGCTCCGTAGATAAGACTGTCATTCAGAAATACCATACTGTGAATGGCCACCACTGTGAAGTAAAGAAAGCCCTGTAGTAGCAAGAGATGGCTAGTTTTTTGTTCAGCCAAAGAGGCTGCAGTGGTTCTGGAAACTTTGGTGGTGGTCATGGAGGTGGTTTTGGTGGGAATGACAACTTTGGTCACGGAGGAAACTTCAGTGTTATGGTGCCTTTGGTGGCAGCTGTGGTGATGGTGGATATGGTGGCAATAAGGATGGCTATAATGGATTTGGTAGTGATAGTGGTTATGAAGGAGGCAGCCCTAGTTACTCTGGAGGAAGCAGAGGCTACGGAAGTGGTGGACAGGATTCTGGAAACCAGGGCAGTGGCTATGATGGGGGTGGCAGCCATGACAGCTATAACAATGGAGTAGGCGTAAGTGACTTTGGTGGTGAGAGTGGAAGCAATTTGGGAGGGGGTGGAAGCTACAGTTATTTCTGAAAAAACAACAATCAATCTTAAAATTTGGACTCATGAAGGGAGGGAACTTTGGAGGCAGAATCTCTATGGTGGTGGAGACCAATACTTTGCCAAACCACAAAACCAAGGTGGCTATGGCAGCTCCAGCAACAGCAGTAGCTATGGCAATGGCAGAAGACTTCAATTCCTGCCAGAAAACACAGCTTAGCAGGAGAGGAGAGCCAGAGAAGTGACAGGGAGCTTACAGGTTACAATAGATTTGTGAGCTTAGCCAAGCATAGTGGTGGCAGGGCCTAGCTGCTACAAAGAAGGCATATTTTAGACAATACTCATGTGCATCGGCAAAAAAAAACCTCGAGGAGTGTATTTGTGACTAATTGTATAGCAGGTTATTCTAGTTTCTGTTCTGTGGAAAGTAGAAAGCATTCCAACAAAAGGTTTTAATGTCCATTTCTTAATTAATCCATTTATTGTTACACCCATGCTGTTGATTGCTAAGTATAATAGTCCAATCATGATGCTGAATAAATGTGCCGAAGAAGAAGAAGAAGAAGAAAAGAAAAAAAGAAGAAGAAGATAGTCGCCAACTTACAGTGGTTCAACTTGAGCTTTTTCAACTTTAAGATGGGTTTATCAGAGTATTAAATGCATTTTTGACTTATATTTTTGATTTATGGGATGGGTTTATCAGGACATAACCTCATTTTAAGTTCAGGAACATGTGGACTTACAGTGGTTTAACTTACAATTTTTTGACTTTACAATGGGCTTATTGAGGGCATTAAATGCATATTTGATTTATGATATTTTTGACTTATGATGGGTTTATCAGGACATAACCCATCATAAGTCAAGGTGCATCTGTACAAAATAGGAATATTGTTCTTAAGGGCAAGGAAAGACAAATGTAACAACCATATAACATATGCTTCCACATGCCTTTCTGTGAATCTAGACTTCCTTGGAATGATACCTGAAGTGTACTGCCTGTTTCCCCTTTCTCTTGGCTTATCAGGCTTTGGAGGGGAAAGGCACTTGATAATACTAAGTGCATATGCCTTTGTTGAAAATAAATTTTTGTATAAAATAAACATTTTCAACAAAGGCATTGAAAAAATTCAGTGTGAAAGAAAGGATTATTGTTGTTTTTTTCCAGTAAGTAATGTTGCAGCAACTAGCTATCTGTAAGAAAAGACAGAAGAAACTTGAATCCCCTAGTCCCTACCTCACACCATATACACCATACAGAAATAAATCTGAGATGGGTCATACATTTAAATGTAAAAGCTAAAACCATAAAGTATCTAAGAGAAAATATAGGAAATATGTTCCTGAACCCTAAGGCAGGCAAAACATATCAGAGGCAATAACCATGAAGGAAAGAAATGGACATCATCATAATTAGAAATTTCTGTTCATCAAAAAACACTCATTATGAAATTAAAAAGGTAAGCTTCAGACTGAGAGAAAATATTAGGCAAGCTACAGACTGAGAGAAAATATTATATATATATATGTAATATATACTCTGAAATATATATATATATGTATAATCTGACAAAGAACTCACATCCAGAATATATAAAGAACTTTTTCAATATGGAAAAGGTGGGGTGCAAAAGACTTGAATAGGGATTTCATTTTAAAAAATCCAAATGGTCAATAAACACATGAAAATGGGCTAAAAATTATTACTCTTCAGAGAAATGCAAATTAAAACCACCGGACGATATACTGTATACCCACAAGAATGGTTAAAATTAAGTAGTTAAAATTTAAAAGACTGATAATATCAAGTGTTGGAGAGAATGGAGCAACTAGAACTCCTATGAATTGCTGATGGAGTGTAAAATGATACAACCACATTGGAAAGTGGTAGTTTCTAATAAAGTTCAACATACACTTTGCCCTTGTCCCAAAATTTCCACTCCTAGATATATAGACTAATGACTTGTTGATAGCAGATTTATTAATAGCCAAAAACTAGTATCAATCCAAATGCTATCAGCAGGAGACTGAAGAAACAAACATAGCATGTTATTACACTGGAATACTACACAGCAATAAAAAAGAACAAACTACTAATAAATCTGATAACATGGATGAATATCAAAAACATTATGCTAAGCAGATGAAACAAAGAGCACCTACATCATACTTCCACTTATATGAAATTTAAAAACAGGCAAAACTAGTGGTTGAGCACATTGTAGTGATGGGAGAGAACTTTCTGGGGTGATGGAATGTTCTATATATAACAATTGTAAAAAATGTGGGAACATATTATGTAGCTGTGCACTTAAAATTCGTGCATTTTACTATGCATAAATTATGCCTCAGTTTTCAAAAAGGAAAAGAAATTCCACCTGGACTCCTAAAATACGTGTAACCCAAATAAGAACTAGGAAGTCCCCAGCCACAAATATGTGGGTAGAATTACCTCGTCCTCCAGTTTAGAGAAGGGAAACCCTAGGCCTCCCCAAGAGTTTGGCTGATCTCTAAGGTCTGGCTCTCTTGATTCTCTTCTGATCACTCTGTTTTGCTCCACAGTGATTCAGGCATGAACTTAGTGTGCTCTTCCTTGACCCTGAAAAAAATAAATACCCTCATGCTAAGCTTTTAGCAAGTCCAGTTAGTTTTTTGCAGGCTTGGCGTCGCAGCAGGGGTCTCGCCATGGAGTATGGGCTGCTCTCCTGCCATCCCGCTGGCTGCACTGTCTCTCCCCTCCTCAACATGGAACAGAAACTCTGCTTTTCTCAAGCCAGGAAGCCAGACAACAATGCGGGTACAGGGATTCAGCTTCCATGCACTATGATGGCCAGAGCATGTTGAGTGTTGAGGGTTTAGTAGAAGAGAGGGAGTTAGTTCGTGTTTTCCTAATATACCAGTCTACACATTGCCTCCAGTTTTATCTTCCTAAAGCACAAATGGCTTCTCTATAGCTCTGACTTTTCAGTGACCTCCATTACCTAACAACTAAAGTGTAAGATCGTTCACCTGTTTTTCATGACCTGTCCTCAGTCAACCCTGCCCCCCACTTTCCCTCTTCACCACAAGGATAGCCAGGAGGAATAACTATGTCCTCCCTTGAACACACACTTCAAATAGGGCCTTCACAGTCATTTTTAAAGCACTGTATTGGTGCAGTAGGAGTTAAGACTCTAATGAAAAACATTAGAGGAAGAAGTATAACAGCGAGACCAAGAGACACACAAAGAAGGCATTCAAAAGGCAGTGCTTTTATATTCTAGCTTTTTGGGGGTGTAACTTACATATGATAAAGTCCACCCACTTTTTTATTTTTTTATTTTTTTGGTGTGGAAACAAGACCACCCACTTTAAGTGCACAATCTGATGAAGTTTGGTAATCATATACTGTTGTGTAGCCACTATCGCAATCCATGTATAGAACAATTCCATCTCCCTAAGACGTTTTCTTGCGCCCCTTTACAGTGCATTCCATCCCTCACCTCAGCCTCAAGCAACCTCTGATCTCCTTTTTGTCACTATAATTTTGCCTCTTCTAAGGTCTCATCTAAATGGAATAATATAGTCCATGGCCTCCTGTGTTTGCTTTCTTTCACTTCTTCTTACATTGTCTTGTTTTTGAGGTTTACCTATGTGATTTAATGTATTACTATTTTGTTCCTTTTTATTGTTAAGTAGTATTCTATACTGTGACTCTACCACAACTATTCTTACCATTCACCAGTTGATGGACAAGGAGTTTTCTTCGGTTTTGAATCATTATGAATAATGCAGCTGTTAGCATTCATATGCCAGTCTTTGTGCAGACATATTTCATTTCTCCTGGGGAAATAGCTAGCAGTAGGAACGGTGGGTTGCATGGTAAGTGTATGCATCCACACATCTACTCCTGGCAATGGGTAGAAGCGCAATTAGCTGGGGAAGTTCAGAGCCCAGGCCTGTAACTAAAGCTGGAGACAAGCCCAAATTCTCAGTATCTTTATGGTGCAAGAGCTCTAAGCCAACAGTAAAGTAAGAACTGGGCTGGGGCTTGTGTACCTCCTAGGACCTGGTAGCGGAAACCACCCCATAGGAAAGCCCCACAAACCAGCCACAAAAGAGAAAACTCACATAAAAGATAACTCCTGTGGCAGATGAGCTCACAGACAAGAAATATGAAATATATGAGGATATCTAGCTCCAGAAACACAGTCTGCATAATTCATACCAAAAAATCCAAAAAGCAATCTTAAAGGTACCTTTAAAATAAATGTGTATTTAATCAACTGTTTGTTTAACTTAAGTAAACAATTAATACAGAGATATGAATTGTGCTTTTCTCTTTTGCACTTCCTTGTGTGCGACTCTTTCCCTGTCAATCAGAGGCACACATACTACTCTTGAGAAGAACTAGGATTGTTATAGGAGGAATACAAAACACAAAAGCAATATTTGCTTTGGGGAAGTTTTTACTTCTAAAATAAATTATTGAGAATCAATAGGAAAAAGCTGAAAGTACAGGGCATAGACCCTAGAAAGAGAAGGGTAGACTTGTGGTTTACCATATCTCTTACCACTGGGGAGATTCAATAAGGATGGCCTGGACTAGGATGTCAGCAGACAACTAAAAATGGGCTTCAGGCTTGGAAAAACGTCAGGGGCCTTAATATGAAAGGACTTGACTTGGGGAGGTCACATGAAGATGAGTAGAACCAGTGGCCTATGAAAGCTGAGCCAAAGTCTTCAGATGACCTGTGGCCTCTTGAGGGAGCACCTTGTCATCCACATTCGCTGTTCTTCTTAATCCACAGGGTAAAGGCATTCTATGGAGAGATACTTGTGTAGCACCCCTTAGTTTAGCCTGTAAGACACTCACTTAGCTCCAAGAGTTTGCCAAGCACCCACCAAACATCATTATAAAGAAACAAGCACCTCCCTGTATTGTGATATAGAACAGTCTCCAAAATATATTGTTAGGAATAAAACAAAAAGTATAATAATTTATGTAGGATACCATTTTTATAAAAGAAAACCTATATAGATGAATATGTATCTATGTGTGTGTGTGCGTGTGTGTGTAGCCAATTTTTTTTTTTTTTTTTTTTTTGAGACACAGTATTGCTCTGTCACCAGGCTGGAGTGCAGTGGCGCGATCTTGGCTCACTGCAACCTCTGCCTCCCAGGTTCAAGCGATTGTCCTGCCTCAGCCTCCTGAGCAGCTGGGACTACAGGCGCACGCAACCACGCCCAGCTAATTTTTGTATTTTTAGTAGAGATGGGGTTTCACCATGTTGGCCAGGATGGTCTCAATCTCTTGACCTTGTGATCCACCCACCTCGGCTTCCCAAAGTGCTGGGATCACAGGCGTGAGTCACCGTGCCCAGCCTCCAATTATTTTTATATTTGTATGTGTAAAGAATGTCTCTGAAGGATACAGAAGAAGTTGGTGCCAATAATTGTCTCTGGAGAGTAGAAGGGTGTCTGAGGAATTAAGTGAGTGAATAATTCCTTATATTGTAAAGCCTGGTTCCTTCCAAACATTTTTATCCTGTGTATGTATTATATATTCCCAAAATTGAATAAAATAATATACATAAATATTCACACAATGTGGCCATTTTGCTTCTAGATAAGTTGTCTGCAGAAGCCCTCACTCATGTAAAAAGGAGAAAAAATGCAACGTTGTTTGTAAGAATGAAACACCAGAAACAACGAAAATCGTCATCAATAGAGAAATGAGTATGTAAAATATGAACTAGAATATAGCAATTAGATAGGTAGACTAAATAGATAGGTCTAGCATAAAATAGCATATCACAGTTAAAGGAAATGAACAGGATTGATCTATCTGTGGATTGATCTATGTGTATATCAACATAGAAAGGCTCAAAAACATGTTGAATAGAAAAAGGAACATAACATAGAATATATTTAGCATACAATTTAAGTGAAATTTTAAAGACACACCAAGTAAGACATATTTTAATTTTAAAGACACACATATAAAAATGGCCTGGAAGGATATTAATTCACCATGTACTTTGCCTTCTGGAAGGCAAGGTTGCGTGGGGTGTGGGGCTTCCTCCATATCTGTAATATTTTATTTCCTAAAAATAACTACAAAAATAAAAAACAGCAAGCAAATATGACAAAAGGGTTAAAAGTTTTAATTCTGAGTGATAGAAATATAGATGTTTGTTATTTTATTCTTTGTGTTTTACCGTATGTTAAACATTTCCAGATATTTAAATAAGAGTAAAGAAGACACATCCAGCCAAGGTCCTCCAGATAGATCCTTTTGCTTTCTTTCTAAAGTCAAGTAAATTCTAAACTAACCTTGACATTATTAGTAAGTTTTGCTTTAAAAAAAATAAAATTTTGTGTTAGAAGTTTTAAAACATTTGGAAATTCTAGTTGCGGCTTCAGATTTCATAATTCAGATGATGCAACAGGATGGAACCATTGTCAAAGAGAATGCAGGGACGTTTGATGCTTGTTAGGACATGACTCCTGTACTTGCCCATTTGTTCATCCTCCAACCCCTCTTTCTTCCAAATTCCATGTAGCATATTCTCTCCAGGAAGCAAGAAGACTTGCCTGGCGGCATACTCATTTTCCCCATGCCTCTTTGCTGTTTGTGGAAAATAAAGCATTCTATAGGCGGAGCTAGTGAACGCCTCTTTTAAAACACGAGTCTCCACACTTCCCTGTTCACTTTGGTTCCAGCATCCTGTCCAGCAAAGAAGCAATCAGCCAAAATGATACCTGGAGGCTTATCTGAGGCCAAACCCGCCACTCCAGAAATCCAGGAGATTGTTGATAAGGTGAGTTGATGCCATTCAGGAAAAAGTCTGAGCCAAAATCTTGATTCATAAGTTGTCCCTGTGGAAAGGCTGTGGTTGAACATGAAAACCAGAAGTTTAGGATGTTTGTGGCTTTGTTCAGGTTTCTTTACAACTAAGATGAAATAAGAGTTTTTCAGATGAAGCCTCAAATAATCCCCAAACTGTGAGTGTGACCTTGAGCAAATCACATTTCTTCTCTGAGCTTCATTTTCTCCATGGGTAAAAGAATTTGTATTGTATCTTCTCTAAAGCTCTTACAAGATATGATTCTAGAATTACTAATTCAGTTTCTGATGAAACTTTTCTAATCTCACCAAGTGAAGCCAACGTGTAATTGAAGTCTAAGGTTATTAACAATTTGATGAAGTAGTCTTGGAATGCACTGCAGGGAAAATTTTTTTAAATAGATTGAATGAAGAATAATATTGTAAAGGCAATCTACTTACAAACTTCATACACTTTTGCCCAAATAGATAGTGTTTTAGTCTTTTCATAGTTAAAAGGTAATTCAACTAATAGAACAGAGGTGACAGTCTATAGTGACTCCGAAATGTCATAGGGCACCAAATTATATATGGAAAAATAGAACTCAATGTTGTTAGCAGATTGATGTGTTTTTCACTTCTTCTTTTTTGTTTTGTTTTGTTTCATTTTTAAGAGATGGGGTCTCACTCTGTCACCCAGGCTGGAGTGCAATGGTCTGATCACGGCTCACTGTAGCCTCAACTTTTTGAGTTCAAGCGATCCTCCCCACTCAGCCTCCTGAGTAGCTGGGATTACAGACATATGCCACCACGCCTGGCTGATTTGGGGGGTTTTGTTTTGTTTTGTTTTTAGAGATGGCATTTCATTCTGTTGCTAGACTGGTCTTGAATTCCTGGGCTCAAGCCATCCACTCACCTAGGCTTCCCAAAGTATTGGGATTACAGGCGTGAGCCACCACACCCATCCCTGATATATTTTTCTTTGTGTGATTAGCTATCATCTAGCTATGTAGTAAACATTTATTTGCATATTTTATGAAAGGAAAACATGTACAAATTACTACTTTAGGTTTTTAGTTTGTTGCCTTATTTTCTTATATTATTCCTTCTTATTTTTTCTCTCTGAAACATCATTCTATGACAGCTTGGAAAACAAGATCAGCTTTTTGTGTGATTATAAGAGTTGGGATCCTGTATATTCTGGGAACTAGAAAGCTCTCTAAGGGGCCAGATGCCTAGAATCCCATCACTCATTCTTGGGGACTAATTATTTCTCTTTCAAGAGTTCTTTTTTTAAATAAATATCTTGGAGCTTTTTTCCTGGGAGATGATATTAAGTCAGTAATGTCTTCATGTGAATCCCCAGATCAGATCAATGTTCTCAAACTTGAATGTGCACATGAATCACCTGCACGTCTTGATAAACCTTAGATTCTGATTCAGGGGACCTGGGGTAGGTCTGAGATTCTGCATTTCTACCAGACTCCCAAGTGCTGCTGCTGCTGCCACCCATGGCCTTGCTTGCTGGCAGGACCAGAGATATATGGCATCCTACAAGGCCAGTGGGAGATGGGGCTTTAAAAGTCAGGGTGCAGGCTGGGCTCAGTGGCTCATGCCTGTAATCCCAGCACTTTGGGAGGCTGAGGCAGGTGGATCACAAGGTCAGCAGTTCGAGACCAGCCTGGCCAACATGGTGAAACCCCATCTCTACTAAAAATACAAAAATTAGCCGAGCATGGTGGTGGGTGCCTGTAATCCCAACTACTCAGGAGGCTGAGGCAGGAGAATTACTTGAGCCCAGGATGCAGAAGGTGCAGTGAGCCAAGATAGTGCCTGCACCCCAGTCTGGGCAACAGAGCAAGACTCTGTCTCAAAAAAAAAAAGGGCCAGGCGCAGTGGCTCACACCTGTAATCCCAGCACTTTGGGAGGCCGAGGCGGGTGGATCACGAGGTCAGGAGATCAAGACCATCCTGGCTAACACAGTGAAACCCCGTCTCTACTAAAAAATACAAAAATCAGCTTGGCGTGGTGGCGGGCGCCTGTAGTCCCAGCTACTCGGGAGGCTGAGGCAGGAGAATGGCGTGAACCCGGGAGGTGGAGTTTGCAGTGAGCCGAGATTGCACCACTGCACTCCAGCCTGGGCAACAGAGTGAGACTCCGTCTCAAAAAAAAAAAAAAAAAAAAAAAAGTCAGGGTGCCAAAATAAAATTTGTCTATTTCATTTGAAAAATGAAGGTAACACCTCTTGCCCTACCTATGTCAGAGCTGTAAGGACTAAGTGAGATAATGTGCATAAAAATGACTTGAAAATGAAAAAGAAATGTGCATAGGTGAGGTATCACAATTGTTTACTTCAAATTTGTGGCTGAAAGCATCCCTGACCCTAAAAAAATCCCCCTGAGACTCTCTAAGGAACAGAGCTGTAGGAACATAGGGAAAAATAAATTTGAAATAGAGACAGTACAGAAAATTTTAATGATTTTTAAAAAAATCTATCACTCGATTAGCAAGAATTATTAATTTTTAAAATAAGAAGCTACCAGAAGGCCTTGCATTGCTAATAACACCTATCTGTGAGCCCCATCTTAAATTATAAAATTAATTTGAAAGTGTGTGTGTGGCAGGGAGGAAGCTGCTTCCCTTTGGCTCCAATGTCATCAGAGAGGTAGAATGAGAGATAAGTATTAAGAACAGCTACCTCACCCCAGAAAGGGGTTTTGCAGTTTTTAAAAGCTTGACCTCCATTCGAGCTCTGATTTCATCTTCATAACCCCTGGAGCAGGCAGGGAAGATATTGTGTCTATCTTGCAGATGATGAAACCAAGATTCAAAGAGATTAAGAGTCACTTAATTAAACTGGGCATGGTGGCTCAAGCCTGTAATCCCAGCACTTTGGAAGGCTGAGGCGGGCAGATCACATGAGGTCAGGAGTTCGAGACCAGCCTGGCCAACATGGTGAAACCCTGTCTCTACTAAAAATACAAAAATTAGCCCGGCGTGGTGGCAGGTGCCTGTAATCCCAGCTACCCAGAGGCTGAGGCAGGAGAATCACTTGAACCCGGGAGGCGGAGGCCACAGTGAGCCAAGATCATGACATTGCACTCCAGCCTGGGCCACAGAACAAGATTCCATCTCAAAAAAAAAAAAAAAAAAAAGAGTCACCTAGTTAAGAAGTTAGCTCACCCCCAGTGTTTGACTGCCTGCCCTCTCTACCACACAGTGGCAGAACACAGAGGAGCTTTGTTAGGAAACGGAAATACACTGAATGGAGAGAGTGTGGTAAGTTTGTCTTCTCAGTGGAAGCACCAGCCTCACAGTTAAGTCCATATAGGAGGCCAAGGCAGGCGGATCACCTGAGGTCAAGAGTTCAAGACCAGCCTGGCCAACATAGCTTTCTACTTTCTAGTTTTCTACTAAAACTAGAAAATTAGCTGGGCGTGGTGACGGGCGCCTGTAGTCCCAGCTACTCAGGAGGCTGAGGCAGGAGAATTGCTTGAGCTCAGGAGGTGGAGGTTGGAGTGAGCCGAGACTGTGCCACTGCACTCCAGCCTGGATGACAGAGCGAGACTCCATTTCAAAAAGTAAAAAAAAATTAAAAATTTAAAATTTAATTTTTTTTTTGACGGAATCTCGCTCTGTCGCCCAGGCTGGAGTGCGGTGGCACGGTCTCGGCTCACTGCAAGCTCCGCCTCCCGGGTTCACGCCATTCTCCTGCCTCAGCCCCCCGAGTAGGTGGGACTACAGGCGCCCGCCACCATGCCTGGCTAATTTTTTGTATTTTTTAGTAGAGACGGGGTTTCACCATGTTAGCCAGGATGGTCTCGATCTCCTGACCTCATGATCCACCCGCCTTGGCCTCCCAAAGTGCTGGGATTACAGGCGTGAGCCACCGCGCCCAGCCAAAATAAAATTTTTTACTCCTTAGAAGGACTGGTGCGGTGGCTCTCGGCTGTAATCCCAGCACTTTAGAAGGCAGAAGCGGGCAGATTGCTTGATCTGGGTGGTTCAAGGGCATCATGACAAAACCCTGTCTCTACCCCCTCCAAAATACAAAAAAATAGCCAGGTAGTACACGCCTGTAGTCCCAGCTACTTGGGAGGCTTAGGTGAGAGAATCACTTGCACTCAGGAAGTTGAGGATGCAGTGAGCCATGATCACGCCACTGCACTCCAGCCTGGCCAACAAAGCGAGACTCTGTTTCAAAAAATAAATAAATAAATAAATACAGGAAATGAATATCACTGAATCATTTCATAGTAGGTGCATTTCTTGTATATCTCCTAGGTGTCTAGCATTATGCTAATTATTATAGAAGCTACATGAGGTCTATAAGATATGGCCCCTGGCCTCTAGGAGTTTACAGGGTAGTTGGGAAAATCGAGATATCTGGAACATAATATAAAACAATATCCAATTAAGTGCTTTTTTTATAATCACAGGTTTTGGACCAGAAAAGATGTTAGAGATTGCTGGTCAAACCTCCTTCCTTTCAGGTGAATAATTACTGTGAGGCAGTTCAGCTCCTCTGGTGTTAAAGCCCCAATTATCACTTATCTGCCCTCTCTTGCAGGAGTGAGCCTTAGGGCACAATTTCCAATTCAGTGTTAGAAGGTAGAGGAAGAGTTGGAAAACTCTTTGTAGTTTAGGAAGCACTTTCACGTCAATTATATCATTTATGCCCCTACAAACAGCCCCAAGAGGCAGGTATTATTATAACCGCTTTATAGGTGAGAAACTTGAGTCAATTCCTTCTCCAAAATTACAGTTAGGTCCCCATGCAGGAATAGGGAAAATGGATAGATGCTAGTAATTTAGGGACAATCTCCACTACCTGTCACTTACTTGCTAGTTTTATTATTTTTTATTTTTGAATGTATCTCTGTTTTTTAAAATCACCTGTTAAAGTGGAAGTATTCTCAGAGGAGCTGAAGTTTATCAGCTTTCCTTGGACTTCTCAGAGAGCTTCTTAGTGGAAGGCCAACTGAAGAACCCCATTAGAAGGAGAGAAAGAAGGAAGAAAAAGATCATCACATAGAAAAGGGAAGAGTGTCAAAGACAAATGATAACTGCATGACCAAGGAATTTGATATCACAGTGAAAGAGGAATATTGGATGAGGGCAGAAAGAAAAGAAAGGCAAACAAGGGATGGCAATTGAGAAAACTTGAATGTTTTTGAAGGCAGGAGAAATGAGTTTTCCCATTCTGAAGATAACAGAGACTGAACATGTCATTGTAGCACCATGTACTAAAGTACACTTGGAAGAAAACCCTCTTCCAAGATTCTCCGTATTAGCTGATGTCATTGCTATACTCATCTTTCCTATTTGGGGAGACAAGTTGTCAGGATGGAAAACAACTGTGGTCTTTTCATTCAGAAAACATTGATTAGGTAGACAGAACTGTGTGAATTGCTATGGGGGTAGCAGGGACATAAAATAGTGCCTGCCCTTTGGGAAATTAATAAAATAGAATGGAGCTAAGAGGGACACATCCAGAAAGACAGAGCCATACACAGGCCCATTCATGAAAAGCCACAATCTGTATAACGAAGAACCAAATAAATGAATGGCCCAACAGCAAAAGCCTCCGGATCATTATTGCTGATCCATTATCTTATATAATATGTTAATAAGCATTTTGATGAGAATTGTGAGCATATTTATGAGAAGGAAAGAAATGTTATTTAATTGTTTTTAGAGGTAAGGGCTACTATACATGCAATGTGCATGCACACAACAAACACACACACACACACACACACACACACACACACACACACTCCCCTTAGTCATAAACCTAATTGCTGAATACTATTCCTGGCCAACACACAGAACATGATTTTTGTCAGTCAGGACACCGCACAAACACTTCATCTGCATACCATCCTGGGCACACCCTGGAACTTAGCATGTCATGGCTCTCACCCCATCCACAAATTTGCATTCCCCTCTCTGACCACAGCCTCCTTATTAGTCGCCTCTCCCACTGTCCCACACCCAAAGAACCTGTCATTCAGCCACACCAGAATCCTTCAGGCACCTACCTTCCCAACTTCATGAGAACATGCCCAGGCCCACTGAGTCTCTCATCCAGCCTGGACCCCATGACAGGAGGGTAGCTTCAAATACTCCTCCACTCATGATGATTTCCTTGACCCTGGGAGCTCCTGACATTCTAATTCTCAATTAAAGGTCACACCCACTGCCACCACTTTCTATGCAGCTACTACTGTTCCAGAATCAAAGAACTTTGCCAAAGCGAGGTGCAGAACCACAGAAAACTCACCATTACAAACCTGTGGATTAATGCTTAACAACCCGGACAGGACCCAGGGCTGCCAGAACATTCTTGCAGTCATATTTGTTGGTCTTTTTCTAGAAACCCCACAAATGTAAATCTCTCTTCAGTTGTTCATTGCCTCCCACCCCCATGGTCCCTCCAGCAGGATGTCTCAGTTCCTACTCTTCTTAGGCCAGCTGTCCCCAACCTTTTTGGTACCTTTGTGGAAGGCAATTTTTCCACAGATGGGGTGGAGGGGATAGTTTTGGGATGAAGCTGTTCCACCTCAGATCATCAGGCATTATTTTCTCATAAGGAGCACGCAACCTTGATCCTTTGCATGCAGTTCACAATAGGGTTCCCACTCCTATGAGAATCTAATGCTGCCGCTAATCTGACAGGAGGCGGAGCTCAGGCCATAATGCTCACTGGCCCACTGCTCCCCTCCTGCTGTGCAGCCCGATTCCTAACAGGCCATGGATGGGTACTGGTCTGCAGCCCAGGGGTTGGGAACACCTGTCTTAGGAGATTGCAGATCTCTGGTAAGAAAATGCCCCAGCTGACCCTATCTCTTGCTGGATCTCATTCCTCCCTAGACTCTATTCTCCTCTCTTCAGCCAGTCCTTCCTCTCTTAGCCAGGTGACTTCATTTCTTGCATCCTCAATGCCTTGTCCCATACTTCCTTCTTCCTTCAAAACATACTTAGACAATAAATGTCCACAAGTCACATCTTACTGGCCCTACTGTCCTTTCATGTTACTATTCAAACTCTCCTTCCTTACTCTCTAAATCTCCCCCAAATGTAATTCATCCACTTTGCCATCAATATCTTTCTATCTATTTTCTATTAAATTAGGCACAGTCCTATTGTTTCTGTAGAATGACTACAGATTAGGGGAAAAGCCTGAGTGTTGGGTGCCTCATGGCTCAAATCCTCAGATCTCAGAGAATAAACACCTCACCAAGATTCATGCTCAGTAGCAATGAGAAATGCTTGAAGAACTCTGGGTTAAATGCATTATACCAGGTGCTTCTCCCTGGTAGCCTCCTCCCCGGCTGGAGACCAAGCGACAAACCTCCACTGTATTCCTTGAGCTCCCGTCACCATCACGCGTGGCAGACTGAGAAAGGTGAAGGCCAACTGCATTCAGCAGGAGATGTGTCCGTTCACCGCCAGTCTCCCACCACCGTTCCCAGCTGGCCTGCATCCTCCTAGTGCCCATCCTGGGGAGTCTTTCAGCACCAAGCTACCTTCTGAGACTTAAGTTTCACTGACAAGCTCCCCTACTCTGCCCCTTTCCCTGCTCCTCAGCTCAAATCTCATCACTCAGGTCCATGTCATCTAACATTAAACCATGCAAATCTATTTTACTGGGAAGAGGGAGGGAGGCTGCAAGTTACAAGTAGAGTGAACCAGAAATCAAGGTCCACAGTCTGACAGGTGCCAGAACACTTCAAGAAACAAACCAGATCTTTTAAATCCCCTCTCTCATGGAAAATTCTGCATTTGTGGATTACACAGATACGATGGAAAAGTTAAAGATTTGGATATATTTCTAGGACAGATAGAAATAAAAACTTAGGGCCAGGCATGGGGGCTCACCCCTGTAATCCCAGCACTTTGGGAGACCAAGGTGGGTGGATCACCTGAGGCCAGGAGTTTGAGACCAGCCTGGCAAACATGGTGAAACTCCATCTCTCCAAAAATATAAAAAATTAGCTGGGAGTGGTGGCAGATGCCTGTAGTCCCAGCTACTCATGAGGCTGAGGCAGGAGAATTGCTTAAACCCAGGAGGGAGAGGTTGTAGTGAGCTGAGATTGTGCCACTACACTCCAGCCTAGGTGACAGAGCAAGACTCCATGAAAGAGAGAGAGAAGAAAGAAAGAAAAGAAAGAAGAAAGAAAGAAAGAAAGAAAGAAAGAAAGAAAGAAAGAAAGAAAGAAAGAAGAAAGAGAGAGAGAGGAAGGAAGGAAAAGGAAAGGAAAGGAAGGAAGGAAAAGGAAAGGAAAGGAAGAAAAAAGGAAGAAAGAAAGAAGAAAGAAAGAGAGAGAGAAAGAAAGAAAAAGAAAGAAAGAGAAAGAAAGAAAGAGAAAGAAAGAAAAGAAAAGAAAGGCTGGTTGGCTTAGGATACGTGCTTAAAAAGAAACATGACTGAAAAGCAGAAGGAACACAGATCAGATATATAAGTTATCATGCAAGGACTTTAAAATAACTATGTTGAATAATTTTTCAACTTTAAGCAGTCATGCTCAACTCATAGCCTTACATTCTCCATTCATAAAATGAGGTTTAAATGGATACTTTGGGGGTTAGTGTAGAGATTAACTCTTTCAAACTCAGCTCCTAACTTGACTGGTGCCAAGTACTGGCCATCCCTCCTTTGGAATTTTGAAAGGCTTTGGAAAGGGACCCTAAGACAATAACCTGTTTCCTTACTCTACTTCTCTGTGCATCCTTTCTCCGCTCTCCTGCCCCTAGCTCTTCCCACTTCTGGTTTGTCCTCACTATTTGTCTTCTCCCTTTCTCCACTTTGAAATTTCATTTCCATCTCAACAGAACAATCACACTTTTCCCGTCTATTCTCAAGGTTACAGGAGAACTGAGTGGTGGTCCGTGGAGTGTTTGGCCTTTCAGAAATGGTCTGAGAACTCACAGTTTGCATATGTCTACATCTTTGAAAACAGTTCTGGTACTCAAACTGAGGCATCAGTAGTAAAGGTTCAAAACATCTGCCCAGGGAGGATTGTTTGAGTCCGGGAATTCGAGGCTGCAGTGAACTATGATCACGCCACTGCACTCCAGCCTGGGTGAGGGGGAGATTCTGTCTCTTAAATTTAAAAAAACAAAAAACAAAAAAAACCTGCCCACTGATAGGAAGGACTGCCTTGGGAGAATCCTAGATGGACTGGAGGCCTGATTGAAGTTGTATGGACATGCAATGCTTTCATGAAGGGCATAAAAGCAAGTTCTCAATAAACAAGGTACATTCAACACAGAGAGTTATATCCTTTTTCCTCCAAAAGACAGAAAAGAATTGGGGTTGAAGGACAAATCCACAGACATAAAGACAACAGGAGATAGGCAAGTACCACCTCAGAAATACCAATAAAATTTTGGAAGTTGGAAAACAGATGAACAATGGAAAATGCTGAGCAGTCTAAACAGAAGCTAAGCCCATAGAGGGGAAAGTCTAAGCCAGAAGCAAGCAGATTCACACTGCAGAACGTCACAATGGCGCAGGCATGAGCAACACCAAAAAGTCGTAGCCAGGAGTAAGGTCTCAGACCAAAAGCAAGAGGACTGATCTGTATGAAGGACAGTGAGACCTCCCATAGTTCCTTCTCCCTCACTGTCCTCCACCCCGGCAGAAGACGAGCTTTACACTTAGCAGGAACTGAGTCAAGAGCTCATAGTAGACTCTTGCATATCAGGCCCAGCTGAGAGTGGGAATGAAGCACTGTACAGAAAGTTGATGGGCTCAGTAAAAGTTTACATATTGAATTTGGGACTGTCTCCCTTCTCATGCTGGGTTCGGGAATGCTGACATTTAAACCCAACCCATATCCCTCCATGGTAGACAGAATGATGGCCCTCCAAAGATGTCCATGTCCTAATCCCTGGAACCTGTGACTAGGTTCCTTTACACAGCAAAAGAGACTTTGCAGGTGTGATTAAGTTAAGGCTCTGGAGATGGAGAGGTTATCCTGGATTATCCAGGTAAGCCCATGCAATCACAGGGTCTTTATAAGAATTATACCCAAATACTGCACTCTAGTTAGTATATTGTTTTCCACAGGGGTATAGGTCAACAATTCTGAAATTATTTTATGTATATGCTAGAACTGAGAAAATAGGCGAATACATTGCAAATAATAAGAACCAGGATTCTTCCTCAGTGTTTGAGAAAGGAGTTATAATAAGGAAAAGGGAAAAGCTAAATGAGTCCTGTGGTATTTGATTTATTTTATTATTTATTTATTTATTTATTTATTTATGTATTTTGAGGCAGAGTTTCACTCTTGTTGCCCAGGCTGGAGTGCAATGGTGTGATCTCGGCTCACTGCAACCTCCGCCTCCCAGGTTCAAGCAATTCTCCTGCCTCAGCCTCCTGAGTAGCTGGAATTACAGACACCCACCATTGCGCCCAGCTAATTTTTGTATTTTTAGTAGAGACGGGGTTTCATCATGTTGGTCACACTGGTCTCAAACTCCTGACCTCAAGTGATCCACCCGCCTCTGCCTCCCAAAGTGCTGGGATTACAGGCATGAGCCACCACACCCGGCCGTGGTATTTGATTTTAATCAGAGGAATACACACACACACACACACACACACACACACA
Organism: Homo sapiens; assembly: GCF_000001405.40. Taxonomy (NCBI): domain Eukaryota; kingdom Metazoa; phylum Chordata; class Mammalia; order Primates; family Hominidae; genus Homo; species Homo sapiens. The sequence continues at coordinate 122,335,990 of NC_000003.12, forward strand.
CACACACGTACACACACATATATAATGTATATATATAATGACACACAGATAAATGTGTGTATATATGCACACACATACACAAATGCGTAAAGATGTGTGCATGTGTGAGTACACATATTATTTTGTAGCCCTTTCCACTGAGTGGGCCTAGAAGCAATGACATTTAGTAACAAGAGACACAGCACCCAAATCTTGGGTCTTAAATACCGTTCTCCAATAAAAGGAGCAGGGACTCCTTGGAGAAATAGTTGATTCCAGTGAGGAGGCAAGGAAACTTCAAGATAAACCTGGAACATCTGACTCTACTTTTGTAGAGTCAGAAAGTAAGGAAGTGCTTATAAAATGATGGAGGCATGTTGAAAGAACACAGGCATCAGGTGAAGGAGCTCCCAACGGCCAAATCTAGGGCATTTGAGTAACAAAATAGAGTAATGAATTGTAATCCACAGAGTAAAAGAAATATCCATGAGTCATATTAATATAAAATAAGTAATTGACTACATAAAGAGGAGAGAGGGAACAGCTCTTCCTTATGGCAGAATTCCAGATAATAAATGCACAAGAAATGATTTTTTAATTACCATTTGGCCAACACCACAATTAATCATTGTTGTAGGCAAGAACCATCAATGGATGCTAAAATTCATGTATGAAAGTATGGCGAGAAACAAGACTCCTCACAAGACACTTACTAATTACAAAGGGGAAAAAAATGGTAACTTTACCGTGGAGAAACCTGGCAGACATCCTAAGTGATCAAAATTAACATCACCAGTAATGAAACGTAGCTCCTGATAGGATGCACTTAAGCACAACATCACGTTTGTGCTATCCTTACAAACATGTATAATACTAACATAAGAGGAGATCACACAAACCTAAATTGAGAGACATTCTACCATTTAACAGGCCAGTATTCTTCAAAAACATCAAGGCCATGAACAAAAAGGAATGAACCCAGATTGTAGGAGACTGAGGAGAAATGACAACTAAATGCAATGTAGGATCCTGCATGAGATCCTGGAGCAGAAAAGAGACATTTTCAGGAAAACTGGCAAAATTCTGATAAGGTTTAGAGACTACTTAATAGTATTATACCATGTTAATTTCCTCATTTTGGTGATTATACTATGTTATGTAAAACGGCAAAATTAAGGGAACTGTAAATGATATAAGAGAATTCATTATACTAATTTTACAACTTTTAAGTCTGAAATCATTTTAAAATAATGTTTTAATCAAGTAGTAATTATTGCTCCACTGATTTTTATTAATCAAAGATACATATAACTCTTAGAGTTTTAGCAGTCAAAACGCTCCTATATTGCATTACCACACTGAGTTGATGTGAATTCAGCCTAAAGCAACAAAATTTGACTTTTTAACCTATGTAATTGTATTAAAACAGGTGTTTTCTATTGAAATAATAAAAATAGTTCATAGATTTCATTACCATCTTTGAAGACTTTTAGGAGGATGAGGTTCCCAGATGGGTACATTGCATACATGGAGTCTAATATAGCTTTGATTATTTGTTTCCTCTTTTCTTTTCTTTAGGTTAAACCACAGCTTGAAGAAAAAACAAATGAGACTTACGGAAAATTGGAAGCTGTGCAGTATAAAACTCAAGTTGTTGCTGGAACAAATTACTACATTAAGGTTAGAGTTCAGCACCTACTTTAGCGCCAAAAGATGTATTTCTCATTTTATGTAAAATATTCCCTGATTTCCCTACCACATAATTCCTTCCTTACGGTTGTCCTAAATTAAGATGCCCAGCATGATTCCTTCCAAGTGGTGGACTCTCAAATTTGGTAGATGATGTGACACCATTTTTTTTCTTGTGAATTCAGAAAGTTTTATTACATTGATTCTTGATTTCTGGAAATTGTATAGAAAAAGATTTCATAACAGTTCAGGGCATGCTGGATTTGTGGCTGTGCTGCTGCTTAGGTAAGGAGGGAGGATCACGTCTCATCTGCCTGAAGGTGTGGGGCTGGACCACATGGTATCTTGAAGCTGATTCTACCTCAAAGCTGTATGATTCTCTATGTCTAAATTAAATAAATTAAAGTAACGACTCAAATCATTAGCTGGGAAAATAATTTAAACCTTTTTTGCCCTTCAATTAATATAATGTAAATACTATTTTGTAACTCAAATTAGATTTAACTTGTGGCACTCTAGGCATAGTTTAAAAGAGTGGAGTATTTAAAATAGTTTAAAAGTTAATTTTATAGCTCTGTCAAAAAATTACACAATGCATTGATCGAGTTCTAATTGAAGTTATCAAGAGGAAACCAGTTGAACAAGTCAACCATGAATATTTGAGAGCCATGTTTGTCCTTATATATTAAGAAGATGATAATGCTGATTTTAAAAATAAAAACAAATATTCAAGTATATTTACTTAATCTTTACTTCACTATTTGACCAGGGCACAGTGTGGCTTATTTCTCTTTAACAAATATTTCTATTAAAATATAAACATTTTAAAAGATTTTTTCAGCAAAAAAAAAAAAAAAAGTAAGTGAAGTAAGTGGAGCTAGTCAGCTCAGCATAAGAAAGTTTCAGTACAGAGCTATGTACACAGATCAGCCCTGTTCTGCCAAATGTGAGCTCCTAGTAACGACCAGGTCCCGGGGAGACACATGTGAAAGAGGACCCTGCTGTATCCTCAGAAAACAATGGCACCATTTCCTCCATTCTCAATCTGCTTTCTTCATGGCTGGAAAAGAAAGTTTTCCAGTTAAAAATGATTATGTGCAAAGATAGGAAACATTCCATCAACATTAACATATTTAATAATTTATGATTAATTCAAATGCATAAATTTCACATATTACCAGCTCACATGTTTCTTCAACAGTTCATCAGATAACTATCTTGAAAATTTCTGCTTGAAAATTTGTTCCCTTGACCACCCTTTTGCCCTCTCTTAATCAGTCTCCTCTCTCTCTCTCATCTTTTCTTCCTTCTGCTATCAAACTTTTCCTACTGGATCTCAGCCACCGATCCCAGTTCCCTTTTACTTCCTGGTAGTCTGGCTGTTGATCCCTTTGCTCTGAGGCACTCTAGATTTAAGGTCTTGCCAGTGATGTGACCTTCTCTATGTATTTCAAGTACCTATCAAGAGGTAGGTGGTAGAATGGAAGGACCACAAGCTTAGGTGTCAGAGTGTCCTGGGTTTGAACCCTTGTTCAATTTGTTCTATGGGAAGCTCCTCCTCCTCTCTGAGCCTTCATTCCCTTATCTGCACAATGAGGGTAATAATCTACTTCGCAGCGTGTTGTGAGGAATAAATAAGCTGGAAATTTATTGAGCACTTATAATTCACTATGCACTATTCTAAGAACAGGGCTTATCTCATTTAATCCTCACAACAAATCTATGAGATAAGTACAATCACTTCTCTTGGGTTACCAACGAAAAAACTGAGTTCCAGGGTGGTGAAGAAACTAAAAAGATCACACAACTACAAGAGCAGAGTCAGGATTTGAACCCAGATAGACTGAGCTTAACTACTGGCTGTGCTGCCTCTAATATAAAGCACAAAATAAGAGCTTTTACAAGGTTACACTGGCCTGGTGTGGTGGCTTATACCTGTAATCCGAACACTTTGGGAGGCCAAGGTGGGAGGATAGCTTGAAGCCAGGAGTTTGAGATCATTCTGGGCAACATAGCAAGACCCTGCCTCTACAAAGAAAATGTTTTAATTACCTAGGCATGGTGATGCACACCAGTAGTCCTAGCTACTTGGGAAGCTGAGGTAGGAGGATCACTTGAGCCGAGGAGTTTGAGGTTGCAGTGAGCTGCGATCGCACCACTGCACTGTGAGCCAGGCCTCATTCCCCGATCAGTACCCCCCAAAAATGTTACATTGTAGAGTGAAAAGAATGTAGATGCTAGAGGCTAACAGATCTGGGTTTGAATATTGGCTGTGCCACTGACTAGCTGAGAGATTTATGGAAAATCACTTAATCTCTCCTACTCTGCTTCCACGTCTGTAAAAATTTCATTGCTCCACTTTTCTTCAGGCCTATAATATAGGTTAATATAATCATTTATATAAAATGTTCATCATAGTGTCTGGCTCACAGTAAACATTTGATATATGGCATTTGTTAAAATTAGGATAGGAAGTGACATCAGAAGCACAATAAATATTTGTATAAGACAAAGCATTTATTGTCTCCAGCAAGAACCAAAGTAAAAATTCTTACCATAATTTTCCAGGTCTCAGATTCATGTCCAAACTACTGCTTCTGCTTCAACCTTCCTACCAATGACTTCCTAGTAAAACCCCTTAGCTTTTTTTTTTCTTTTCTTTTTTGAGACGGAGTTTCACTCTGTCACTCAGGCTGGAGTGCAGTGGCACAATCTCGGCTCTCTGCGACCTCCACCTCCCGGATTCAAGCGATTCTCCTGCTTCAGCCTCCCAAGTAGCTGGGATTACAGATGTGCACCACCACACCCAGCTAATTTTGTATTTTTAGTAGAGACCAGATTTCACCATGTTGGCCAGGTTTGTCTCAAACTCCTGACCTCAGGTGATCCACCCACCTTGGCCTCCCAAAGTGCTGGGATTATAGGCGTGAGCCACAGTGCCCGGCTGGCCCCTTCACTTTAGAAGGGAGGGTGTCCGCCCCCTGGGCTCTGCTCAATCCTACCAGTGGGTGTTTATAAAGTAGGTTCTGATATAGGTATGGGAACCCTGCATCCCAAATTTTCTAGGGCAATTCTGATTTTCTTCTCCCTTATCAGACTGTATGGCAAACAAAGTGTCCCAAGTTGAGAGTCAGAAAACAGTATCACCAAAAATATAGGCTATCACTTGTTTTCTTGCTCCATGCATCTTTGAAAATAAAATGCTGTCCTTTGTGCCCAGATTATACTAAAAAAAATAACAAAATAAACCTAGGACCTATGCCTCTTGCCATGCCATTAGTCTACAATTTTTTTTTTTTTTTAAGACAAACTCTTGCTCTATCACCCAGGCTGGAGTACAGTGGCATGATCTCGGCTCACTGCAACCTTCTCCTCCTGGGTTCAAGTGATTCTCCTGCCTCAGCCTCTAGAGTAGCTGGGATTACAGGCATGCACCACCATGCCCGGCTAATTTTTTGTATTTTTAGTAGAGACGGGATTTCACCATGCTGGCCAGGCTTGTCTTGAACTCCTGACCTCGTGATCCCCCTGCCTCAGCCTCCCAAAGTGCTAGGATTACAGGTGGGAGCCACGGCACCCAGCCTAGTCTGCTCTTTTTCTCCTAAAATAAGGTGGTGGATTTATGAATACAAAGAGTCTAAGAATGGTGGACTAGGTCTAGCAATGCTGTTCCTCAGCAGCTTTTTGGACAGAAGTCTTTGTAGACCTGTGGCTCTCTCACTTGATGTAGACCCATTTGAATGAATCTCCTTTTGCTTTCTCTTTCTTTAATATTTTTCAGGTACGAGCAGGTGATAATAAATATATGCACTTGAAAGTATTCAAAAGTCTTCCCGGACAAAATGAGGACTTGGTACTTACTGGATACCAGGTTGACAAAAACAAGGATGACGAGCTGACGGGCTTTTAGCAGCATGTACCCAAAGTGTTCTGATTCCTTCAACTGGCTACTGAGTCATGATCCTTGCTGATAAATATAACCATCAATAAAGAAGCATTCTTTTCCAAAGAAATTATTTCTTCAATTATTTCTCATTTATTGTATTAAGCAGAAATTACCTTTTCTTTCTCAAAATCAGTGTTATTGCTTTAGAGTATAAACTCCATATAAATTGATGGCAATTGGAAATCTTATAAAAACTAGTCAAGCCTAATGCAACTGGCTAAAGGATAGTACCACCCTCACCCCCACCATAGGCAGGCTGGATCGTGGACTATCAATTCACCAGCCTCCTTGTTCCCTGTGGCTGCTGATAACCCAACATTCCATCTCTACCCTCATACTTCAAAATTAAATCAAGTATTTTACAAAGTGTGTGTGTGTGTGTGTGTGTGTATATATATACTTTTTTTTTTTTTTTTTTTTTGAGACAGAGTCTCGTTCTGTCACCCAGGCTAGAGTGCAATGGTGTGATCTCGGCTCACTGCAACCTCCACCTCCCAGGTTTAAGCGATTCTCCCATCTCAGCCTCCCAAGTAGCTGGGATTACAGGCACCTACCACTGCGCCTAGCTAATTTTTGTATTTTTAGTAGAGACAGGGTTTTGCCATGTTGGCCAGGCTGGTTTCGAACTCCTGACCCTAGGTGATCTGCTCGCCTTGGCTTCCCAAAGTGCTGGGATTACAGGTGTGAGCCACCTTGCCCAGTCTATATTTTTATTCTGAAACAAACTTAAACATAGAGAAAAGTTGCAAAAAAAAAAAACCCACTTTTTTTCCTGGACATTTGAGACTAAGTTACTTACCATGATGCCCCATCATCAACAAATACTTCAGTGTGCATTTCCTACAAACAAGGATATTCTCCTGCAAAACTGAAATACAACCATCAAAATCAGGAAATTGCCAGGTCGCAGTGGCTCACGCCTGTAATCCCAGCACTTTGGTAGGCCAAGGCAGCAGGATTGCTTGAGGACAGGAATTTAAGACAAACCTGGGCAACATAGCGAGACCATGTCTCTACAAAAAGAAATTAGAAATTAGCTGGGCATGGTGGTATGCACCTGTAGTCCTAGCTACTTGGGAGGCTGACGTGGGGGGATGGCTTAAGCCCAGGAATTCGAGGCTACAGTGAGCTATACTCATGCCACTGCACTCCAGCCTGGGTGACAAAGAGAGACCGTGTCTCTAAAAAAAAAAAATTAAAAATAAAATTAAACAATTAAGAAATTAACACTGATACACTGGTAGCATCTAATCCCCAGACACCATTCAAATTACCCCAATTGTCCCAATAATGTCATTTATTACAAAAAGATCCAAGCCAGGTGAGGTGGCAAGCACCTGTAGTCCTAGCTACTCAGGTGGCAGAGGCAGGAGGACCTCTAGAGGCCAGGAGTTCAAGGCTATGGTGTGCAATGATCGTGCCCATGAGTAGCCACTGCATGCCAGCCTGGGCAACATAGCAAGACCCCATCCCAAAAAAAAGATCCAATCCAAAATAACTTGCTCCATTTAATTGCCATTTTCCTCTTATTTAATACCTTCATTGAGACATAAATTGAAACATACAACTTACCCATTTAAAGTGTACAAGTGAATAGTTTTATACCACATTCACAAATGCGTGCAGACCTCACAAAATTTTAGAACATTTTCGTCACCTCAAAAAGAAGTCTCATACCTGTTAGCTGTCACTTCCCCAGCCTCCTCCACACATAAGCAACAACTCAACTCCTAAGCAACAACTAATTTACTGTCTAGATTTGCCTGGTCTGGACATTCATACATGTGGAATTATATAATATGTGGTGGTCCTTTGTAACTGCCTTCCTTCACTTAACATAGTTTTCAAAATTCATCAGTGTTGTAGCACGTCTCAGTATTTTATTCCTTTTTATGGACAAATATTCCATTTTATCAATATATCACACGTTGTTTATTAACTAATCAGTTGACAGATATTTAAGTTGCTTTCACCTTTTGACTATCAGGAACACTGCTACTATAAATATTTGTGTACAAGGTTTTGTGTGTACATAGGTTTTCATTTCTCTTGGGTATATACCTAGGAGTAGAATTGCTGGTTCATACGGTAACTAACTCTATGTTTAATTGTTTGAGAAACTTACAGACGGTTTTCTGAAGTGGTCACACCATTTTACATTCTCACCAACAGTGGATGAGAGTTCCATTTTCTCCATATCCTCACCCACACTTGTTATTATCTGAATTTTTTTAAGGTTAGCCATCTTAGTGGATGTGAAATAATAGCTCATTGTGGTTTTGATTTGTATTTCCCTGATGACTAATGCTATTGAACATCTTTTCATGAGATGATTAGCCATTTGTATTAGGCTGATGCAAAAGTTAGTGTAGTTTTTGCCATTTAAAAATAATAACAAAAAACATAATTACCTGTCTTAGTCCATTTTCTGTTGCTTATAACAGAATATCTGAAACTGGGTAATTTATAAAGAAAATGAGTTTATTTATTACAGTTATGGAGGCTGAGAAGTCCAAAGCTGAGGGCCAGGCACAGTGGCACATGCCTGTAATCCCAGCACTTTGGGAGGCCGAGGTGGGTGGATCACCTGAGGTCAGGAGTTTGAGACCAGTTTGACTAACATGGTGAAATTCCATCTCTACTAAATACAAAAAATTAGCCAGGAGTGGTGGTGCATGCCTGTAATCCCAGCTATTTGGGAGGCTGAGGCAGGAGAATCACTTGAACCCAGGAGGCAGAGGTTGCAGTGAGCTAAGATCGTGCCATTGCACTCCAGCCTGGGCAACAAGTGTGAAACCCTGTCTCAAAAAAAAAGAAGTGCAAAGTTGAGGGACCACATCTGGTGAGAGCCTTCTTGCAGGTGGCGACTCTCTGCAGAGTCCTGTCCTGAGGCAGCACAAGCATCATCACATGGCGAGGGGGCTGAGCATGATAGATCAGGTCTCTCTTCCTCTTCTTACAAAGCCACCCGCCCCACTCCCATGATAACCCATTAATCCATTAATCCATGAATGGATTAAGCCATTCATGAGGGCAGAGCCCTTATTATTCCATCATCTTTTAAGGGCCCCACCTCTCAATAGTACCACATTGGGGATTAAGTTTCAACATCAGTTTTGAAGGAGTCAAATATTCAAACCACAGCATATATTCTGAATACAGGCCCCTTATCTGATATATGATTTGCAAATACTTTCTTCTCATTTTGTGGTTATCTTTTCAATCTCTTGATGGCATTCTCTGAAGCACAAAAGTTTTTAATTTTAATGAAGTCCAAATTATCTATTTATCTTTTTGCTCCTCATGCTCTTGGTATCATAACTAAGGATCCTTTGCCAAATCCAAACTCATAGTGATTTACTCCCCTGTTTTCTTCTAAGTGATATGTAGCTTTAGCTCTTACATTTAGGTCGTTTGTCCCTTTTGAGTTAATTTTTGTATATGGTGTGAGGTAAGTGTCCAACTTCATTCTTTTGCATGTGGCTATCTAGTTATCTTAGCACCATTGGTTGAAAAGATTTCTTTACCCCATCGAATTATCTTGGCACCCTTGTTGAAAATCAGTTGATCACAGGCACGAGTTAATTTCTCAACTCTCAATTTTATTCCATTAATCTATATATCTATCCTTTTGTCAGTACTACACTTTTTTGATTACTGTTGCCTTGTAATAAGTTTTACAATTGTGAAGTGTGAGTCCTTCCAACTTTGCTCTTCCTTTTCAAGAGTTTTTTGGCTCTTCTGAATTCTTTGAACTTCCACATGAATTTTAGAATCAGCTTATAAATTTCTACAAAGAAGTCAGCTAGGATTTTCATAGAGATTATGCTGAATCTGTAGATAAGTTTGGGTAATACTGCCATCTTAACAATATTAAGCCTCTGATCCATGAACATAAGATGTTTTCCCAATTATTTCTATCTGTATTTCTTTCAACAATTGTTTTTAGTTTTCAGAGTATATATTTTGTACTTTTTTTGTTAAATTCATTCCCAAATATTTTGTTCTTATTGATGCTATTATAAATGAGATTTTTTGGCTTATGTATTGCAAGTTTATAGAAATACAATTGATTTTTGTACATTGATTTTATATTTTTTAACCTTGATGACCTTGTGTATTGGTGGATTCTTTAGAATTTTCTATATACAAGACCATATCATTGCAAATAGAGGCAGTTTTATTTCCCCCTTTCTAACCTGGATACTTTTTTTTTCTTGCATAATTGCACTGGTGAGAAACTTCAATATAAAACTGAATAGAAGTGATGAGAGCAGGCATCCTTGTCTTGTTCCTGATCTTAGGAGGAAAACATATAATTTTTTTATCCTTTAGTAAAAAGTTAGCTGTGGAGTTTTCATAGATGCCTTGTATTAAGTTAAGAAAGTTTACTTCAAGGCTAAGCGTGGTGGCTCACACCTGTAACCTTAGCACTTTGGGAGGCCGAGGTGGGTAGATCACTTGAGCTCAGGAGTTAGAGACCAGCCTGGGTAACATGGTGAAATCCTGTATCTACGAAAAATACAAAAATTATCTGGGCATGGTAATACACGCCCGTAGTCCCAGCTACTTGGGGAGCTGAGGCCAGAGAATCACTTGAACCCAGAGGTTGAGGCTGCAGTGAGCCAAGATTATGCCACTGCACTCCAGTGACAAAGTGAGACCCTGTTTCAAAAAAAGAAAGTTTCCTTCTAGCTCATTTTTATTATGAAAGGACATTGGATTTTATTACATGCTCTTTCTGCATCTGTTGAAACAGTGATGTGGTTTTGTTTTTTACTCTATCGATATAGTATATTATATTGATTTTTTATATGAAACCAACTTTGCATTTCTGGAATAAACCCCGTATGGTCATGGTATATAATTATTTTTAGACGTGCTACATTCAGTTTGCTAGAATTTTGTTGAGGATTTTTGCATTTATATTCATAAGAGATATTGGTCTACAGTTTTCTTGTTGTTGTTGTTGTTGAGACAGCGTTTTGCTCTGTCACCCAGGCTGGAGTGCAGTGGCACAATCTTGGCTCACTGCAACCTCTGTCTCTCAGGTTCAAGCGATTCTCCTGCCTTAAGCTCCTGAGTAGTCGGGAGTTGGGACTACAGTCATGCACCACCACGCCCGGCTAATTTTTGTATTTTAGTAGAGACAGGGTTTCACCATCTTGGCCAACCTGGTCTCGAATTCCTGACCTCAGGTGATCCACCCTCCTTTGCCTCCCAAAGCATTGGGATTACAGGCATGAGCCACCATGTCCACCCTGTCTATAGTTTTCTTGTGACACCTTTGTCTGGTTTTGGTAGAATTGGTGAATTGGTATTAATTCTTCTTTAAACCTTTTTTTTTTTTTTTTTTTTTTTGAGAAATGGTCTCACTCTGTTGCCCAGGCTGGAGCGCACTGGCCAATCTTGGCTCACTGCAACCTCCATCTCCTGGGTTCAAGTGATTTTCCTGCCTCAACCTCTTAAGTAGCTGGGATTACAGGTGCTCACTACCACTCTGGGCTAATTTTTATATTTTTTCAGTACAGACAGGGTTTCACCATGTTGGTCAGTCTGGTCTCAAACTCCTGACCTCAAGTGATCCACCCACCTTGGCCTCCCAAAATGCTAGTATTACCGGTGTGAGCCACTGTGCCCAGCCTTCTTTAAACCTTTAGTAGAATTCAGCAGTGAAGCCATCTGGGCCTGGGCTTTTCTCTGTGGGAACTTTTTTTATTACTAATTCAATATCCAAACTTATTATAGGTCTATTTAGGTTCACTGTTTCTTCTTGAGTCAGTTTTGGTAGTATGTGTTATTCTAGGAATTGTTCATTTTATCTATGTTATCTATTATTGGCATACAATTGTTCATAGTATTCCTTCATAATCCTTTCATTTCTGTAACATCAATATTAATGTCTCACCTTTCATTTCTGATTCTAGTAATTTGAGTATTCTCTTTTTGCTCTTAGTCTACCTGTAGGTTTGTCAACTTTGTTCATCTTTTCGAAAAAACAACTTTTATTTCAATAATATTCTGTAGTGTTTTTCTATTCTCTATTTTATTAATTTCTACTCTAATCTTTATTATTTCTTTCCCTCTGCTTGCTTTGGGTTGACTTTGATCTTCTATTTTCTGTGTCTTAAGGTAAAAGGTTAGGTTATTGATTTGATATTATCTTTTTTGGCATAAGTGTTGACAGCTATAAATTTCCCTCTAAGCATTGCTTTAGCTGCATTCCATAAGTTTTGGTATGTTGTTTATTTTCATTCATGTCAAAGTACTTTCTAATTTTCCTTTTGATTTTTTCTTGATTTCTTCTGTGACCCATTGATTATTTAGGAGTATGCTGTTTAATTTCTACGTATTTGTAAAGTCTTCCATCCTTGCTCCTGTCGCCTACCCTTGTGACTCCCACCTCCACCGTCCTCACCCCCTCATCTGCCCCCCAATGCTCAGTCTCTTATATCCTGTCCTGGACCACTGCCACTATCCCCCTATGTAAATACCTGCCCTCTCCATGCCAGCTATGCTCCACCATGGTGGGTGGGCACCTACCCATGGAGAAGCCAACTCCAACATCTAGTTTCAGACCATCCAAAACCAATATCTGCTCTCCTTGGCCCTACTTAATGGATTTGGGGCTAAATTGTTAGGGAAGGAGAGAGGAAGAGGAAGTGGAGGGGAGAGTAAAGGAAAAGGAGAGAATGAGAGAGGCAAAGTGAAGAGAAAACTTGTCTTAAACATGCTCGAGCCGGGGCCAGGTGCAGTCGCTCACGCCTGTAATCTCAGCACTTTGGGAGGCCAAGGTGGGAGGATCATGAGGTCAAGAATAGAGACCATCATGGCCAACATGGTGAAACCCTGTCTCTACTAAAAATACAAAAATTAGCTGGACGTCGTAGCGTGCGCCTGTAGTCCCGCTACTCGAGAGGCTGAGGCAGGAGAACCGCTTGAACCCAGGAGGCAGAGGTTGCAGTAAGCCAAGATTGCACCACTGCACTCCAGCCTGGCTACAGAGTGAGACTCTATCCCAAAAAAAAAAGAAAAAAAAAATTGCTCGAACCTGGTGTGGTGGTATGCACCTGTAGCTACTTGTGAGGCTGAGGCAGGAGGATTGCTTGAGCACAGGATTTTGAGGTTGCAATGAGCTATGATTGCACCACTGCACTCCAGCCTGAGTGAGAGAGCAAGATCCTGTCTCTAAAAAAAAAAAAAAAAAAAAGATGTTGTAAAGCAAGCTTGTCCAACCCGCAACCCACAGGCACCCAGGACGGCTTTGAATGCAGCCCAACACAAATTCGTAAACTTTCTTAAAACATTATGAGTTTTGTGTTTTTTTTTAGCTCATCAGCCATCATTAGAGTTAGTGTCTTTTATGTGGGGCCCAAGACAATTCTTCTACCAATGTGGCCAGGGAAGCCAAAAGATTGGACACCCCTGCTCTAAAGTCTCCCTCTGGGCTCTGCACTCTGCTCATCACCCCATTAATGCCACTTGCCAATCCTCTGTCCCAAATAATAATAATAGCTAATATATATTAAATGCTTACCATAGTCTAGGTAGTGTTCCAAAGACTTTACAAATAAAACTTATTTAACTTTTATAACAATCTCATGAGGTAAATATTATTGCTATCCTCTCTTTACAGAAGACTGAGTATAGAGAGGTGAAATTACTTGTGCAAGGCCACCTGACTAGTTAGTAGAGAAGTAAGGATGTGATCCCAGGCTGTTTGCCTCCAGGGCCAATACTCTACCCCTACACTCTACTAACATATGCTCAGAATTCCTTCCCTCAGCTATTCTGACCCCTTGAAGCAGATACGTAAGGGAGTGTTGAAACACTGGTTGTTTTTAAATAACCATTACTAACTCTTAATGCCTCAGAATGGAGAAGCTATCCTATTCATCTGCCTTCAGCTCCTAGCACATAAACAGTCAATAAGTGAACTAAAAGATCTCCACTGGCTGACTAGTATTAGCACTCTGGAGCTCTTAGGTAACAAGAACAACTAGAGACAACTCTACTGGCCCAGTAATAAGAATTCTTTTCTGAGCAATGCAAAAACATAGACACACACACATGGGTAGCTGTATACACAGAGCAGTTGATTAAAGATATAGGAAACACCATAATTAGGGTGATTAGATTTACTTTAACCTGATTTTGGGGTGGAAAGTCTAAATACATCACACGCTTAAAAATTAATCTAATAAGGGACATACAAAACCTATGCAAAGAGAATGACACTCATGCACTGCCATAATGATGTTTTCATCAATGACAGACCACATATACAATGGGGTCCCATAAAATTATAATGCAGCTGAAAAATTCCTATCACCTAGTGACATCGTAGCCATAGTAAAAACTTAATGCAATACATTACTCACATGTTTTTGGTGATGCTGGTGTAAACAAACCTACCTTGCCGCCTGTCATATAAAAGTATAGTGCATACAATTATGTACAGTACAGTACATAACACTTGATAATGATAATAAACAGCTATGTTATTGGCTTATGTATTTACTGTACTATACTTTTTATCATTATTTTAGAATATACTCCTTGTACTTTTTTTTTTTAAGTTAACTGTAAAACAGGCTCTGGCAAATGCTTCGGGGGGTATTCTAGAAGAAGGCATTGTTATCGCAGGAGATAACTCTATGTGTGTTATTGTCTCTGAAGACCTTGCAGTGGGATAAGATGTGGAGGTTGAAAATAGTAATATTCGGCCAGGCGCGGTGGTTCACGCCTGTAATCCCAGCACTTTGGAAGGCCAAGGCAGGCAGATCACCTGAGGTCGGGAGTTTGAGACCAGCCTGACCAACATGGAGAAACCTGGTCCGTACTGAAAATACAAAATTAGCCGGGCATGGTGGCACATGCCTGTAATCCCAGCTACTTGGGAGGCTGAGGCAGGAGAATCACTTGAACCCAGGAGGCTGAGGTTGTGGTGAGCTGAGATCGTGCCACTGCACTCCAGCCTGGGCAACAAGGGCAAAACTCCGTCTCAAAAAAAAAAAAAAGAAAGAAAAGAAAAAAAGAAAATAGTAATATTGATCATCCTGACCCTGTGTAGGTCTAGGCTAATCTCTGTGTTTGTGTCTTCATTTTTAATAAAAATCTCAAAAAGTAAAAATATTAAATATAGAAAAAAGCTTCTAGAATAAGGATATAAAGGAAAAATATTTTTATACAGCTGTGCAATGTTTCTCTTTTAAGTTAAGTGTTATTATAAGAGCCAAAAAGTTTTAAAAGTTTATAAAGTAAAATTTTGCAGTAAGCTAAGGCTAATTTATTGTTGAAGAAAGAAAAAATTTAAAATAAATGTAGTGTAGCCTAAGTGTACAGTGTTTATAAAGTCTACAGGAGTGCACAGTGAGTCTCAGGCCTTCACATTCACTCACCACCCACTCACTGACTCACCCAGAGCAGCTTCCACTCCTGCAAGTTCTGTTTATTACACCATTTAAAAAATCTTTTATACTGATTTTTATTGTACCCTTCTATGGGTTTTTTGTTTGTTTTTTGCTTTCTTTCTTTTTTTTTTTTTTTTTTAGGAGACAGAGTCTCACTTTATTACTCAGGCTGGAGTACAGTGGCATGATCATAGCTCACTGCAACCTCAAACTCCTGGACTCAAAGAGATCCTTCTCTTTCAGCCTTCCAAGTACCTTAGACTACAGGCACATGCCACCGTGCCTGGCTGATTTTTTCCTTTTCTTTTTTCTTTTTTTTTTCTTTTTTTGAGACGGAGACTCGCTCTGTCGCCCAGGCTAGAGTGCAGTGGCGTGGTCTCAGCTCACTGCAAGCTCCACCTCCCGGGTTCACGCCATTCTCCTGCCTCAGCCTCCCGAGTAGCTGGGGCTACAGGCGCCCATCACCATACCTGGCCAATTTTTTGTATTTTTTAATAGAGACAGGGTTTCACCGTTTTAGCCAGGATGGTCTTGATCTCCTGACCTCGTGATCCACCCACCTTGGCCTCCCAAAGGGCTGGGATTACAGGCGTGAGCCACCGCGCCCGGCCAATTTTTTTTCTTTCTTTTTTTTTTTTTTTTTGGTAGAGACAGGGTCTCACTATATTGCCCAGGCTGGTCTCAAACTCCTGGGCTCCTGCCTTGGTATCCCAGAGTGCCTGTTCTATGTTTACATAGATACACAAATACTCACCACTGTGTTACGATTGCATACTGTACTGTATTCAGTATGGTAACAGGCTATACAGGTTAGTAGCCTAGGAGCAATAGGCTATACCATATAGCCTAGGTGTATAGTAGTCTGTACAATCTAGGTTTGTGTAAGTATAGTCTATGATGTTTGCACAATGACAAAATTGTTTAATGGCATATTTCTCAGAATGTGTCCCCATTGTTCAGTAACATGTGACTCTACAACAATTCACTCTCCAAAATAAAAGACTTGAACAAATAGATAAACATATCCTGTTGCTGGTTAGGTACACTTCATGTTAAAGAGAACGTAACAATACATAAAAATAAATAGGAAAAAATATCAAGTAATGTGTGCAGGGATTCTTGATCTTGCCTGCATATTAGAGTCTCTTAACTTATAAACTAACACCAAAAATTCCAAGGTAGGGTACCACTGCAGATCGATTAAAAAAGAATCTCTGGAAAATAGTCCAGGTGATTCTGATGTCAGCAAGGGTTGAGTGCTACTGTGATATAAAGGGAAAAGGTGTAGTGGAAATACTAGCTGTAATGGAATTAAAAATATATCTTAAAGTATAAAATGTATTACAAAATATTCCACTGAGCCAGGCCAGGCATGGTGGCTCACACCTGTAATCCCAGCACTTTAGGAGGCCAAGGTGGGCAGATCACTTGAGGTCAGGAGTTAGAGACCAGCCTGGATAACATGGTAAAACCCCATCCTACTAAAAGTACAAAAATTAGATGGGTGTGGTGGTGCATGCTTGTAATCCCAGCTACTCAGGAGGCTGAGGCAGGAACCTCCCCTGAACCCGGGAGGCAGAGGTTGCAGTGAACTGAGATTGTGCCACTGCACTCCAACCTGGGTGACAGAGCAAGGCTTCTCCCCCAAAAGGAAAAAAAAAAATGTGAGCCAAATTTGTTTAAGCCAGATGGAACAAAAGCAATGTAAAAATATTTTTTTATTTACTAAATGCTGTTGAAATACTGCATTTTATTTTGGAATATAATCAAAAATTTGGATACAAATTTCATATATACCATAACAAATTACAAATTGGTTAAAAAGTGAAAAATTGGAATAATTTAAAAACAACTTTATTGCAGAAGATGACTATTTTTTTTAAAGCTTATTTTAAAGGGTTAGGAAGTGGTGTTTGAATTAGACTTATTCTCCAGAATTATTGGGATTCTCAGAGTAATGAGAATAAGAGACCTGCAACTGGATAAACTGCTGATGGAAAGAGTGTTTGGAAGTTTCTTCGTCATTAACAGCTGTTAAAGGAACAAGTTTCCCCTCAAAAAAGACCGATCTTCCCTCAGCAGTACTCTTGCAACCAAAGGAAAAATTACATCTCTGAAATATTTTCCCCACCAAATTTGAAATGGAATCTGGAAGCAAGAATTTGTACTCTATTGCAAATATTATTTTGCCTGACCCCAAAGGGAGAGACAGAGAATGTACTCTTGCCTTGCAAGGGTGAGAGACTCAATCTGTACTCTGGCAGGCACTCCTAGAATTTTCTGCCACAGACTGTGTTTTTGGCACAGTGTGTGGCCACTGGTATTGGGCCAAGTGAAGATTCAGAGGGTATGACCGTGCCCAGGGCTGTGGGCAGGGCTTATTCTGTTCTCTCTGGGAAACAGATTTCCTCCCCTACCTGAGGGAGAGAATCAATCATCATCTGTCTAGTTTCTCATTTGGAGAGTTCCAGAGACCCATCCTGGGCCCTGGAGGCTCAGAGGCTTACCTTGTTGGACTTGAAGTTCAGACGCAGTGATGAGTTTCACCCAAGGAGCTACCCAAACCCATCCCTGCTGCTCTGAACAATATGAGAAGTATTTCATGAGGAAAATAATGTGCTAATGTCAGTGGATTATTTAAACAGGGAGATACTGCTTGGACACTGGCTCACTGGGAATGTTTTAGATAGGCTCTTTTGGTTCAAGAGAATTTATTTTATGTAACAGGGATTCTTTATAAAGATGCATTTGCTTAGAAATCTAGAAAATGCCAAATAGCCAGGCTTCATAGAGGAAAGGGGCCCACACAGAACTGGGTCTCATAGCCAGAATCAGAATCCAGGCAGCTCTAAGAACCTGAGGAACTGTGGTAATGGGTTTTTGTTCTAGGGCTCCATCATTAATGGGTCTCAGCTGTTCCCCAAGCAGCTGTCTGTACTTCTCTTTGTGTCTACTTTTCTGCCAGCTTCCACTGGTGTTCTTCCTTCTACTCTATATAACTCTTCTCTGCCTCACAGTGTACATCCTTGTTACAGCTTCTGCTTTCTCAGAACATTGAGCTTCCATGGCCCCTGTTGTGCCTTATCACCCTGCTCCTTCAGGCCTTACTTCGCACCACTCACTACATAATTCTCTCAGTATTTCTCAGTTCAAAGCTGTGAAAAATTTGATTGCCCAGATCCTCTTTTTGCCCCAAGTCATGTCATAGGACACTGGCCAACTTAAGGTTTGGCAGTTCTTGGGTGAGCTGCCCAACCTTAGTCTAATCAACCTAATGCAGAATGGGTCAGCTGGGGGCACTCTTTCAGTAGGAGCTGTGGGTCAGTCTTCCTTAGAAAGGGCTCTGATGTAGCAGGCATCTGATCCACATGACAAATGGATGAATGGATGGATAAGTAGATAAAAAGCAGAAAGGTATATTAGATAGAGAGAGAGAGAGAGATAGACAGATAGATAAATAGATAGACAGACAGAGATACTTAGATAGACTGACCAGCATATTTGTCCTTAGAGAAGTAGGGAGAGATTGTGGGCTGAACAACTGAGCAAGGCGGGAACGGCATTCACGTGTTGAAATATTTTATTTTATTTTTATTATTATTATTTTTGAGATGGAGTCTCACTCTTTTGCCTGGGCTAGAGTTCAGTGGTGTGATCACACCTCACTGCAACCTCCGCCTCCTGGGCTCAAGCAATCCTCCCACCTCAGCCTCCAGAGTAGCTGGGACCACAGGCACACACCACCACACCTGGCTAATTTTTTTGTATTGTTGGTAGAGATGGGGTTTCACCATGTTGCCCAGGCTGGCCTTAAACTCCCAAGCTTAAGCAACCTGCCTGCCTTGGCCTCCCAAAGTGTTGAGATTATAGGTGTGAGCCACCGCACCCAGCCAACACGTTGCAATATGTTAAAGAGATCTGATCCCCACCCTTAGGAACCAAGTAATGGACAGGTCCTGGTTGGGCCAGCGATTAATGCTAAGTTTCCTTTTAGAGAAATAAGATAGATTTCTCCCAAATTCTTCCACACAATTCTGCCTATTTCTTCATGTAGGGCTTAGTATTCTCCAGAATTTTCCTATTAGAATCTGCCGTAAATTACTTAGAATGGAGCCTAATTTGTGGTAACCACTCAGCAAATGAGCGGTTATTATTATAATCTTCATTAATTGAACAAATATTTGAGCAGCATATTACTTGTGGGCTACATTTGGCTGCATGTAATAGAATCCCAAATATAGAGGTTTAACCAAATAGGGTAACCACCCCTGTTACATCCCCAAATGAACAGATAATAACATCTCACCACCTTCATATAATAACAAGTTTGAAGGCAGGTAGCCCAGGGCTGGAATGACAACACACAATTCCTTCTCCTTCTTTCTGTTCAGCCATGTTCAGACATGGTTTTCGTCTTCATCTTTCGTCTTTGTCACCACATAGGCAAATAGCCCTAATCCTTGTCACTTCTAGCCACCCTAACCACATTCGAGGTAGGAAGAAGGAGGAAAAGAGGAGGAAGGGACAGTTCTCTTCACACTGTAAACGTTTCTCAAAAATGCCCTAGCCTATCTCATTGGTCAGGATTGTCTGGCTGATACTTGGAGCTGCAGGGGAAGCTGGGCACAATGCTACCCTAAACAAAACCAGGATTCTATTGGTAAGGAAGAGAAAAATGAATATAGGGTAGGAAACTAGCAGTGTCTCATCCAGCTCAGACACTGAGAAGCACAGTGCCAGCCCTCAAAAACAGGTGGAGGAAAGAGATAAGCGAGGAACTGTAACAGTGTGATAAAGATCGTGATGGAGGTGTTATCGTGGATGTGCATAAAAGGGACACGTAACTTGTATTTGAGAGGTCAGGAAAGCCTTGCTGAAGGAAATGATAGCTGAGACCTGAAGCATGGATAGGAGTTGGCCAGGGAAGAGAGAGAATGCACAGATGTTCAGAGGTGAGACTGGGTCTTTTCTTGCAGCACAAAGAAGTTTAGTGGGGAACAGAGTGCACCATAGCGAGCAGTGAGGTTGGAGGTGAGCAGGAGACAGAGCATGGACTTCCTAAGCCACTTTAAGGAATTTGTACCTGTCTTCAAGGCACTAAGAAGCCACTGGGGGTGCTTTTTTTTTTTTTTTTTGAGACAGAGTCTCAAATCTGTCAAAAATCTGTCGCCCAGGCTGGAGTGCAGTGGCGCAATCTCAGCTCACTGCAACCTCCACCTCCTGGGTTTAAGCAATTCTCCTGCCTCAGCCCTCTGAGTAGCTTGGATTACAGGCGCCCGCCACCACGCCCAGCTAATTTTTGTATTTTTAGTAGAGACTGGGTTTCACCATGTTGGCCAGGCTGGTCTTGAACTCCTGACCTCAAGTGATCCACCCACCTTGGCCTCCCAAAGTGCTGGGATTACAGGCGTAAGCCACTGCGCCCGGCCAGCCACTGGGGGCTTTTAAGCAGGAGAAATTTTGCTTGCTGGTTTTTAAAACTGGAGTGGGAAAATCATTCAATCACAGCAATTATCTTTAAGTGCCAGTAGATTACCTATCCCTTCTTAATGCACCAGGAGATACACAAATGCACCTCAGCCAAGTCCTCTTCCCTTGGACAGGGGTGCCCCCAGCTGGCCATTGCATTCAGAAGCTGGAAGCCATGTTTGTCTAAACCTCTTTAGAGGTTGGGAATTTCCTTCCCAACGTAATTCTGTGGGATAAAATCAGGCTTGTCCTGGAAATGCTACCCCAATCAGGAGTGGTCACTTTCTATCTTCTTTATTCTTCAATGTTTATGCTCAATAATAAAGATTCTTTTTTAAGGGTCAATCAAGTTCATCAAGGGTACTCTACAAGCCTAAATACACACAGAAATCATGAGTAACCTAAGTAATCTCTAATATGTTTGATTAGATCACCTAACTCTAGATAGAATGTTCATTTTTCTTGATTTAAAAAGGGCTCACACATTTGATTAATCTCCCATTTTACAAGATGACAAGTTTATCACTCCTGGACACTGGCACATTAGCAGGGACTACTATAGCAGCACTGGGTACATTATCACTACATTTCCCAAACTGGTATCTTCAGTGTACAACTTATTATTAAAACAGGATCTTGCTCTGCCACCAAGGCTGGAAGGCAGTGGCACAATCATAGTTCACTGGAGCCTCAACCTCCTGGGTTCAAGAGATCTTCCCGTCTCAGCCTCATGAGTAGCTGGAACTACAGACAAGCACCATTTAAAAATTTTTTTTAAGAGACTGGGTCTCACTGTGTTGCCTGGGCTGGTCTCGAACTCCTGGGCTCTTGATCCTTCCGACTCAGCCTCCCAAAGTACTGGGATTGCAGACATGAACCACCACATGTAGTTCGGAGAACAACTTATAAAAGAATGACATATTAGAAAACACCCTTTTTATTACTGCACTTACTTGGTACATTTCAATCTCAAGTTAAAGCAACTTTTCAAAGACAAGGGCATTATATTTTCCAGTCAGCTGAAAACAGTCATTTGCAACCCACTCTCCATCCCATTCCTGATTTCCTTCTCTATTTTTTTTCATAGAACTTTATCACATTTTAGCATACCATATAACTTACTACTGTCTTCCTTCACCAAATATAAGCTCTTTAAAACCAGGTATTTTTGTTTTGCTGAGTGATGCAACAATAGTGGTTAATAGTGCCCAGGAAGGCATTTAAATATTTGTTAAAAGAATTTGCAAATGTATCATCATAGGTGTTTCTTCGTATGGCTGTCTTCTGTTCTGCCAAGGAAGGGCCAAACTCATCTGTGAATTTTCGCACCTTCTACTTCTTTTCTGTGTGTGTGAGTTGCTGAATCCTACCTTTCAGGCAACAAAAGCAAATCAACAAATTGTTCTAAGGCAGTAATTACACACAGGACCCTTTTCCAGCAGGCAAATCAACTTTCAAAAGCAATGTCATCCATCTTCCTTCATTAGTTGAGGCTCTAAATGCCATTCATCACACTAAACCTATTCATTTATACTGTCACTCCATGCTGCCGTCATTGCACATTTTTCATATGTTACACTGGAATGATTCAGGCACTCTACTAACATAATTGGATTAGCTAGATGGTATTTTGGCAGACCTGAAAATCTGGAAAGACTGTTAATGAATCCTTTCCAAGGATCTGAATTCCCTCCTGAGCAGCAGAATCAGGGAGATCTTTGTCTTTCTATTCTTGCATCCATCCTTTCAACTCACTTATCTACCCAAAAATTACTTACTCAACTTTATATATAAAGGCATTTTTTACTGCAGACCTCTAGGAAATTTTTGTTGAGACTAGATTATAATCTCCACAAAAAGTGTCTGACCTACAGTAAGTGCTCTACGTTTTGTTGAAAGAATGGTGGGCACTTTATATCTTTATCACTCATTTCCAAATGCATAATCTGATGGTGGTCAATGTACACAGGCCCACCAGAGACCCAGCTGGCTAATCTAACTGGGCCAGAGCCAGGTGGCTTGTTTAAATCACTGTGGTGGGCAGAGTCCTAAATTGGCTCCCCAAGATATCCCTCAGACCATGAAACTTGGTGTCTGTGGTTATTACATAATCTGGCAAGAGATTTACAGATGTAATTATGATTCTCATCAGTTGACTTTGAGTCAAGCAAAAAGATGTGGTAGGCCTAATCACACAAGCCCTTTAAAATCATTTTGTCTGGTTTGTAGCAGAAAGGGAAGTCAGATAGATTCCAAGTATGAGAAGAACTGAATGCACCACGCCCAGCTTAAAGATGGAAGGAGCCATGTGTCAAGAAATGTGGGTAGCTTCCTGGAGCTGAGAGTGGTACCTGACAGTCAGCAAGGAAATGGGGACCTCAGGACCACGATGCAACAATCTGGCAACTCAATGAGCTTAGCAGCAGACTCTTCCCCTAGACTCCAGACCAAAGCCCAGCCTGGGACTCAGCTTGATTTCAGCTTTGAGACCCTAAACAAAAAAAATTCCAGTCAAATCTGCCCATCTGGCCTACAGAACTGTAAGATACTGTTTGTGGTAATTTGTTAAGCAGCAACAGAAAACTAGTAACATAACCACTCCATACACTAGAAAGTGGTTTTTTTTGCAAGGACCAAATCCTGTAATTACAGCAGGTTTGTTACTAACTCATTTGCTGTCATGCAAGCTCTTCCCTGCTCTTCCCTTTCCTGAATTTCTGCTTTCCTTTTCCATGACCATGGAAATACTGTCCAGGAAAGAATTCCACCAAAAATTAGTTTTTATATCTGAAAATAAGATCAGTTAAGGTACTAAAAGAAAACTTCTTTGGGCATTGTCCAGCTTATAATACTGCCCTTTTATAATCAACCCACAAAGATAAATCAAGGAATAAACTTATCAATAACCAAAAAGGTCCACATCCATGCCAATAAATTTATAAAAATTAAAAAATACACTACAAATCAGATATTGAAAGTGCATGCAAATTATCTTATGAGAACTGTCTTGCAACCTGACAGGATATTAAAAAAATAGAAACTAAAAATTCAATAAATAAATAAAAAGAGAACTGTCTCAACATAGAAAACAATCAAATAAATATGTACACTGAGTCAGAAAATTATTTTAATAGTTACAAAAATTTTTTTTTTTTTTTTTTACAGAATCAGTATAAAATAGCAGTTGATTTCTCCATAATTATCAGAATTATTTATACTTGAGGTCTTGGCTAAGTGGGGCTGAAATCAACAAAAGGTCTTGGACTGTTGGCTCAGAAATCATCCTAGAAAGCCCGCCCTGTTGATATCTGTCATGCTTAGCTCTTATGAGATGACCCAGTCCTTAAAAAAAAAAAAAAAAAAAAAAAAAAAAGAATCTCTCTTTATTCATTCTTTGGAGGCTTGAAGTGAATTCGGCAGCGTTCATTAAACACCTAAAATATTGAAACAGAAACAAAAGTCATTGAGTTATCCTGCGTAAATCAGGCCTGGAACTAAATTCAATTTAGTAGGCTCCAAAAGGCTATTACCATTTTTGTCCTAAGTCAACAGATTTAGGAAACAGAAGAGTTTCCTCAGCAGTTCAAACTGACTTATGAGGTGCCAAATGCACAGAAGGCCTTGACATCCATTTACAAGACAATTCTAGTATTTTAATAAAATTTAAGTTACTTCGGGAAAAAATCATCAAGAGCCAGGTAATTTAGTTACTAGCAAACATTTCAATTTCATATTCTGGACATTTTTTAAACAACAACACAAAAATATCTAAAATAAGTTAAATAAAGAATGCTCAATAACTAAATGTCCACATGGAACTGTGTTAAATAAAAATTTGGTATGGTTATTCAATGGAATACATGCAAGGTTAAAAATAATTTATGTTCTGATTTAAAAAGATCTCCAAGATTATCAAGGGAAAAAAAAGTGTGAATAGTACAGTTTCACTTGTGTAACAAAGGTAGAAAAATACACACACACATAAAATTAGAAAAGGTTTGAGTATCTGAAAGCATATACCATCTTTCAGAGGGAAGGGAAAGTAGGAGGTAGCTGAAGGAGAGGGACAGAAGGCAGAATTTTTACTGTATATTACTATTTTTAAAATTTTTAAAACATTTTTAATATTAAAAAAATTTAAATCATGTCAAAAATTTTAAGTGTCCAATTATAACAATTCTGAAATTGAAAAGAATTTTTTCTCAGAATTTACCCCCATACATCATTAATGTAAAGAACAAATCACTTTTTAGGTTAAAAAAAAACAAACTACCTATGTTGGCTGCCATTGACTATTATAAAAATAAAAGAAAAATCTAAACACAGAGGTTGTGAGGTACTGTTACTCTATTTCTTTTTATTTATTTATTTTTTTGAGACGGAGTTTCGCTCTTGTCGCCCAGGCTGGAGTGCAATGGCGTGATCTCGGCTCACTGAAACCTCCACCTCCTGGGTTCAAGCAATTCTCCCGCCTCAGCCTCCCGAGTAGCTGGGACTACAGGCACCCGCCACCATGCCCAGCTAATTTTTTGTATTTTTAGTAGAGACGGGGTTTCACCCTGTTGGTCAGGCTGGTATCGAACTCCTGACCTCAAGAGACCCACTCACCTCGGCCTCCCAAAGTGCTGGGATTACAGGCGTGAGCCAGTAAAGTGCTGCGCCTGACCTATTATTCAATTTCTTAAGCTGAGTGGTAGATACATGAATATTCATTTTATTAATATTCATTAAATTCTACATGTCACATAATCTTTCGCATATGCATCTCACAATTAATAGAAAATATGTAGAAATTATATAGACTCTGTCTAGCCCTTTTGTCTTACAATTCATCTCACCCATTTCCAGCCCTGACATTTCCCTGAAATTCCCAATCAGACAAGAGGGAGGCTTCAGTTTAGTGGCCTTGACACACTGGTTGGGGTGATATATACAACTTGGCTGAGCTTCTCCAAATCCTTTTCCCAAATGATTTCCTATCCACTTCTGCTGGCCCACTGCACCAGAGCACCATGGCTACATTTTCTTCTTTTTAAAACAAGTAGGGGCCTCATCTTCTGTGGAGTGGATAGAACATATTTTCTTTAAAACTAATATTAAATTCAAAATAGTTCACTCTTCCCACTACATTTTACATATATCATAAACTTCTGCACTTGTTTTTTCAAGCCAGATGTTTCATTGTACCCCTTCCCCATCCAATCCCAAGAGTAAATATTATTTTTCCAGAGAATATAAATGGGAAATATTGCCAAATCCTCTCAAGTGACAGACACCTTATCATGTTGGTGGAAAGGGCAGGAATAGGAAACCTTGGCAAAGAGGATAAGATAGAGAAATGTGATAAAGCAAAGAAAGCCAATTTGTATTTTGCAATGTGTTCATGTCTCAGCAAGCCGGTACATTCTGGTTTTGGTTCAGCTAACCTCTCTTATAAGCATATAGTTTAACAACATTCCAGTAGTTAAATTCAAATGATAAAACAGAATTTTCAGTACATTTTCTCAGATTTAATAGATTTTTGCCCTTCGTAAATCTTTTAGAGTTTTAGAGAGGGGTAAATGGATATACTTTTTCAGAAAACTAAAGTCAGAGTTTCATGAATTTTGACTATATGTTTCTGGGATCTGGTCCCCTAATCTAGTTCCTAACAAGAACTATGCAATGATAATAAGGAGCTTGTAAATCTATGAGCAATAAAAAGCCTTATCAGATACCAGTAAAACTACATATAATAACAAGTTTTATGATCAGGTAAGTTAGAAGACAAGCAACCGTATAGGTTACCTAATGATAGGAAAACTTACGGAAAGTAACTGAGCTCAAAAAGGCTAATTTGAACAAATAGCCTCCTTGAAGGTTCTGAGTAGTAACTCTAAATAGCAACCATGCCTGTAATTAGTGTTAGGAGACATAGAGAATGTCTCTAATGCTGTTATGATGGCAGCTCATTCAGTTCTATCATATGCTTATAAAGCTAATTTTGTTTTGTTTTGTTTTGGTTTTTTTTTTTGGAGATGGAGTCTCATTCTGTTGCCCAGGCTGGAGTGCAATGGCTTGATCTCAGCTCACTCCAACCTCTGCCTCCTGGGTTCGAGCGATTCTCCTGCCTCAGCCTCCCGAGTAGCTGGGATTACAGGCTCATGCCACCACGCTAATTTTTGTATTTTTAGTAGACACCTGACTTCAGGTGACCCACCCACCTTGGCCTCCCAAAGTGTTGGGATTACAGGTGTGAGCCACCTCGCCTGGCCCTGTAAAGCTAATCGTTATAAAATGGCTCTAATTAGATGCTAACTGCATCCTGCTCTCCCTACCCTCCCCCCAACCCCAAAAGGTTACAATCCTCAATTGTAAATGTAAACGAGTGATCTCTACTTTCCTTACAGCCTCAAGGCACTCTTTACTCCCCCTCCCTTGGTTTCCCTTTGCTAGTTCAGTTTCCCTCCTACTTCTTTCCAAACACCAACATTATTTTATACCTTCCAGCTCCTGTCATTTACCACTTCTTCAACATTCAGTTCTGACTGCATCCATTTCAACTGCAAGAAAAAAAAAAATTGAAGTTATAAAATTTAAAGAGCAAGAAAAAAAACTGAAGTTATAAAATTTAAAGAGCTAAAACCACACTCATGTTTACCCAACAAAACCTGCTACTGCTCTAGTATTTTTGTCTGTTAATGGCAGAGTTTGGAAGCTTCTTTGACACAATCAGCTTTCCCCATATCTAATCAATTGCTAATCTCAAACTTTGCTGCATATCCTAATCACCTTGAGAGCTTTAAAAAAAAAATATCCCAAGGCCAGTCAGTTCACAGAAGACATACAAAAGGCCAGTAAACATAACAAAATGCCAATCTTACTCCAGTATAAAGAAATGCAAATTAAGCCATAACATGGCAGAATGAATAAGTTTGATAAAACCTAACATTAGTGAAGGTACGTGAAAAGATATACTCATATATTCTTAGTAAGAGTATAAATTGTTACAAAATCTATGGAGGGCAATTTGGCAAGAATCATAGGAAATGTACATTCTCATGTCCTTGAACCCAGGGATTCCAGTTCTAGAGATTGATCATACAACTACAGACTTGCAAAGATAGCACAGAGGAAAAAAAGGACAAGGAAGTGCAAACCTGACCTGAATAGAGAATTAAGAAAAAAAACCCTCAGGGAGGAAAGAGAATATACATGGAAGTGATCTAGAAAGGCATGCGTTTCCTCACACCTTAACCATACAGTCAGAGGTCTCAGGCTAAAAATGCCAAGTCTTTCTAGCTTTCTTTATAACTGCCAACCTAATTACTCCAACAGAAAAGTAGCCAATTCCATTGCCAGGCCCTGAGAGCAGGACTCACCATACTCCCAGTAGCATTTTGTTAGAGGACTTGAAGGGGAAAAAGCTGGCTAGTTCCAGGCAGAAGGCTTGAAAATATTCAGGAAAATGAGGAGAAAAAAGCATGAACTATAGGTTGATGCCAACTAAGAGGTTAACACCAGGACGATTTCCTCAGGCCAAAGTGAAGAACCCAGGCCAGATTTGGGAACAAAATGTCAGAAAGCTCAACAAGATCTGGGCAAGCATGAATCTGACACCTAGGCCAAAGACCCTGGCCAACCAGGAGCGCAGTTCAGGCAGGAGGTTTGAGAAATTTGTGGCAACAACGATAAGAATGGAACTTCGGACAGATCCAATGGCTCCTTGCAAACTCCCTTCTTAGATTCAGAACTGGCGTCAAAGCGTAGGCCTGTACATATGGCTAGAACTGTGGAACAAGGAGAAGGACTCATTCTGACAATTAGTCCTGTGCTGTGCAGTAGTAACAAGCCTGAAGAAGCCCACCAATGCAACCTAAGTTCCCATTTTAATCAGCCATACAGACCAAAATCATTAAAGCTCCACTTCTCTGACAAAGCCTGGACTGACTGCCAAAGAAATAATTTCAGTTGAAGAACAGTGTGAAAGTCACTAAGATAGTCTTCAAAACTGCTCTCAAATATTTAAAGGGATACTATGTAGAAAAGGGTTCAGAATTATCCTGGGTAACTCCAGAGAGAAGATTAAGAAGCAGTACTTATATATCATGGGAGCAGAATTTCACAATATGAAAATCTTCGAACATTAGAACTGTCCAAAAGAGAATACCCTGACACTGAGACAGGGAATCCTCCCCTGTCACAACACCCTGCCCTTAAGCAGTAGTGAAACAAAAGCTAGAAACCACTGGTTGGTGATATGACAAAGAAGATTAATGCAACAAATATGGAGTCCCAGAGACTCATAAAGGAAAGAAACTGCTACTTTGTAGCAGCCAATATGCTAGCTCTTACTTACATCCTTGAATCCTCCCCGCACATGCCCCCCAGAAATAAGAAGTTATTAGGTATCAACTCCATTTTACAGATTCAAAATCAGACTTTTCAGAACAATTAATACACAAGGTTACAAAGCCACCAAGGTAGGTGGGATTTATTTCCTCAGAGCTGTCTGCCTTTGGATTATTTTTTAAAATTCTACAACATTGCAGATATTACAGCCAATTTCTAATACAATTTTATCAGTGCTACCAACAAACTGTCACCTTTGAGACAGTTGTCTTTGAGACTGTAGGTCTTCAACAGGTAAACTTAAGGCCACTAACATGTGACAGCAGTTATAGAGGTCCAGCAACGAAGGTGCTTTTTTTGAGTTAAATATTCAGGTAAACTAGTGGGGATTTTTTGACTGGCATCTGTCTATAAATGAAATATACTCACTAAAGTATCTGACTATTAGTCACAACTTAAAGAAACTGACTGAATGCAGGGTCAGAAGAGATGGGTTAAAGTCCCAGTTCTACCACTTACTAGCTTGTGGCTTTGGGGGTGTCAGTTAGTATCTCAAGTATCTCTGAGTCTTTTTCCTCAGATAGAAAATGAAGAGGTAGAGCTGTACCATCTCCAAGAGCTCTCTCTGATTCCATAATCTTCATAGCAAACTTGAAAATTGAAAAAAAAAATTCACATTTCCTTATTTGCTTATGTACTACCCCATGGTTACCCCCAACCCTATATGTTATCAAGCTAGAAAGCAAACCTCATGCAACTCACTGATTGGTTTCTAAACCCTCCTTGCAGTGGTCATCCTGGTGATTCTATCTGGGCCCTAAAGACACAAGGGCAGATCTCAAGGCTGAGCAAATTGTGTGTCACAATCATTCCCAAACACTCAGTAGAGTTTTGAACTTTGCTCTCCACTAATGAGTCACTCTGTTGTTTGACTTGATCTGCAAACAGTGACTTTTCAGTTTCCAATTTAACAGCCTTTGCCCTGCAGTTTCCTTTGTCAACACCTTCAAGGGCGTTGAAATACAAACTCCAAAATTACTAGACTTTCACCAGTTTTATATAAATTATCTATATGCCGGCTGGACACGGTGGCTCATGCCTGTAATCCCAGCACTTTGGGAAGCTGAGACGGGCAGATCACAAGGTCAGGAGTTCGAGACCAGTCTGGCCAACATGGTGAAACCCTGTCTCTACTAAAAATACAAAAAAAAATTAGCTGGACGTGGTGGCAGGCACCTGTAACCCCAGCTACTAGGGAGGCTGAGGCAGGAGAATCTCTTGAACCTGGGAGGCGGAAGTTTCAGTGAGCCAAGATTGCACCACTGCACTCCAGCCCAGGCGATAGTGCGAGACTCCATCTCAAAAATAAATAAATAAATAAATAAATAAATAAATAAATAAATAAATAATCTATATGCCTTCATGAACAGCAAGGGGAGTAAGATCAACATCACTGCATAAGGTCACTGTCCAAGGGATCCACCAGTGCCTGTGGCATGAGCAGGTATGGAATACAGACCTGACGCAGTAGTCATGAACAAAGAGAGCAGCAAAGACAGTGGCTGAGTCCTGGATCCAGTGAGACATCCAGAATTGGCGGAATGATCGAAAAAGTGCAGCAGCCTGGCCTACTCACCTTGTGTGCAGCCAGCTACAAGGAAAGAGGTTTCTTTTCTTTTCTACTAATAGTTTTCAATAGATGACGAGGTCCCCTTTTCAAAGTTCAGCTACATCTACTAAACAAAGGGCAAACTTCATGACTGTGCAGTATGAAAAGCATGACTCAATCCCACAAGGATCCGTAAGTCACCTATTATGCCATCTTAAAATACAAACATGAAGTCAGGTGTGATGGCTCACACCTATAATCCTAGCACTTTGGGAGGCTGAGGAAGGTGGATCACTTTGAGCTCAGGAGTTTGAGATAAACCCGTGTAACATGGTGAGACTCCATCTCTACCCAAAATACAAAAAATAAGCTGGGTGTGGTGGTTCGCGCCCGTAGTCCCAGCTACTGGGGAGGCTGAGGCAGGATTGCTTGAGCCCCAGAACCAGAGGTTGCAGTAAGCTGAGATTGCAACACTGCACTCCAGCCTAGGTGACAGAGTGAGACCCCATCTCAAAAAACAAAAAAAAAACCATGATTTTGATAATTGTACACTGGTCCTGTAGGAAAAGTCCCTGTTCTTAGAAATAACTAATGAGTTTAAGGGTAAAGTGGTACAATGTGTATAACATAGTCTCAAAATGGTTCATGAAAAAACTGTATTTATGCATACAGGTGTGTGGGGAGACAGGGAGAGGGAGGAAGGCAGGGAAGGATGAAGAGAAGGAGAGAGGGAGGGTGAAGAGAAGGAGAGAGGGAGGGTGAAGAGAATGAACTGTAAAGCAGGTGGGGCAACATATAAACAATAAGTGAATATAGGTAAAGGGCACATGGGAGTTCCTTACACTATTCTTACAACTTTTTGGTAAGTTTGAAATTATACAAGATAAAAAGTTACCCCCTAAGAGTCCCCTCAAAAGAAAGACAGCAATAAATCCCACATAATAAAATATGCTGTATTTTTCTATTGTTTCCTTGACACGTCACATACAAGTGCTGTAAAGAAACAGTTCTGCTGCATTAACTGTATTCTGAAGTCTACACCCTATCTACATTATAGTTGATTTGGGAAAATAAGGCTTCCTCTGACACATCCCTAGGTAGGTACTTGCTATTTTCTTAAAAGTAAAAACACTGCAGGGATAGGGGAGGAAATGGGAAAAAGTCATGTCCAAGAAAAAGCCAAAGATCCCTAGCAACTTTTACACAGTAGGGAAATAAATTATAATGAGGTACAAGTAAATCTGGTTATATTTAAATCATACTATATTTTTATGGCTAACGAGGGTAATATCCTGAAGTTAAATAGTCTATATTACATTTCAGCAGATTTCTACACAATGAAACTGGAGCTATTTCCAAAATATATTAGAGATGTTTTTCTCAGGTTATGTCTCAAAAGGCAGATACTGTACAGATGTGATTTCCCCAGAATTTCTGATGTGGTACTTCACCTGTAGTGATCCCTTGTCTTTAATAGTGGGAAAGAAACAAAGAAATGAAAATAAATTATGACTGTGCTTATTTTAGACAAAGCTGCTATGCTGCATTTGTTCAAGAAGTGCACATTAATTTACCAATTAATAACTAAACATAATAAAATAAAGCTCACTAAAAATGAAGCACTAATCTCTTGATCATTTTTTTAAGTAACTGCCATATTATATGCCAAAATTTTCATATTAAAAATCTTACTTTGAAGGCTACAATTGGAAAAACTTTGCCTGAGAAATGTTAATTCTGTTCAACTTACCTTTGTCTGCTCTTTTCTAAGTTGTTTTAATAACGTTAAATCGTCCAAATTCTTTTCTCTCTCTTCTCGGAGGTTTTTTACTACTGCTGAAGTCTGGGCTATACAGTTTTTTATGACTCTGTCTCTACTGGCATGAGCTGCCATCAACTAAAAGAACAAAGGAATGAAAGGAGAAAAAAAAACTGCATAAATTTATCACATTTTAGTGTTTTTCAAAAAAATCCTTGAGACTATAGAAATTCAATACTTTCTAAAACAATTTCTGACGACTGAAACCATGAAAGAGAAGATTGTGTTGAATCAGCTACCTCATCTAAAAACATAACTGGCAGCATCTCTGAGGGTGGAAGGTATGAGGTCTGGGGCTGTCCTCTTCCTCAATATGCTCCTGGTATTGACTTCAGCTTTCCTTCTGCATTCCCCAAGCTGGGCTTTTCTCACTTCAGTTTCCTCTGCCCTACACCACTGACTTTCCCCATGATTCCATTCATGTGTTCCTCTATTCTACAACCACCCGCACACACCTGGCCACTTAAACGGCTATTCTTCCTCTCTTTGTCCTTTCATATTTTTTCCTGTCTCACATTGTCAACAAGTGAAAGAAATTATAAACTAAGTCATGTATAGAAGATTTCATTACAATAAATAACAAAGAATGCTACCTTTACCTTCGCAAGACAGAGCCCTTTTCAAGATTATAAAATATAAGTATTGATAAGGAAAACTTATATATGAAGCACAGATTAGTGGTTGCATCAATTGTGTGTGCTTATTGAAATTAAGGATGTCTGACAGAACAACTCTTGATAACCTCCATCTTAATGCAACAAATTAATAAAAACATTTCTCATTTATTTCCCATCTTGATTCTAAAGTATCATGGTCATGTTTCAAACATACTTCCATAATCATAGCCACATTTTGATAATACCCCAAAATCTGCATTTGTTAAACATTGTTTCAAGTTCATAGACTCTATTGTTCAGTATTGATTTTTATGTTTACCATGGGAATAAACAATGTAAAGCTAGAAAAATGTCATAGATTGAAGGGAATATGCTCTAATAAGATCTCATTGAAATTTACAAGTTTTACCTTGAGTATACTTTTGAGATTTGAAATTTCTAAAATGAGTGCTTCATAATAACCTTACTGATCAACTCCTAGGAAGAAGCGTTATTTGAAAAGGCAAATATCCCTTCTTCAGCTACAGAAGGAAGCTGGGTCAGGGATTAAAGTCAGGGTGAACATGAGCAACTTGGATATTTCATAGAGTTCTGCTTCTTGACTGACATAATACTTAAGGGAACTCAGTGGTGCTTATTGGTATGGGCACTCTGCTGCAGGCTCGATCCCTGGCACAAAGCTACTTGAAAAATTAAGCTTTACTTGATATACATGTTGCTGAATCCTTCCAGGATATAGATACAGAGAAAAACTCAAACACACACACAGGATTTCCAAAACAGAAGAGTTCTAAATTTAGTATGCAAGCTTATCCTGATTCAACAAGGAGATAAAAAACAACAACTTGTGATTCTCACAGGGCCTGTTAAAAAAAAAATGATAGCAGTAGCAGCAAACATTTTTTTGAGACAGGGTCTTGCTCTGTCACTCAGGCTGGACTGTGGTGGTGTGATCTTGGCTCACTGCAACCTCTGCCTTCTGGGCTCAAGCAATCCTCCTGCCTTAGCCTCCCAGGTAGCTGGGACTATAGGCGCACACCACTACGTCCAGCTAATTTTTGTATTTTTTGTGGAGATGTGGTTTCGCCATGTCACCCAGGCTTGTCTTGAACTCCTGGACTCAAGTGATCCTCTCACCTCAGCCTCCCAAAGTGTTGGGATTACAGGTGTGAGCCACTGCACCTGGCCAGCAATATTTGTATACAAAACACTTAGTACTGTAAGCACTTTATAATTCAATGCGCCAACAACTCTATGAACTAGGTACCATTATTATACTATTTTACAAATATTAAAACTGAGGCAGACAGCCGGGCATGTTGGCTCACGCCTGTAATCCCAGCACTCTGGGAGGCCAAGGCGGGTGGATCACTTGAGGTCAGCAGTTCAAGACCAGACTGGCCAACAGGGTGAAAACCCTATCTCTACCAAAAAATACAAAAAAAATCAGCCAGGCATGGTAGCGTGTGCCTGTAGTCCCAGCTACTTGGGAGGCTGAGGTGCAAGAATCATTTGAACCCAGGAGGTGGAGGCTGCACTGAGCTGAGATTCTGCCACTGTACTCCAGCCTGGGTGACAAAGTGAGACACTGTCTCAAAAAAAAAAAAAAAAAAAAAAAAACTGAGGCAGAGGTTATGTGACATAATCAAGGTTACCCAGCTAGGAGGTAGCAGATGTGAGATTAATCTAGATCTAGAGTCCATATTGTTAATCACTACACTATAAACGTCTAGGTTAATAGGAAGATTGTAAATGGAAACAATTTTATAGATTATGGAGATTATATGAGTAGTGAGGTGAGAGAGGGAGTATCACCAAAGTGACCATAAATTCTAGTTCTTCAGACAGAGGTACCCAAAGAAAGTGAACTGTCAAACAACCTCATAGCCAATTAGGACTAGGTCCCATCCTGTCGACTCCCAATACTGAATTCTACTCATTAAAGTCCACAATCTTATGATTTTCTCAAAGAAGACTTACCTGCTCATTTAAAATAACATACTTTAACACAGAACAAAAATATCAGTAGTTAATGCTCTGAATTTAACTGACATGGATAAGCTTGTCCAAAACTGATCTGAGAAAGGCAGTTTAGGTTTTAAGGATGCCTTCTTTACGACTATGAATCCAAACAGTAACCTTGTGGTAGAGCTTAAAATAGCAAGTGTCATTTGAACTTTAGCTTCCAAATTACTAAAAGAATATAGGTAAATAAACTATAAAAAAGATTTTGCTGCATCATTATTTCCTTCTGCTTTTGGAGACTAAAAAAGAGAAATAAAGGGGGGCAATGAAAAATGTATACTTGAGAAACCAAAGCCTCAGGAAAGGACAACTGATCCACTGGCTTTCCTTCTCTCCCAGTTGCCAAATGCTTCTATTCCCCTTCCTGAGGAGTGAGAAAAAGAAGGTTTAAAGGTGTGAAGGGTTTTAATTCTTCCTTGTACCAGCTGCCTGGCTTTTTAGGACTGACGTGCTCACATTCCTTGCTCTTGTTACTGTTTTACTTCACTGTTTCACTCTCCTCCTTTCATTCCTTTGTACATAAGGTCTCCTTAAGTTAAAGGCTACAAAACAACTGCTCCCATTCTTTAGAACCATTTCTTCCCAGGTTTGGTAAGATTTCACAAGCGTAAGGTCACACATTTTCTTTAATGTGTAGTAACCAGATCAAAACTTATATACACCATCAGGTATAGGCAAAGAAAAGATGTCATTCCTTTAGTCACAGTCGAGTTACAAGATAACTGATTTCTTATTCAGCCTGCAAAGAAAGGCATGAAAGAAGCAAAAGACTCAAAAAATACACTTACAGACTCATAAAGTTGTTTACAGGTTTGGCTGGCATCAATTTTCCCTGCAAAGGAAGCTGTTGGAACCGTAGTGTTTAATTCATGTACTATTCTGTCATCAATTGTCCTCATCACCTTGAGTAATTCCTATATGTATTTAAAATAAAAGAATATAACCCAAATGGAAAGTTAGTGACAAAAAATAAGCATTTAAGTAAAAAATAAAGCTCTTGGATATTTTACAATCCTTTAAGTCAGGAGTGAGGAAACCAAGCCAAATACATGCAACCATAAGAAAATGTTCAAGGACAATAGGTAGGTTAAGTAATGGTAATCCTAACAGTGGGCACCAACTCTGCCTCCTTGGCTCAAATGTGATTGTCTTAAGGGTTAAGACTGTTTTACTCATGTTGAAATCCCATTTGCTGGCACGGTGTTTAGCAAACAGTGTATGCTCCTTCCACCTCCAGCATACAGCCAATAAAGTGTACTACTAGTTTTTATTTTTTCTTAGTAACCATAGCTCATATGTTCCAAGGATCCATCTTACCTCAGAAAGCCTCCAACTCTCAAAAAAAAAAAAAAAAAAAAAAAACCAACAGAAAAATAATATCAAAAGGGCAGGGAACTTAAAAAGACTGGTAGTAAGTACCTACACAGCACAACCCCTCCTACCCACATATGATCAGTGTACTTCTTTTCACTTGTCACTAGAGAAAGGCTGGACATCAGCTACATCTCGTCTTCAGTTAAACTCTGGGAGAAGTTTCTGGCAGTATATCTTTCTCTTTCTTTTTAGTTTCTCAAATTTACAAAATATTCAAACAAGAACAAGAACAACAACAACAACAACAAAACACAGCCACTTAAAAAGCATCAAGAAAATGGCTGGGCACGGTGGCTCACACCTGTAATCCCAACACTTTAGGAGGCTGAGGCAGGAGTATCACTTGAACCCAGAAATTTGAGACCAGCCTTAATGACAGACATAGTGAGACCCTGTCTCTACAAAAAAAAAATTTTTTTTAATTAGCCGGACATGGTGACTCATGCCTACAATCCTAGCTACCTGGGAGGCTGGGGCAGGAAGATCACTGAACCCAGGAGTACAAGGCTGCAGTGAGCTATGATCACACCACTGTACTCCTGCCTGGGCAATAGTAAGACCCTGTCTCTTAAAAAAAGAAAGAACGAATGAAAATAAAACAGAATTATATAATACTAGGAATATACTTATTATTGAAAACATCCAAGTTAATATTCAATATTAATATGTATTAAAAGCAACGTTTGATTCTTTTTCCCTCAATATACTATGCTACTTCTTACCTTTGCCAAACTTAAATCCATGACTGAAACCAACTCCTTTCTTTCCTCGTCCATTTGTTAAAATAAAAATTATTATTATTATTACTTTCATTTTAGAAAAGTTAGAAAAAAACTTTAAATAAAAATCATCCATAGTTAACCATTATCAACATTTTAATATGTCCCTTTGGTCTTTTTTCTACACATACCTATTAATGTTTTTATACAACTGAGGTACTATGTAACATTTTAAAATCTGGCTTCAAGACATTATATTATGAGCATAATATAATGTTGCTAGAAATGTCTTGAAAGTTTTTTTTTTTTTGAGACAGGGTCTCACTCTGTTGCTCAGGCTGGAGTGCAGTGGCGCGATCTTGGCTCACTGTAACCTCTGCCTCCTGGGCTCAGGTGATCCTCCCACCTCAGCCCCTCAAATAGCTGCAACCACAGGCATGTGCAATACACCTTGCTAATTTTTTTGTATATTTTTGTAGAGAGAGGGTTTCACCACATGGCCCAGGCTGGTCTTGAACTCCTGGACTCAAGCGATCCACCGGCCTCAGCCTCCCAAAGTGCTGGGATTACAGGCAAAAGCCACCGCACCCAGCCCTGAAGATATTTTAAATAGTTGCGTTTAAGTATTCTATCCTGTTCAAGCACAACTCATTTGGCCACTTTCTCATTAACAAACATTTAGGTTGTTTCCAATTATAAACCATTTAGCCCATTCAATCTAAGTCTGTAGTCTAGATTCTGTTCTATCATTCCACTAATTTTTAATTAGTGAATTTAATGGCCTTTTCTATACCTCAATCTAGAAGTGAAACGGCTTGCAGAAGGCTCATAATTCAGACTAATAAAACACTAGCAAATATCAGGTCTAAAACCAAGTTCATTATCTTCTCGTCCTGTATCTTTCTATTTTTTTAATAGTATTCTCTGTAAACTGGAATTCTTAAGGAATAATCTCAATGCATTCATTGGGCAACCACCACACATAGTGAAGGATATATGTATTGTGCTTAAGTGGTAAATTCCAAACAAATGATGGCAGTACTATTTGGGAAGTCCAAAAAAAAAAATAGGTAAGTAGAAGACAGGGACCTACCTTGCCACTTTACCTCCTATGACTGGCCTATTTTTTTTTTTTTTTTTAAAAAAAAAGCCTCTTTAAATTCTCTTTCAAAACCTTCCTTTTCGCTATCTAAACTGAACTGATCTTCTGAGGCCAAGGGTTAAGTTGTGCCTTTTGGATAGAGGTTTCCTTGGTTATGAAAGCCCTCAGCAATATTTGTCTTTAAATAATGCAGCAGTAAGAGACAGTATCACAGAGCTCATTATTTATTAACTCATTCTTCATATAATTACTGTCATCCCTTAGTATCCATGGGGGTTTGGTTCCAGGTCCTCCTATGGTTAACAAAATCCAAGGATGCTCAAGTCCCTGATATAAAATGGCACAATATTTGTATATAACCTATGCACATCCTTCCATATACTTTAAATAATCTCTAGATTACTTATATCTAATACAATATAAATGCTATGTAAATAGGTGTTAGTTACACTGTATTGTGTAGGGTATGATAACAAGAAAAATGTCTGTACATGTTCAGTATGGATGCAACTTTTTTTTCAACTATCTTCGATCCACGGTTGATTGAATCCATGGATGTAAAACCCATAGATATGGGAGGGCCAACTGTCCTATGTCTAGCATGTGTCAGGCACCATTCAAAACATCAAGGCTACAGTAGCGAATAAAAGAGGTCCTTGCTCTTACAGAGCAAAATTCCTGAAGGGGGAGATAGAAATTAAACAAGTGTCCTATAAACAAGATAATCTCAGATACTAAAAAGTACTATGAAAAAGAAAACAAACTAAGGTGATGAGATGAAGAGTGACTGAGTGGTGCTTGGGGGCTACTTCAGATAGACATCAAAAAAGGCTTTTCTGAGGATGTAACATTTGCGCTAAAATCTAAATGACATGATTGAACCAACGATAGGAACATCTGGGCTGGGGGTGGTGGCTCATGCCTGTAATCCCAGCAATTTGAGAGGCTGAGGCAAGGTAGGAGGATTGCTTGAGCTGAGGAGGTTGAGGCACTGGTGAGCCATGATTGCACCACTGCACTCCAGCCTGGGCAACACAGCGAGACTCTGTCTAAAACAAACAAACAAACAAAAAAACTGGTAGCAGTAGAATTAAGGAGAGGTAGTTGGACTTAGGATATATTTTGAAGATAGAGCTAACAGAAATTGCTGAATTGGTGGTCAGGGACGAGAAAATAAAATAGCATGACTTCCAGGCTTGGGGCCTAAGCATCTAATTGTATGGAAGTGCCATTAACTTATGGTGGGGGAGACTGGGGAAGGAAGAGACTTGGAAAGAGTAGGAACATCAAGAGTTGTATTCTGACTCAGGCTATCTGGTGATTACTGTTCATTGTCTGTATGTGGCAATAGTATGGTGTTAGAAAGTTGTAATCTTTTGGAGATATAGACAGAAATTTTACAGAAAAAAATGATATGGTATTTGGGATGACCTCAAAATGATCGGATTAGGGTGGGATATGTGGTAGTAGCGAACAGATGAAACAAGAGTAGCCATGAATTAGTTAGTTGTTGGAGTTGGGGGATGGGTACATGAGTGTTTGTGGTACAGCCTTCTTTTGTGTTATGTTTAAAATCTTGTATAATAAAACTTTTTTTTAAAGTTTTGTTGTGGCAACAGATATTGGTAAGCATGCAGAGAAAAGGGAACGCTTATACACTGTTGACAGAAATGTAAATTAGTACAACCTCTATGGAATATGTGGAGACTTCTCAGAGAACCAACAACAGAACTACCATTTGACCCAGCAGTCCCACTACTGGGTACTTACCCAAAGGAAAATAAATCATTATATAAAAAACACACCTAGAGGATGGGCGCAGTGGCTCACGCCTGACTTTGGGAGGCCAAGGTGGGTGGATCATGAGGTCAGGAGTTCGAGATCAGCCTGACCAACATGGTGAAACCCCATCTCTACTAAAAATACAAAAATTAGACTGGCATGGTGGCGCGCACCTGTAATCCCAGCTACTTGGGGAGGCTGAGGCAGGAAAATCACTTGAACAAGGGAGGCAGAGGTTGCAGTGAGCCGAGATCGTGCCACTGCATTCCAGCCTGCCTGGGCAGCAGAGAGAGACTCCGTCTCAAAAAAAAAAAAAAAAAAAAAAAGACACCTGTACTTATATGTTGATCACAGCACTATTCACAGCAGCAAGCTAAGTGTCCATCAACAGTTGACTGGATAAAGAAAATATGGTGTACGTATACACACACATATATATAGAATACCATGCAGCCACAGAAAAGAATGAAATCATCCAGGCATGGTGGCTCACGTCTGTAATCCAGCACTTTGGGAGGCTGAGGTGGGTGGATCACCTGAGGTCAGGAGTTCAAGACCAGCTTGGACAACACGGTGAAACCCCATCTCTACTAAAAATACAAAAAAATAGCTGGGTGTGGTGGTAGGTGCCTGTAATCCTAACTATTTGGGACTCTGAGGCAGGAGAATAGCTTGAACCCAGGAGGTGGAGGTTGCAGTGAACCAAGATTGCACCATTGCACTCCAGCCTGGGAAACAAGAACGAAACTCTGTCTCCAAGTCTCCAAAAAAAGAAGAAAAATTATGAAATCATGTCCTTTGCAGCAACATGGATGGAGCTGGAGGCCATTAAGTGAAATAACTCAAAACAGAAAATCAAATACCAAATGTGCTTGCTTATAAATGGTAGCTAAACAATGGGTACATATAGACATAAAGATGGAAAGAATAGACATTGGGGACTCCAAAGGGCAAGGGTAAGGAGGAAGGTGGGGGGTGAAAAATTACCTGTTGGGTACTATGTTCATAATTTGTGTGATGGGTAAATTAGAAGGCTATCAAGCAGGTGCAGTGGCTCACACCTGTAATCCCAGCACTTTGGGAGGCTGAGGTGGGTGGATCACGAGGTCAGGAGTTTGAGACCAGTTTGGCCATGGCAAAACCCCGTCTTTACCAAAAATACAAAAAATTAGCCGCGCATGGTGGCGCACACCTGTAGTCTCAGCTACTTAGGAGGCTAAGGCAGGAGAATTGCTTGAACCCAGCACGCAGAGGTTGCAGTGGGCTGAGATCACGCCACTGTACTCCAGCCTGGGTGACAAAGCGAGACTCCATCTCCGAAAAGAAACCTGTATATGTACCCCCAAATCTAAAATTTTTTAAATTAGAAAAAACAAAAAACAAAAAACAAAGCTCTGTTTTGGACTTGTTAACGTTTGAGATGCCTATTAGATATCTGAGTAGAAGAGTGGAATAGAAAGTAGAGTATGCCAGTCTGACACTGATCGGGGTGGAGTTATATTAATAAACTGATGTTCTTTAAAACCATGAAACTAGAAGAGATCACTGGAGGAGACTGTAGAAAGCGAAGGAGGCCAATGATTAAGGAATTCTTACATCTAAAAGTAAAGGAAAAATTCTGTGATGTCACGGAAGTCAGAAGAAAGGTTTAACGGAGGGATTGGTCATTTGTGTTGAATGTTACTAACTCAAGAATTATATGGGGCCAGGTGTGGTAGCTCACATCTGTAATCCCAGCTCTTTGGCAGATTCAGGCGGGAGGACTGCTTACGGCTAGGAGTTCAAGACCAGCCTGGGCAACACAGTAAGACTCTGTCTCAACAAAAGTAAAAAATTTAGCCAAGCATGGTGGCATGTGCCTACAGTCCTAGCTACTTGGGATGCTGGGGCAGAAGGATCACTTGAGCCCAGGAGTTCAAGGTTACGGTTACCTATGATGTGCCACTGCCCTCCAGCCTTGGTGACTATGTCTCAAAAAAATTTTAAATGAATAAATGATTATATGAACAGAAATTAAACTTTTAAACTTAGCAGGATGGAAATCAAGGGTGACCTTAAAGAGAGCCATATAAATAGAGTGTTTAATGGACTGAAAAGGTAATGTGGCTTAAGTACACAGAGAAAGATAAAACATGGTGTAACATGAGGTCCATTATTAGAGGTCATATGATAGGATTTTAGTCTTTTCTGAGACCCACAGGGAACCAAACATGTGTTTTCTGTTGTGATTAAGGTTACATGATCAGATCTGTGTTCTAAAATGACTGCTTAGATTAAAGTGGACTGCAGAGGAACTAGAGTAGGTGTCAAAAGATCAGTTAGACGACTGCAGCAATCCACGTGAAAGATTACATCGTTTGACATTTCCTGGGGTTTGTGTTGACTCTGAACTTTAACCAGTTTTGAGTTTGAACACTTTAGCCCGATTCATCTCCAATAAAACAATTTGGACATACTACTAAATTCCTTACATAGCAATGGGAATCTATCCACATTAACTATGTAATGAGTCCATCAATTTTATTGTATTACCAGTGGAACCTATGGATTATCAAATAGTCATGTAGTGCTTAATGACAAGGAAACATTCTGAGAAATGTGTCATTGGGTGATTCTGTTGTGTGAACATCATAGAGTGTACTTACACAAACCTAGATGGTATGGCCTACTTACACACTTAGGCTATATAGTATAGATGATTGCTTTTAGGCTACAAACCTATACAGCAGGTTACTGTACTGAATGCTGTGGGCAACTGTAACACAGTGATACTTGTGTATCTAAATATATCTACATATGGAAAAGGTGCAGTAAAAATATGGTGTTATAATCTCATGGGACCACCGTTGTATATGTAGTCAGTCACTGACTGAAACATCATTATGTGGAGCATGACTCTGTATCAATTTTTCTGTGTGTACTAGAGAATTATCAATATATGATCTAGAGCTTGCCTTTAACATGGCAGACATTAGCCATGTGAGATTATTTAAATTAAAATTAAATGCAATTTAAAATTTAGTTCCTTAATTGCACTAGTCACATTTCAAGTATTCAAGAGCCACCTGTTGCTAGTGGCTATCATATGGAGATAGCATAAATGCAAAACATTCCCACCATCACAGAAAGTCCTACTGGACAGTGCTATATTCTAGAAAATATAATGACAACCCCTAAACTGATAATGTACTTGTTCAGGAATTGCTGAAAACTGTATGCCATTCTTAAATGTCACAGAAGAGATACCAGAAAAGCTAAAGAGAAAGAAAAAAAGGGAGGTAAAATGATTGGGGAAGGAAACATTGTAGCGAAATAAAGTGTGGGTGATGAAGTAGTAGAGGCATGCCATTTAGTCAATCATTTCAGCTATGAAAAGAAGGAGATTCGAATTTTATTTATAGGAACCTGTTGAGAACAGTGAATGTTCTGTCCAACATAGTAGCCCCTCAGTGTTTTTGTGGTGTAATGAGACAGGAAGTGATTTCTTTCAAAATTGAAAAGGGAGAAGGAAAAGAACTGTAAACCGTCTCACCAGGCTCACATTTCTTCACAGGGAAAAAAGTGCCAAAGCTGTTAAGGCAACTCCAAGAGGTTCTAGGCAAAAGTTCGGGCTGCCCTCACACATTGTGAGCAAACGAAGGTGAATGAAGGCACAAAAATGCTGCCATTGAATTATGTGGATCATCCATAAGGAATTACTGACTACCTACCGGAGGCTTAGCCCCAATGGCATACACTCCTGTCCAGAAATTCACCAAGAAAATACATAGAAGACACCCCTGAACAGAACAGACATTATACACAATAAACTGCAACACCTGT
This sequence comes from Homo sapiens, assembly GCF_000001405.40. Taxonomy (NCBI): domain Eukaryota; kingdom Metazoa; phylum Chordata; class Mammalia; order Primates; family Hominidae; genus Homo; species Homo sapiens. The sequence continues at coordinate 122,379,686 of NC_000003.12, forward strand.
CCACAGAAATAACACAGAAATACACACAGTTCAATGGTTCTCTGAAGGCTGCATCTTGTGTAGAACCCTCATGAGCTTCTAAACATTAAATCACAGCCAAAGATAACTTTATAAATTCTGTAGTACTCCCAGCTTCTTCTATCTTTCATCCTCCTCAAAACAAGAAGAGATCTGATATATCATGAACCTCTCATTGTAGGCTGACTCTGAAATTATGCAGGCGTTTTTCTTGGAATGCATTTTATGTCTTCTCTGTAATTGGTGGGGTAAAAATCTCATCCTCTTGGAAGGCAATTTAGGTATTGAAGGAGTGCCTATATTTAGTAGTGGGAAGGGGTAGAGAAAACTTTCTGTTGCCCCTACAATTATACTATAGTCTATTCCTAAGATTCATTCTCAGGTAAAGTTATTTTATAATTCTACATATTTTTTAGGGTACATAGGGGTGAGGAGTAGGAAAGGGGCCATTATATAACTAAAATACACTGTACTCCAAAGAATGATATGGAACTCCCTTAACCTTTCCTCTCCTCTCCCTTTGCCTGATGGTACCCAGAAGTAATGTCATTGGTACTTGACATCAAAGTCCCTTTTACATGATGCTCTTTTCAGACAGATCTGGTTCCTCAAACTCTATTTTTACATCAAAGCTCCCACGGTGCTTCCCCCAAACCAGAAACACAAACTTGTCTACAACTGCCAGAGTCCTCTAACACCCAGCATCCCCAGGACAGGAATAGAAAGCAGCCCTGTAAGCATAAAAGAAACCATCATTGATGCTAGAAAATAACCTATTTAGTACCTAATTACAATGTGATTCAAAAATCACTTATGTGTCAATGAATATTCCTAATAGAAATACTAATATTTAAACATGCATGTTGAAGTGCTGGGGGGTGGGTATGATGAAAGAGACACGTATGAGGACAATAATAAGAGACATGACAAGAGGCACTTTGGGATTGGATTTTAAAAGGTCTTATATGCCATGTTAAGAAGTTTATATCTAGTCATATGAACCCAAAACTCAAAAGCATAGCTTAGATTATAAAATTCAGAATATAATAGCATATGCCACAGTATTATGGAGATTAGATTGAAGGGGGAATATAGTAGAGAAAAAAAGTGCCAGAAGATAGGAAGGCCTGTTGCAAAGCTAGTTTCAAAAATGATACGGGCCTAAACAAAGCCACTGGCAGTAGTGATGAATCTTCCTAAAGCACCTCTTCGATCATCTCACCCCTCTGCCCAAAAAGGACTCCCTAACTCACACGTGACACACAAGGCTTTCCACAAATCTGGTTGCAATCTTGTGTAATCCCAATGTGCCCCTGTATGAATAATGTGTTCTAGCAATACTGATTTTCTATTTCCTTTAAATACATAAAACTTTTTTGTCTATTATCCTATTGCCTCTGCCTAGAATACCCCTAGTCCCTGCCTGCCTAAGGCCCAACTCTCTAAATTCTTTCAGCATTTTATTCTTTTTTCTTCCCAATATTTTCTACATTTTATAGCCCTACTTAGATTACGTTCCTTGTTTTATACTCCATCCACTGGGTTTCGCAAGTGCCAGGAGACTAGTAGGTATCTGTTACGGGTTGAATTGTGTGTCCCCAAAATTCATGAATCCCTAATCCCCAACATGACTGTATCTGGAGATAGGGCCTTGAGGTATGTAATAAAGGTTAAACAGAGGTCATAAGGGTGGGCCCTAATCCGATAGAACTGATGTCCCTATAAGAAGAGGAAGAGATAGGCTGGGCGCCATGGCTCACGCCTGTAATCCCAGCATTTCGGAAGGCTGAAAGGGGTGCGGATCACCTGAGGTCTGGAGTTTGGAACCAGCCTGGTCAACATGGTGAAACCCCATCTCTACTAAAAATACAAAAATTAACCGGGCACGGTGGTAGGCGCCTATAATCCCAGCTACTCAGGAGGAGAATCGCTTGAACTCGGGAGGTGGAGGTTGGAGTGAGCCAAGATTGTGCCACTGCACTCCAGCCTGGGGGATAGAGCGAGACTCTGTCTCAAAAAAAAAATAAAAAAAAAAAAAAAAAGAAGAGGAGGAAGAGATAGCAGAGATCCTTCTCCTTCCAGGTGCAGGCACAGAGAAGAGATAGTGACATAGAGAAGACATGGTGAGAAAGCAGCCATTTACAAGCCAGGAAGAGAAGCCTTACTATAACTAATTCTGATGGCACTCTTTTTCCCCCCTTAAATCAAACTGTATAGCCTAGAAACTGATGGCAGCTTAATCTTGGACTTCTAGTCTCCAGAACTGTGAAAAAATAAATCTCTATTGTTTAAGCCACCTAGTCTGTGGTATTTTGTTATGGCAGCCCTAGCGGACTAATACAGTATCTAATAAATTCTTGAATGCATGCTAAAATGGGATTCTAGGCACTCGATTTTAAACACTCTTTTCTGGATTTTATTTCAATTTGGAAATAGGATATTTTACAGAAGTACTAAATCTAATTTTTATAATGAAAAAATAAGAGTTGCAAAAATTTTAAACACTTTAGGCCGGGCGTGGTGACTCACGCCTGTAATCCCAACACTTTGGGAGGACGAGGCAAGAGGATTATTTGGTGAGACACTCTCGCTACAAAATTTCTTTTAAAAAATTACCCGGGCGTGGTGACACGTGCCTGTAGTCCTAGCTACAGGGAGGCTGAGGCAGTATTCAAGAATACCACTACCTTCAAACCGTTCAAAGTACAAAGCTTACTACAGATAGGTCAATTTTTCAGTATCTTGGGTTAGTTAATAATGCAATACATATTTAAGATCATGATTTTGGAATTCAACTTTGTAACTAAACAGAAGCACATTTATGACTGAATTGGAACAGATAACTTTAATGGCAACTTGGTCAAAACCAGATCCCTATTCTTGCATTCAGGTGTTAATAATTAGCCCTAGGTCTCTGATATTTGAACATAAAAAGGCAAAACCTCTAAATATTACATCTTCTCTAATGGGCAATGACACTAGAGCAGGTACTATAATTAATCCTCCCTCCAAGCTTCCATACGTCCTGTCCCACAAAAATAGTAAATTGCACCAAGTATGTTTTATCAACTAAATAGCTCTTCTGCACCTTCTTCTCTCCCACAAAAACTCTACTTACAAAAGTAGGAGAGGAATGGCAGAAGCTGGAAACTGAGTTCAGGGAACTGCTACAAGATTGTTACAATCCTTATCCACGCATCCCGAGCTTTACCACAGCAGATTACCCAGAGCTTCCCAGACAAGGCCGGAGAGCCGCGGAGAGAACTATGACCCCCCTCCTCCCTCCTCCTACAGAGCAGCCTCGCTCCCTAAGGCCAAACCCGCGCCCCCCATGACCTCCAATGGCTCGAGAAAAGAGCTTTGAATTGCCCGCTTTTTCCAAAGCTGGTTCATACTCCCTCGCAAAGCAGGGAATAGGGTCTGGGGACAAAAGGAGGCACATGCCTGCCACATGAGGAAAACCCCATCACCTGGAACTCGGCGAACTCCTCACAGTTCACACCGCCACTGGGCGCCGCCATATTGGACAAACACGAGGACCCCGCTGCAGGCCAATCACCGCGGAGCAAAGGTGACCGCGGAGTCGCCTGACAAAAAATATAGTACGAGGGGAATCCTTAGGAAAGCTGAGTGCAAGGCTTGAGTTCAACGTGGTCCGCATCCACCTCGGAACCTGTCACCCTGCTGTCCCAACCCTTTTAACATGTCCTCCTGGAACTGGGCCAGATACATGGATCAAAGATTGTCAGACCTTGAAGGGACTGTTTACTCCAATCCCATCTTTTCACAAAAGGGAAACAATTTCCTTGTGGTTCCCCTACCAGGTCGTTGAAGGAAATCTAGGCAAGTGAGGCCTTTCTAATACCTCTCACTCCAGTGCCTAACCTCCTCCCCGGACCCTGGAGCAGGGGGGTCTTTGTTAAGAATTTGGGACCACTAAGAAACGTCAAGAAAAAACGGCATTTCTGGCAGTGTGGGTGGGTATGAGTAAAGTGTTTAGGATGGAGATGATCAAATGTTTTTAGAAAATAGGTAAATAGAAAACAAATTGAAAACATACATGTTAATTTCTCAGATTAGCCTGAGGGATGCTCCAACAAGAGATAGGGCCACTGAGCAGAGTCCAATTATGTGTTTTCTGATAAAAGCATATGTTCATTGAAAACACTGGAAGAGCGGCATACTGGAATACTGGTTTATCTGGTGTATTTCGGGAGTTTACAGATCACGAAAGTTGCACATTTCCTTTCTATTTCACACAGGTACTCCCATGGGTACATATCCGCTAGGGCAAGGGCCCACGGCGCCACACTCCACAGGACCATCTCCGAGGCTGGCTCAGGATGCGGCGCCAGGGGCACTAGGCTGGCGCCGCGGGTCTCCAGCGCGTGGCGCACGTCCTACACGCCCCGCACTGGCGCAGGCCTGTACACCGCGTCGCGCACGCCCCGCCCCCCGGCGCCGCCTGCGTCCTTCCCACTCCAACGCTGGGTGACATTGAGCTCACCAGCGCCACCGTCCCCGGCGAAGTTCTGCGCTGGTCGGCGGAGTAGCAAGTGGCCATGGGGAGCCTCAGCGGTCTGCGCCTGGCAGCAGGTGAGACGCCGGTCGGGATATGGGAGGTAGGGGAGCTGGCCCGGCCGCTGCGGGTGGGGGAATCCTGAAGCCTTCCTGGGCCCCGGAGTGGCTCCATTCCATGACGCACTTTCTCGGTTCCTCAGAATCCTACCTACTTAGTAGCCATGTGGGAGGGAACTAGGTGAGCAGCTGCTGATAGGCATTGGAGACTGCCCGTGAATTACCCTCATCTCCATCCACCCAGCTCCCACCAACTTAACTGCCCACGCGCCTACCCTTCTCCCCACCCCCGTCCTCAGCCTCCCCTGAGCTCAGTCTGTAAAGCACCTACTATCCCTAGACCTCCCCTTTACCCATGCATTCAGCTTTCCACCCTAACCTCCCCTATCTATTGCTCTCCTTGAGTCTTCCCTCTTCCCCCTGCTCCTTCCTCTCTGGAGTTTATCCCAGAAAACCTCCAGTCTGAAGTTTCCCCACTCATTAAATGTCTGATTAGGCCAAGGATTTAGGTCTTAGAGATTAATAATAATTGTTTTCTTAAAATGGAGGATACATTACTTTTAAACACTTATACAATTAATTGATTCGAATTTCTTGGAGGAAGTGTGTAATTGAAGGATCTGCAGTTTGTTTTGGTGGTAGACATTTGTGTGATGACTATTTTGGACTTAGGTAATGAAAGCTTAATTCTTTTTTTTTGGGAGAACCAGCAGAGCCTTGGCATAGTAGGGGTTGAGAAATCAGAGGGCTTGCATTTTGACTCTTTTCTGGGTACCAGAGATCTTTTGTTCAATGGCACACACTACATTATTAAAAAGTTGTTAATTAAATTTTTAAAGGAAAAATAGCCCCAAACTTGGCTATTCAAATAATATAAATATATATTGTAATGTAAATGAAGTAATGCAAAAAAAAAGAGTGAATGTTGCATAGTTTCACAAGTTTGATACATAACCTTCCCCACCTCAAGATTATCCTTTACACAGCTTATCTAGTGTTCCGGTAGAGAATGGACTGGAAAACATGTCTCAAACTAGAGAGTATTATTATATTTACTTCCTTTAAAAGCAAACACTTCTTCCACTAAAATCCTCAATACTATGATTTCATTGATTTTGTCAGTTTTGTTGAACTAATTCACCTAAAATATCTTCTGTACATCCTATTAACATTATGAAGCTTTTCAACAAGGCAAGTGAAAGGATCATTGCTCTGTAAAAAAGTTAAAATGGACTGCATGAAAAGAACTTTGACATCTTGGAACTACTTTGACATCTTTGAACTAATACTGAGTATATTGTAAGTAGTTCATCTTCTTGCTTTGAGAATATATTTATGCATCTTGCATAAATATATTTTTGCATCTCTGCAAACTTCTGATGTGTAAAAACTTCACTATTGACCACTTAACCAAAGCAGAATTCCTTGAGTGATTTAAGAACAATTTATTTTACTTCAGATATAAAATTTTTAATAGCACACTAAGGATGTTATATGAGCAGCTCTCTCCATATGATCTTCCACGAATGTCTGATGCTTTGTGAGCAACTCCGCAACAACCTACTACCTTTCACCCACTTCATAGCTAAATACTTTCATATACATTATTTTGTTGGATGGATTTCTCATAGCAGCCCTCTCAGGTAAGTCTTATTCCTCCCACACTTTATAAATGAAGAAACATAGGTCAGAGATGACTTGTCCAGGATCTCTTTGCCAAAAAATGTTAGAGCCAGGAGAGGGTACCCTTTAATTCTGGAATTTTTGTGCTTTTTGCTGTTGTTCAAGCTGTTCATTCAGGGGCTGTGCGTGTGTGAATTTGTCATGACTAATTGGATCTCATTAATCTGAAATGGAAGAGTCATGAAATGCAGATTTAGTTCTGAAATGAAAGTACACCTTCATGTGCAAATGGCTTTTCAAGAAAGAAGACTGCTTTAATAAGCAGCCTTAGCCAAAGGAATGAAAGATCAAATAGAAATGTAGGCTCAATGTGGTGGCTCACACCTGCTATCCCAGCACTTTGGGAGGCTGATACTGGAGGATTGCTTGAGACCAGGAGTTTGAGACCAGCCTGGCTAACTTAGCAAGACCCTGTCTCTACAAAAAAAACTTTTAAAAATTAGCTGGGCATGGTGGCTCAAACCCATAGTCTCAGCTACTCAGGAGGCTGAGGCAAGAGGATCACTTGAGCCCAGAAGTTTGAGGCTGCATTGAGCTATAATACGATCATGCTACCACATTCCAATCTGGACAACAGAGTGAGACCCTGTCTAAAAAAAAAAAAAAAAAAGAAAAGAAGCATAATCTAGGCATACCTTACTTATCCAGAATATTTGGAATAAGATTCTCTAGGTAAGTGAAATTTCAGATGATCAAAACTTAACCTTATAAATGATGGACCTTTACTTTTGTTTCTGTTGGAAATCTTTGGTATACTCCCTTAGCAAACAATATAGCAAACATAATGTAGGCTTTTATGAGCTCGAATTTGTTGTTTTGTAGATGTAGTTGTAGATACAGATCAGGGTTGTTAACTTGTGGTACTGGACACCTCCACATTTGAGAGGTCCTGTGAACTTCTCAAATTTTTATGATTGTATACCATTTTTGAGAGAGAGGGTCCATATTTTATATCTGCTACTCAGAGCAGTTCATGCTCTTTAAGTTAAAAAGCACTGATACAGATGATTAGGAACTAAATGGCCATTTACCCACACTACGCTGGGTTTCATAAGGGTAAACACTGGCTCTGTTTTGTTTTTACTCAGTCCTTACCACTTATTGGTGTTCAGTTCATAGTAGACAGGCAATACATATTTTTTGGATGAAGGATGCTAGGAAATATCTTGGAACATGCTGCAAATGTAAGGTGAGTTTTCACACCTGTTTTCTCCTGAAAGAATAAAATAGATATAACTTTTAGGATATTGTATCTTTCCACAGAATGATTATTAGTTCAAAGGAATGGAATGACCTTACAAGAATGTTTCTTATTGAAAGAAAGTTTTGCTCCCCTAAACTCTGTTGACTGGTCAGATTTGAAAATGAATTTGTTACCGTCATTGTTACCAATGTAATGGACTATGGGCTGCCTTCCTTTTAGTTTAACCCACATCTCAGAGCATTAGAGTAGAGAGGTATCTTAGAAGTCAGGTAATTTAGTCCTCTAATTTTTACAGATGAGGAAACTTAAGGGCCAAGAAGGGAATCAGCTTGCCAAGGACCACACAGGTACAGACCTGGGACATAGCCAGTATCCCCTGGCTCCCATTCTGATTTTATTTCTACCACATTCTGCTACCTTATTCTTTTTGTTTGTTCTTGCTAACCAAACCTAAATGAGAACGTACGCATTTTAACTACCCCCACATTTGGCTTTACTTATTGCTCCTTTCCAGGTCTTGCCAAGTATTTATTGAGTACACAATGGATGCCCTGTGTGTATACTGTGAAGGCTCTAAAATGAATGGACTGCCCCACTCCTAGGGCTGATTTATTGCAATGAACAAACAAACATATATAATATACCATTGGCTTCAAGAATTCTGAGATTCTTGAAGGCTCCATTGAAATGAAGGGGTGTGAGAGTGATGTGAGCACATGTAGGGGCGGTAATGAGTTGTGAGCACATGTAGGGGCGGTAATGAGTCTGAAAAAGGATATGAGAGAGGAAAGATTACCTTAGGGATTTTGATCAGGAGGCAATAGGAGGTAAAGTGTAGTGTTTGGAGACGTTTGAACCAAATGAATTTGGACCAAAAAAACCTTTTAGCAGGAGAAGTAACACAAGAAACATTTCTGGAAAATTAACTCAGCAACTACATACCAGTTGAATTGCTGCTACCTATGAAGATATTACAGTAACTGATGTGTGAGGTGATGATGGAAATAACGAATATATTTAGGAAGTGTCTTGAAGAAAGGATGAGTTTGGAGATACTGAGTAAGGAAGGACTTAAAGACAAGTTTTTTAATGTTGAGGACTACAGAAGTATTGCCTCATTGTCAGAAATAAGAAAGTTGGAAAAATAATCAGAAACGCCATCAAAGATTTGTGTTAGTTTGGCAGAGAAGATGGTGCATTATTGAGTAGGTTTAGGTGGCACTGAGTTATAGGTTGTGAGAGGTTGAAGACCTGAGGGCAAAGGAAGAGTAAAGTTATGGAGATAAAGATATGGGAGCAATTAGTCTGGAGTTGATTTTTAAAACAGAATGGAGGAGTCCTTCCAGAGAGTAGCACAGAATAGAAGCAAGGACTAAGCCTTGGAGGTGTGACATGGTGTAAATAATAGGAACTGGGAAAGAAGACATTAAAGAAGATTGGTCATAGAGGTTGGAGATGAAGTGAGAGAATTTGGTGGTACAATGTAAGGAGGCATTGAATCCTTGTAGAAAGATGAGATCAGTCGAATCAAATGGCCACAAAAATGGGAAGAGTAGAGTCAGAAGGGCTAATGATGAGAATCTAAAAAAATGTATTCATGACCGGGCACGGTGGCTCAAGCTTGTAATCCCAGCATTTTGGGAGGCCGAGGTGGGCGGATCACGAGGTCAGGAGATCGAGACCATCCTTGCTAACACGGTGAAACCCTGTCTCTACTAAAAACACAAAAAATTAGCCGGGCGTGGTGGTGGGCGCCTGTAGTCCCAGCTACTCAGGAGGCTGAGGCAGGAGAATGGCGTGAAGCCGGGAGGCAGAGCTTGCAGTGAGCTGAGATCACAGCACTGCACTCCAGCCTGGGCAACAGAGCAAGACTCCGTCTCAAAAAAAAAAAAAATGTATTCATATGACTAGAAAGAGGTCACTAATGTTGGTAGAGTAATTTTAGTAAAATGATTGGAGAAGGAAACATTGTAGCAAAATAAAGTGTGGGTGGTGAAGTGAAGTAGTAGATACATGCCATTTATTCAATCATTTGAGCTATGAAAAAGAGGAAATAAGAATTTTATTAATAGTACCTGTTGAGAACAAGTGAATGCTTTGTCCAACATAGTGGACCTTCAGTGTTATTGTAGAGTAATAAGACAGAATTCTCAGTAACTACTAGTAGAAGTTACTGGAGAAGTAGTCAGCCTTTCTGGAAAGTAGTATAGATGGATAGATAGATAGATAGATAGATAGATAGATAGATAGATAGATAGATAGATAGATGAGATAGATAGATGGAAACTTAAAGGGGTTCATACCCTTTTACCCTTCACTTCCAGGATTTTATTCTAAGGAAATAATCAGAAATACCATCAAAGATGTATGTAGAGAACTGTTCATTGAAACATTACTTATAACACTGAAAAATTGGAAAGAAATCAAGTTGTAGGGAATTACTACATTCAGATTATAGCTGTGTGTCGGGTTTTATACAGCTATTAAAAGTATTAATATCTTGGAAAGTATTTGTGACATAGCAAGATACAGTATTATCTGATTATGAAAAATGTATATGTTTTATGTAAGTATAGGAAAGGTCTGAAAAGAAATATTAATGCACCAAGTTGTTATCCCTAAGTGCTATGATTATGAGTGCTTTTATTTTTCTTCACATCTTTTTTTAACTTCCAAATTTTCTGTAATGAGCAAGTGTTACTTTTATCATTTAAAGTTTGTTTTACTAAAAGCTTTTTACATAACATGGTGTGTAACAACTTGGTGGTACAAAGGTTTTTACATAGTGAGACCCGATCTCTACAAAACAAATTTTTTTAATTAGCTAGACATGGTGGCATCTGCCTGTGGTCCCAACTACTCCAGAAGATGATACAGGAGGATCGCTTGAGCCCGGTTCAAAGTTACAGTGAGCTATGATCTCTCCACTGCCCTTTACCCTAGGTGACAAAGTGAGACCTTGTCTCTAAAAAAAAAAATAAGTTTTTTAGTTTTGATTTTAAAGATGGGGGAGATAACATTTGGCAGGAAAAAGGCAGTGGAAAATAAGGATAAGTTTGGTACGACATCCCTCAGCAGAGGGATTACTACTTAAGAATAAAGGAAGACTGGTATTTCTTCAAGCCTGCAGGGAAGGATGAGAAAACGGATATAGGGAGTCTGTTTCTGTCACAAAGCCCAGGTCAACAGCTAAGGCCTAGAGAGTTTCAGATAGACACTCTGGGGAGTGGGTTGTAATATTGATTCTCTGATTCCCAGAGAGTTGTCATATCTCCAGTCACATCACCTATGGTTTTCTCCAAGAGGACCTTGAAAGATTCTGAGAAAGAAAAAGCATCCCTACCTTTCCTCACTGTCTATCATGGGGTTGGAAAGGATATTTATGGAAAGGAGGGGACTACCAGGAGAGAAGCTGGTACTTCAACCAGCCTCACCCTGGCTGACCACTATAGCCTCCAGCTAGCAATGATATTTCTAAGGCACTGGTTTTCAGATTATGGGTCCCCCATAGCAGAAGTTTCACCATTACCTGGGCAATTGTTAGAAGTGCACATTCTCAGGTTCTGTCCATACTGACTGTATCAGTTGGGTCCAGTAATCTGTTTCACAGGGTCCCCCAGGTGATTTCGATAGATAAAAAAGTTAAGAACCTTTACTCTTAAGATTAGCCGTTTGCCACCCAGAGCCTTAGAGACAGCTGTGAGGCTTCATCTTAACTTCCTGCTAGGGCCCTGGAGACACAGAATTGGTCAGCCAGGGACAAGCTGTTAAGTCCAGCTAGAGGGTTAAAGGGCTGTTTTTCTTTTGGTTTGTATGTTTTTAATCGTGATCCACCAGAGGATGGAAAATTTCTGGCTTGGACGTCTGGTCAATATATTCTGTCTCTTTGAGAGAAAACGAAGGTCTTAGTAATGATATTAAAGTTTGTTTATGCTTTCATGTTGTTATAATTGCAAAATAAAAACCAAGACCACATCAAATACTTCAGACATTTTTTAGCGATAACTTTTTAAAATTTAAAATTTTATTTTATTTTATTTTTGAGAGAAGGTCTGGCATTATCGCCCAGGCTGAAGTGCAGTGGCATGATCTCAGCTCTCTGCAACCTCTGCCTCCAGGGCTCAAGCCACCCTTCTGCCTCAGCCTCCTGAGTAGCTGGGACCACAGGCACATGCCACTGCGCCCAGCTAGTTTTTGTATTTTTTGTAGAGGTGGGGTTTCACTATGTAGTGATAACATTTTTAAAAATATTTTTAAAGCAAGACCTCATCTTTAAAAAAATATATTTACATTAGTCTATTATTCTAATATCTATAATAAGATAATATGTGTGTATGTTTTAATCAGCATTTATACTGTAGGGAGGTAAAAGTTATTAGCATACAATATGAAGTTGTAGTAAGAAAAAGTTGGGAGATACAGTCTGATCTAGGTGAACCTCTCATGTCTCCAAGTCCTTACCCTCCATAACTACCTCAGTACCTCTCTCACATCAAATTCTACTTGTCTTCCCATTATTCATTCTGTTCTGGCCATACTGGCCTTCTCTTTATGGGCTCTAGAATCTTTTAGGGTCTTTGCATTTATAATTCTTTCTGTTTGGAATATTCTTCCACCAGATAGCTGCATAGCTAGCCCTTGCTTCCCTTCAAGAGTGACATTCTCACAGAGGACTTCCTAACTACTCTATGTAAAATTTCATACACAGCCCATTCCAAACACATACTTCATGTCCCCATTGTTTATTTTTTTCTCTCTGGCACTTAGTATCTAACATATGTATAACTTTCTCCCCAGTAGAATGCAAGTTCTATTGGCACAGATTTTTATCTTTTTTATATATTGCCTAAAACAATGCCTGGCACATAGGAAGTACTTTGTTGAATGAATTACTCCAACATACATCGATGTCACTGATAGTAGGTATACATGTTAGCATTTTTTGCTTTATTATTTCTCAAACTGAGCTAGCTGAGAGGCAGTTTGTCTTCTGTTCTCCTAAACTGCCTTTGTTCTATAATTAGGAGGAATGGGAAAGGACAGCTGTCTTAGGAAATAATTATTGATTCTTTTTCTGTTTAAAGAGCAGAGTCCTTCTAGCTTGCTGCCGGTTAACCTTGTTCCTTTTGTAAGTGCCTGCCAAAGGAGGAATGGGATAGCATTGTGTGAGATGGGGCCTTGTAGGTCACATTAAACCAGTGGTTCTCTGGGGAGATGAAAAAGTCCTGGAGATGGATAGTAGTAATAGTTGCACAGCAGTGTAAATGTACTTAATGCCACTGAATTGTACACTTAAAATAATTAAAATGGTAAATTTTATGTTATGTATATTTAACCACATCTTAGGGGAGAGAAAAGCCTAGGTTCTCAAAGTATAGTCCAGAACCAGCATAGCAGCATCACCTAGGAACTTGTTAGAAATGCGAATTCCCAGCCTCCATTCCAGAACTGTGGATGCAGAAACTGGAGGTAGACAGCCTCATGATTTGTGTTTTAACAAGGCATTCCTCTGATTCACACCAAACACTAAAACACTAAAATTTGAAGATCACAGGATTTAATAATTGTGTCTTAATCCTGAGTGCTATGAAAATCTATTGAAGAGTTTCATAGACTTTTCCCATGGCCTCATAACTGCATAATTAACTTTGTCAGAAATCCTGACCACATTAGGGGTAAAATTGAAAAGTGTTCTAGAAGTTTTATCAAAGTTAATGTTTTACATAATATTTCAAAAAAAAAATAAACTTAACAGTTAGAGAGCCTGCTGTGTTTCAAGCATCTTACCAGATGCTCCCATATTTGCTTTTCCATTTAACCCTCAAATCAACTTTGGTACAAGAAACACTGCATTATCCACATTTTAAATGAGGAAACAAGCTAAAAGCAGTTAATTTATCTCCTTTCCACTAGGTGGCACTGATGTTGTGTTTGCCAGATCCAGGCAAAGCTTTCTGGCATTTATAGCCCTAGAAAACAAAATAAATGAGGCCTTTTATGAAAAAGACTGTGTGCCAGGTAACCACAAATAGAGATTCCAACTTCTGGTGTGTCAAGAGTAAGGACCTCTGAAAATCCATTTTTACCCAAAAGCAATGATAACACTGCCAGAAGTTGGCAGAAGCAACTTTTCCAGAACTCTGGAAAATTACCAGGCATTTGTGACAATCTGAGGAGCATTTATCCAAAAAAAAAAGCCTGAAATCGTGGTAGGACAGCAAGTTTTGTGGAGTTTTAACTTGCTTTATTCCTGTCTTCTTTCAGCTTCACAATAGTCTTGAAAACCAACAGCCTCACAAATCACAGTTACTTTGAAAACCAGCAGCCTTGCAGGCACTGAAGAAGGCAGAATGGGTTTAAGAGTTTTCCAAAACTTCCAGCTGCAGAGAATTGTTACTATTTGACTTGTCTGACAGTTCGCTGGAAACCCCACTCACAGGGCTTATCTTTTTTCACCTGACTTGGAGTTTATTCACTGCAAACAGTGTTTTCCCTGGTGCATTTGTTGAAAATAATCAGCAGCACTTGTTTGACATAACATGGAGTGGGTAACAGCTGGGTCAAACAAGAAGCTGGGGAATGAGATGTCCATCCTGACATCTGGAAAGCTCTGACATATTTCTAGAATGTAATATGTGTAAGGTTGGACACATTTTCCAGGAAAAACCTGAGAGGTCTCTAAGCTCTCACCTCACATTTAGTCTCTGTCCGAGCACGAATGGAAGGTGTGTTAGGCCAGTCTCGCATTGCTAAAAAGAAATACCTACGACTAGGTAATTTATAAAGAAAAGCAGTTTAATTGGTTCATCGTTCTTCAGGCTGTACAGGAAACATGATACTGGCATTTGTCAAGTTTCTAGGGAGGCCTTAGGAAACTTACAATCATGGTGGAAGGCGAAGGGGGAGCTGGCATGTCACATGTCCAGAGCAAGAGCAAGAGAGATCAGGGAGGTGCCACACACTTTTAAACGACCAGATCTCATAAGAACTCACTATCACGAGGACAGCACCAAGAAGGATGGTGCTAAACTATTCATGAGAAATCCACCCCCATGATCCACTCACTTCCCACCAGGCCACACCTCCAACACTGGGGGTTACATTTCAACATGAGATTTGGGTGGGGGTACAGATCCAAACTATATCAGAAGGCTAAGGCAGTGTTGCAGACTGCCTGCCTGAGGGTAGAAGACATGCCCCAACATGCACACACAGCCCGTAGGCAAACACTTAATAAACTTAAAGGCATTTATTAGTCTCTCCAGTTACTAGCTGACCACTAAGATAACCAGACAGACCTCTGTGGCCAAACACACAAAGGATACAAGGAGAGACTATGAACAACTCTATGGCAAAAATTACATAAACCAGATGAAATGGACACACTTTTAGAAAAAGAAAAATTATCAAAACTAAGTCAAGAAAAAATAAAATATCTGAAAAGTCCTGTAACAGGAGATTGAACTAGTGATTTTAAAACTTCCTGCAAAGAAAAAGTCCAGGCCCAGATGGCTTCAATTGTGCATTCTACCAAACATTTAAAGAAAAAAATAGAATTAATCTTTCACAAATTCTTCCAAAATACAAAAGAGGAGGGATCACTTCCCAATACATTTGATGAGGCCACATTATCCTCATACCAAACCCCTCCCAAAAAAATCTCAAGAAAACTATAGACCCATATATATCCCTTAGGAATATTGATGCAGAAATCCTCAAGAACTGCTACAAAATGAATCCAGTGACATGAAAAATTATAGACTGATCAAGTGGGATGTATGCTAAAAATGTAAGGTTAGGACTCCTGACTCAACATCATTCACCATGTTAATAGAATAAAGGAAAAAAACACATAACCACATCAGTAAACACAGAAAAAGCATTTGACAAAATGCAACTCCTCTTCATTATAAAAACACTCAGAAACTATGAATAGAAAGGAACTTCCTCAACCTGATAAAGGGCATTAAATGAAAAACCCACAACTAACATCGGACTTAATGGTGAAAGGCTGAATGCGTTTCCCCCATGACATGACAAGGATGTCCATTTTCAACAGACATTTCTGTTCAACACTGTACTTACTGGAGGTTCTCGTTAGGGAATTTAGGCAGGAAAAACAATAAGTGGCAAAAGAAGTAAAACTATATTCCCAGATAACATGATCATGTATATAGAAAATCCTAAGGAATACACACACACATACCCTGTTAGACTAAATGTTGAACAGTTTTGCAGTATGCAAGATAAATGGGCAATAAATAATGCAAACATGAAGAAAATTCCATTTATAATAGCATCAAAAAGAATAACGAAGTTTAAAACGTACTCTGGAAATTGCAAAAACACTACTGAAAGAAATTAAAGAAGACCCAAATAAATGGAAAGACATCCCATGTTCATGGTTTGAGAGACTTAATATTTTTAAGATGGAAGAATTCCTCAAATTGATCTATGGATTCAACACAATCCCCAACAAAATCCCAGCTGGGGTCTTTGTAGAGATTGACAAGCTGATCCTCAAATTCATACAGAAATTTAGAAATTTAAGGGACCCTGAGTAGGCAAACTAATCTTTAAAAAGAAAAGCCAAGTTGGATGACTCATACTTCCTGATTAAAAACTTAACTACAAAGCTGTAATAATTAAGACAGTGTGGTGCTGGCATAAGGACAGACATTTAGATCGGTGGAATAGAATTGATAGTCCAGAAATATACTCTCATATTTACAGTCAATTGATTTTCTATATGGCGCTAAAACAACTCAGTGCGGAAAAGAACAGTCTTTTAAACAAGTGGTGCTGGGAGAACTGGATATTTACATGCCAAAGAATGAATTTGGATCCTTTTCACAGAAAGTATACTAGTATAACTCAAAATGGATCACAGACCTAAATGTTAGAGCTAAAACTATAAAATTCTTAGAATATAGGAGTAAATCTTTGTGATATCGTATATGGCACCAAAAGCTCAAGCAATAAAAGAAAAGATGGATAAACTGGACCTCACCCAAATTAAATTTTTTTGTACTTCAAAGGACATCATCAAGATAGTGAAAAGATACCCATGGAGTGGGAGACTATATTTGCAAAGTACATATCAGATAAGGAAAGAACTCTTACAACTCAAAAATGAAAAGACATAACCCTACTTAAAAAAAAATAGGCAGAGGACCTAAATAGATGTTTCTCCAGAGAAGATATGCAAATGGCCAATTAGTACATGAAAAGATCCTCATTATTACTCATTAGATAAATGTAACTTAAGACTACAATGAGATACCACTTCCTACCTACTGGGACAGTTATAATCAAAAAGAATAACAAATGTGGGTATGGATGTGAAGAAATTGGATCCCTCATATATGGAAATGTGAAATGTTACAGCCACTTGGAAAATGGTCTTGTAATTCCTTAAATGATTAAATGGAGAATTATATCACCCAGTTGTTTCACCCCTTAGTATATACCCCACAAATGAAAATACATGTTCCTCAAAAACTTGTACACAAATGTTTATAACAGTATTATTCATAATAGCCAAAAAGTGGAAACCACCCAAATGTCCATTAGTTGACTAATGTGTAAACAAACTCTGGTATAGTGGAATAAAATTTGTCAATAAAAAGGAATCAAGTGCTGACAAATGCTACAACATGGATGAACCTTGAAAATATAAGTAAAAGAAGACAGTCATAAAAGGCCACATGTTGTATGATTCCATTTATATAAAATGTCCAGAATATGTAAATCCATAGAGACTGTGACTTTTAGGGTTGGGGGAAGGAGGAAACAGGGAATGACTGCTAATGTATTCAGGATTTCTTTCTGGGGTGATGAATGTCTTCTGGAATTAGTGATCAATACACAACTTAGTGAATATATGAAAACCACCAAATTTCACACTTTAAAAGTGAGTTTTATGGTAGGGAATTATGTATCAATAAAAGTATTATTTTAAAAATCTTAACAACCATGAACATATTTTCATGAGAAATCCACAGTAGTGTCTTTTAAATTGTTATGTTCAAAAGATTTTTTTTTTTAACAGCAAGGGGGGAAAAGTAAGGAAATGATGCTTTTCACCATCATTGGGAAAACCGCCTCTGTAACCATATTTTACTCCTACTCCCTCTCTCACCTCCCCTTACTGCTCCAAACTCTGAGGCTGCAAGACACCCAAGTGGGAGTTTGGAACTTCCAAGGCACAGTCTTTTTATCTATTAGCAAATTCATTTTTAACCACAAAGGTCTGAGGGCACACTCTTACTGCATTCAATACAAGTCTTGGACATTCCATTTCTGTCATCTAGAGCATCATATAGTGGCAAAGCCCTAGTCAGATTTATCTCTGGTGCCTTTCCAGCTTTCATTTCTGTTCCACTGCTCCACATCCTAGGGACTCAGGGGCTCTTAGGTGTCTTCTGATTCTCAGGAGCCTGTACCAGACCTGGCCTCATCTGCACCACAATCCCAAGATCAGAATTACTCTCCTTTTCTCCCACCTGATCAAAACTATTTCTGGTTGTCTCTGCTTCTGATTTTAATTAATTAAAATTATTCATGCTAAAGCTGAAGGTAACAATTGCTAATCAAAACTAATGTCTTAAATGTATTTATTTTATGAAGGTATTTCCTAGCTTTGTTCACTGAAAAGGCAAAAACAGTGACAAACTGAAAAAAAATGAGCCCCCACTAAGGAGTCTCTAAAAACATTTCTTTAAAAGAACCAGAGCCCATTGGGAGGAATGTGTGATTCCAACTCGGGCAGAAAACATTTAAAATCAGTCTGGAATATCTTGTCAGAAAGAAAGCTATCAATGACCACTGATGATGTGTTGAAAGGACTCGGGAGCCAACTTAGAAGGGTTCCCAATGGGATTAAAAGGAACAACTGAAACAGTCTAGAGCACATCACATGTGTAAAAATGCAACGTAAGGAAGTGCAAGAAAACCAATTTGTTCATTTTAAAACTGGCAAATAAAGGGAAAGAATCCAGCATTTATTCCACATTTTCTGCACGGTTTATGCCTTAAGATAACCAAATAGTTAATGTGAAGGGGGAGAATACCACCATTTTGCAATCCCTAATGAAATGAATGGATCTAGGTAATAATCACCATTGTCTGCTAAAAAAAAAAGATAGATGAAAGGTTGATGGGGAACTTTCTAAAAGGTGAATCAGACTGATAGCATGTACTGAACAATCTTAATATGAAAAGAGACAAAATTGGCATATGCCTATTGATGTGGCATAATAAGACAGACACAATACCACCTATGACATTCTTGCTAAAAGATCTAATCTAAATCTTTCAAGCCTCAAAAATCTGTTTACAAGGAATAGAGGAGTTTGGAGAATATGTTGGGCAACACCATGGGGGTGTGATAAGCAAAATCTAAAATTGAGGGACACTATAGGACTAAAGACTGGTTTCTTTAACAAATAAATTATTTTAAAAAGTAAGAGGGGAGACCTATAGATTTAAAGAAACTCAGGAAGCATCAGCCATATTCAGTTTGTGCACCTATTTTGAATAAGCCAACTGCAAAAAAAAATGAGCCTATCAGAAATTTCATCTTAATAGGATTTGATCATAATATACTGATAATAAGGAACATTTAAAAATTATATTAGTATTTCAGATATGATTTTGAAATACATACTGAAGTATTTGTGGATGAACTAATATAATATTTGGGATTTGCTTTAAAACAATCTAGTAAGGGGTAGATAGTAGATGGAGTTTAGGTTAAACGATATTTTTAAAATTTTTTAAGTTCAGGGCTACATGTGCAGGTTTGTTATATAGGTAAACTTATGTCACAGAGGTTTGCTGTACAGTTTATTTTGTCACCCAGGCACTAAGCCTAGCACCCATTAGTTATCTTTTCTGATCCTCTCCTCCCTACCACCCACAACCCTCAGGTAGGCCCCAATGTTTGTTGTTCCCTTCTGTTTGTCCATGTGTTCTCATTATTTAGCTCCCACTTATTAATGAGAACATGCAGTATTTGGTTTTCTGTTCCTGTGTTAGTTTGCTAAGGATAATGAATGACCTCCAGCTCCATCAGTGTTCCTACAGAGGACATGCTCTCATTCTTTTTTTATGGCCGTGTAGTATTCCATGGTGTATATGTACCACATTTTCTTATTTTATTTATTTATTTTTTGAGACACAGTCTCACTCTTGCCCAGGTTGGAGTGCACTGTCATGATCTAGGCTCACTGCGACCTTCGGCTCCGGGGTTCAAGTGAGCAATTCTCATGCCTCAGCTACCCAAGTAGCTGGGATTACAGGCATGCACCACTGGGCCCAGCCTAAAGAAAAGACCACATTTTCTTTATCCAGTCTGCCATTGATGGACATTTAGGTTGATTCATGTCTTTACTGTTGTGAATAGTGCTGCAGTGAACATACACATTCATGTGTCTTCATGATAGAACATTTATATTCCTTTGGAGATATACCCAGTAATGGCATTGCTGGGTCTAATGGTAGTTCTGTTTTTAGGTCTTTGAGGAATCGCCATACTTCTTTCCACAATGGTTGAACTAATTTATACTCCCATCAACAGCATCTAAGTGTTCCTTTTTCTCTGAAACCTCACCACAGCATCCCTTATTTTTTGACTTTTTAATAGCCATTCTGGCCAGGCACGGTGGCTCATGCCTGTAATCCCAGCACTTTGGGAGGCTGAGGCAGTCGGATCACCTGAGGTCAGGAGTTCAAGACCAGCCTGGCCAACATGGTAAAACCCCGTCTCTACTAAAAATACAGAAATTAGGCGGGTGTGGTGGCAGACGCCTGTAATCCCAGCTACTCGGAAGGCTGAAGCAGGAGAATCGCTTGTACCTGGGAGGTGGAGGTTGCAGTGAGCTGAGACCACACCATTGCACTCCAGCCTGGGCAACAAGAGCAAAACTAAATAGCAAAGGCTTGGAACCAACCCAAATGCCCATCAGCGATAGAGTGGATAAAGAAAATGTAGCCCATATAACCATGGAATACTATGCAGCCATAAAAAGGATGAGTTCATGTCCCTTGCAGGGACATGGATGAAGCTGGAAACCATCATTCTCAGCAAACTAACACAGGAACAGAAAACCAAACACTGCATGTTCTCACTCTTAAGTGGGAGCTAAACAATGAGAACACATGGACACAGGGAGCGGAACATCATGCACCAGGGCCTGTCAGGGGGTGGGGGTTTAGGGGAGGGATAGCACTGGGAGAAATAGCTAATGTAGATGACGAGTTGATGGGTGCAGCAAACCACCATAGCATGTGTATACCTATGTAACAAACCTGCATGTTCTGCACATGTATCCTAGAACTTAAATAAATAGATAAATGAAAAAGACTGAGAATGGCCGGGCATGGTGGCTCACACCTGTAATCCCAGCACTTTGGGAGGCCGAGGCAGGCGGATCACCTAAGGTCAGGAGTTTGAGACTAGCCTGACCAACATGGAGAAACCCCGTCTATACTAAAAATACAAAAAAATTAGCTGGGCATGGTGGCAGGCGCCTGTATTCCCAGCTACGTGGGAGGCTGAGGCAGGAGAATCACTTGAACCTGGGAGACAGAGGTTGCGGTGAGCCGAGATCGCGCCACTGCACTCCAGCCTGGGCACCAAGAGCGAAACTCCATCTCAAAACAAAAAAAAAAAGACTGAGAATATCGTTACTATATAGAGATGTTCATTGGGGAGAAAGTCAATAGAGTCTTGAATATTCTCGTGATGTGCAGAATAATTGTGTAGAGATTATTTTAAATCATAAATACATCTTATATCTTAATATCTTAAATATGTTTTGTTTTCCATATATACTTAAGATATTTCTATGAAAATGTCTTATCCTAATATTTGCCAGCAAGAGTCTTGTGTAACCTTTTGAAAGTTGAGTAATAACTGTAATGCTGCTTTGCTTATTTTTCATAAAACAGTGATTTTCTTTAATATATCTGAAAATGCATTTTTCATTTATTTTTTCTTATTATTATATGTATATATCAAGTGTGGCATTTGAGAGTCTGTTGATAAAATTTACAAAAGTAGAATTACAATTTTATGTTAATGATGAAAGAATGACTTATAATATTCACCTGATTGTATCTCTTATTTTGTGTGCTTTTGTTAAACATATGTCGATTTATTTTGCCAACATGATTATATAGACAGAGAACTCCTTTTCTTTCAGGTTGGTTCATGTGATCCTGGTTAATGGAACATAAGTGAGATTTTATGGGTGACAGGGAGAGAGATCAGGCTTGACTTGAGAGCACGTGGGAAAAGAAGGGGGCTATCTCTTCGCAAAGATTTAAGTATCTTATAAGAACTGTTTGCCAGTGCAATTATGAGTAAGTGTATTTGTGCCTAATTTTTATTTTTTAAAAGCTCAGGTGATTATAATTTCATCTGTGAAATGTTGGAAGTATAGTCTGATTAAAATAGTATATATCTAAAAAAAAAAAATAGCCATTCTGGCTGGTTGTGAGATGGTATTGCATTGTGGTTTTGATGTGCATTTCTCTAGTGATCAGTGATGTTACTTTTTCTTCTGTATGCCTGTTGGCTGCACGTATGTCTTCTTTTGAAAAGTGTCTGCTCACGTCCTTTGCCCACCTTTTAATGGGCTGGTGTTTTTTTTCTTGATAATTTGTTTAAGTTCCTTATAGAGCTGGATATAGACCTTTGTCAGATGCATAGTTTGCAAAAATTTTGTCTCATTCTATAAGTTGTCTGTTTGTTGATAGTTTCTTTTGCTGTGCAGAACCTGTTTAGTTTCTGCACAGTAAAAGTTAAATTTATTAGATCCCATTTGTCCATTTTTGCTTTTGTTGCAGTTGCTTTTGGCATCTTCATCATGAAATCTTTGCCCATTCCTATGTCCAGAATGGTATTGCCTAGGTTGTCTTCCAGGGTTTTTATAGAGGTTAAATGGTATTTATTAGCCATATAGCGATCATTGTTGAAAATGGGTGATGAGTATATAGGGGTTCGTAATGCTACTATCTGTGCTTTGAGTTTAAATTTTTAAAATAAACTATATATATTATATATATAGTTTTAAAGTTATATGTAGTTCAAAACTACATCTAAAATTGATTTCTAATTAAGGACTTGTGGCTTGCAAGGAGCAAGGCTTTCTAGAGTCACTTGCTGACCACTGCAGCCCCCTAACCAGTTTATCAGCATCGTATTGGCAACTTGGTTACCTAGTTTATCACTTTTGGGAGGTTACTAATCTTTACTTAAACAGCCCTGATGCCATAATACATAATATTGCCACCAGAGCCATTGTTATGATAAGACACATGTGGGAAGTACTTATTTAAAATTTACAGCTGATAACATTTTTATGTTGTAAATTCCTAATTTCCTAATCAATAAAACATTTATATTTTAAAACAGCATCAAGCATAGCACTTTAAATATACTATGTGTATCTTACATATAGTAAATTCATTTCCTAAATGAACTACCTTTTATAAATGAAACGTAACTTGCGGGTATTTCTTATTTTGAGAAAACATCACATTTTCTTTCTTTCTTTCTTTGAAACATTTTCCTCTCTTTTTTAGGAAGCTGTTTTAGGTTATGTGAAAGAGATGTTTCCTCATCTCTAAGGCTTACCAGAAGCTCTGATTTGAAGAGAATAAATGGATTTTGCACAAAACCACAGGAAAGTCCCGGAGCTCCATCCCGTAAGTTTTTATTTTTTCTATTTATGGAGTTGGTAGCTCCCAAAGAGTAGGAAAACTTGGAATCAAAAGAACCCAAAAGAGAAGAGGTTCCTATATCATACCCTCCCATGTAGAGAGAACACATTGTGTTCACATTGTGCATGTGCACATGACCAATATGAGCACAACATGGGAGGCCTGAGGGAGGCCCATGTTCCTACATCATACCTCCCATGTTTTACTCATATGCAGGCCCATCTTCCTACATCACACTTCTCATGTTTTACTCATACGTAGGCCCATGTTCCTACATCATACCTCCCATGTTTTACTCATATGCAGGCCCATCTTCCTACGTCACACTTCTCATGTTTTACTCATACGTAGGCCCATGTTCCTACAGCAGACCTCCCATGTTGTATTAATATTGGTCATGGGCACATGCACAGTGGTTTCTTCATTTTCAGCATTTGTCATTTTCATCTTCTTGCCTGTAGGGTTGGACTGGAGCTTTCTGTAGGAGAATGGATGCACCAAAGTAAATAGTAGTCCAGAAATTATGTTTTAAAGAACTCTAAAGATGAACCAAATTAAGATATTATGCGTTAGGTAAAATATAAGCAGGGCCTTCTCCTTATCACCCTCACTGGCTCTCCCTTTGCACTGATTTTTATCTCTATTCCCGACTTATTAATGAAATGACTCAGATGGCATATATTCCCTTCAGAGTCAGCAAATCTTTAAGTAGTATTCATGCTCTTTCCTTCCCCAACTGGGTCTTTTCCCGTCTTCTTTTAGTTACAATACTGCTGTTGTCTTAGTCATCCAAGTTTGAGGTTCTTCGTGACTCCTTCCTCTTTGTCTTAACCAGTCTCCACATTCTTTCAGTCATCCTCAGACTGACCTCATCTCTCTTTCCACTGCGACAACTCTGGTTCAGAGAATATCCGCTCACCATGGTATTACAGGCTCCCATTTGGACTTTTTGCCCACTCTACCGTGTCCCCCTTTTCTGTCTCCATCCATTGTACAGATAATAAGCCTTCCTAAAACATTAGTTTCTTCCTTGTTTCAAAATGTACAGTAGTTCCCAATCAAGTCTAAACCCCTTAGCCTGACATTCAAGATCTGGTAAAATCTGATTGTACCTTACAAACTTTTTCTTAGTCTGCTGAAGTCAGACAAGCTCCTCACCGTTTCCTTGGGATTTTATAATCTTATTTGGAAAATGAAGCATCCTAAGAAATTCCATTCAAATAAAGTTCTAATTAACTTGAGGTTTCTCAGTGTTTCTGTTTAGTGACTAGTTAAAAAGCACTAATACCATTTTTCTGTTGTTAAATTTGAGAGTTATAATCTCAAACACATAAAATTTCTTGTCTGGTTTTTCTCATAGGCACTTACAACAGAGTGCCTTTACACAAACCTACGGATTGGCAGAAAAAGATCCTCATATGGTCAGGTCGCTTCAAAAAGGAAGATGAAATCCCAGAGACTGTCTCGTGAGTGCTGAATTTAGTATTACAAGCAGCTTTCATTTCTCACTGATCTAAGGGAAAAGCAATGCCTCTGAGTTCCAACTGTTTAAAACTTTTCAACCAAATTTGAAAACATTTTTCACTTTTCCAAATGTTTTATCTTTGGTAAGTACTTGGAATATAAACAATGCTAGAAAACCTGTGTCTTATCATTGTTAAGTTACACAGTGACTGGTGAAGAACTGTCAGGTACTCTGAAGTCAATTGATTATTTGATTTCATCCCCTGGCTACAGAAGTGTGACTTTTTTAAAGTTTGTTTTTAATCTAGGTATATAAATTAAGTACCATTGACAATGACTGTATTCCCCCAAATCCACTTAAGTACTCAACCTTAGGTGTAAAAGTATTTAATTGCAATATTCTGGAATTCAGGAAAGAGTGCTTCCTGTCACCAACTTCCTTAAACCTAAGGGAAGGGATCTTGGCTGGGATCATGGAACTTTTTCAGAGTTTGTAGATGATGAGTGCAGGTTCCTCCAACCCAGTTTCTCAACTCAGTACTATTGATATTTGGGGCTTGATAATGCTTTGTGGCAGGGGGGTGTCCTATTTGTTGGAAGATGTTTGGCAGCATCCCCGGCTTCTGCCCCCTACATGCCCGTAGCATTGCGGCAGTGCTGACAACCAGAAATGTCTCCAGACACTGCCAAATGTCCAAGGGGCACGAGCGGGGTGGGAATCTCCCCTGGTTGAGAACCAGTGCCCTAGCCTCATGTTAAAGACCCTGACTGGCTGGCATCTTGGCTAAAAAGAGATTCTGAGAAATAGATGTCATCTCCTCTGTGAGGCATCATCCTATTCAGGGACAGGGACTTCAGACAAAGCTCGTGGAAGTTCCCTGTCAGCAAGAAACTATTCCTGGATCTTCTGGTCTCTGGTTTCAAGTCATGATTGAAAAAGATCTGAGCTCATTCAGGATTTCTTTCCCAGGGAAATATGTAGTATTTACTTTCTGTTTACAACAGCTTTAATAGAGCTTTTCTGCTTCTGCCAGTCAAATTGATAGCACATTACTTTAACTAGAATTATTTCAGCAGGAAAGCCCTGGTTTTTCTTAGCTCAAGTCATGTATTCTTCTGGGAAATAAGAGAATACTGGAAATAACAGTGACATCAGGTTCTTGCCTATGCCCTAATTCTTCCTATACCAGCAGAAAATAAGCTGGTAGACACCCATGGCCTTAACAGATGCTGTATAGGCTTTGCTATAGAACACCTTCCTCAGTCTGCCTAATAGTTGGTTCCAAGATCCCCTCAGGCCCAAAATACTACCTCACGAATCACTCTGGAAGGGTCTTTTCTGGGCCTGGGCAGCCATTTGTCCTTGTGCTGGTAGTTCTGAACAGGCACTGCTTAACTTGCCCATTCCTATTACTCCCTATGGAATGGATTACTTTTCATGAGGATCATGGCACTTCAAATCCCATAAAATACCGTCAACATGGGAAGTCAGTTTGTGGTTAGTGGAATCTCAGGTGCTCCTAACTGACCAATTTGACAGTCCTTAGCAGTTGTCTTGGGTTCCTGCCAGCCTGCAGGCCCAGCTTAAGTGCCTGGAGAACCCCGTCCACATGCTGCCTCACAGGTCCCAGCTCCTACATCACATTGTACATGGCTTCATCATCTTCCTCCTTCCACCTGCAACATCCCAGACTCTTTGCCTCCTTCCAAGCATTTTTAAAGTACTCCCCTCCCCAATTTTAAAAGTAATATATGTTAAATATCTCAGGGGAAAGAAAGCACTTCAATCCCATCATCTAGAGATAATCACTTCCTATTTACACATCTACTGAGAAGGCCATAAGTTAATCCTGGGCCCCATAAGGGCTCCACATCCCCTGCCTTGAGGTTCTGCCAGACACCGAGGTAACAGAATCGTGACCACCAGGTGTGGCAATGCATGCCTATAGCCCCGGCTGCTCAGGAGGCTGAGGCAGGAGGATCGCTTCAGTCTAAGATTTTGAGTCAGCAACATGGTGAGACCCCATCTCTTTAAATAAAGTAAATTAAAAATAGAACCATGACTCACTGCCTACTTGCAAAATCACCAAGGTAGATTGGCCTTTAGACTCTTCTATATTAAGCCTCTTAGGTTTCACACAAGAATGATGAACCAACCATCAACTTTTTTTTAAGGCACATGGGTCTGTATTCAGTAGATAGGTTAGAAGAGCTGCACTTTGGCACTTGCCAAAGACCACAATATCAAGTTCACTGTCACTCAATTTTAGCAAAACATTTGTTTAAAAAGATAAATATTGAGGAGCATTGCTTAAAGGATCTTCCTACTATTTTAGATATTCTCAAATCTATTCTGGGTTCAAGACAGAGAGCAAAAAGCTGGGTATATGGAGCACATTGGTTAACTTTCTCCAATGTTTGATCATTCTGAATTGTGCTTTGTGTTGAAACATATGAAGCTTATTGTAGTATCTGTTGTCGAGATGTTTTCAGACGATGACTACATCACATAATGTCTTCTTAAGAACCTCAGGGAGAAATGACTGTTTCACTTCTAGCATTTATAGGCTGCTTGGAAACCTGAGAGCCAAAATTGGGGTCCACCATAGCAAGTGTAGATTAATATGCCTTGCCCATTTTTTTTTTTTGGCTTTGTTCTTGACTTCTCTTTTTGTTTTCTTCTTTTGTACTTAATTGTGTGCTATCCTGTATTTTATACATAAATGAGTTACGAAAAATGCCTCATCCTCCCCAAAGTCCTATGAGATCTCTAGGCCCTTTTTAAAGAGATCTCTAGGTCTCCCTATTTATATTTATAGACACTACTACATTTTGAATTTATACACAGCCTTTTATCCTGAGCAACTTCAGAAAGGGAAAAGTTAATAACTTTCTCTCATGATCTCATTGTATTACTAGGTTGGAGATGCTTGATGCTGCAAAGAACAAGATGCGAGTGAAGATCAGCTATCTAATGATTGCCCTGACGGTGGTAGGATGCATCTTCATGGTTATTGAGGGCAAGAAGGTGAGAAGGGGTTTCTTCTCTATCCAGTATGTATGTTCTCCACCAAGAACCTAGAGTAAATCAGGGATTGACCCTTGTATTTACCCTCTGAGAAGAGGAGGCTACTTTCTACATTACATGAGAAAAGATAAGCAAAAAAATAAGACATATTGGGAACAAGCCTGGAATATCATCCTTGGGGATAGATAGCAAATCCTAACTTTGGCGTGGTGAAGAAGGACTAGATTCATTTTGTGTAATGTAAATTTAAAAAGTGTTTCTGATGACAGGTGTCATAATGTAAATTAAGAAATAGGACACTGGCATATTTAATCACCCACTGCATATTTCCAGAGTGCTCTTGGTACCCAAGTGTATTTACCCTCACCATAACTGCCTTCAGCATGGTGAGCTTTCTTAGCGGGGTTCTTTATTTGAAGCTCAGCCAGACAGGGCCATGTGTCTAAGGACCACAGCTCCTAAGCAGTACATAGGAATACAAGTCCAGAAATCTTTAGCACAGATTATAATTAATAGCTATCACTAATTGAACACTCACTGCATTCCAGGTACTTTTCTAGCTGGTATCTCATCTGAACCTCACAAAAACACTGTAAGATAAGTATTATTAGGACCTGATTTATAGATGAGGAAAACTATAGCTTAGAAAGCTTTAGTAACTTGCCCAAGGCCACATATCTCCTTAATGACGAGCCACAGTGTGAACCTAGACCCAATTCAGGTAATAGGAAAATTCCTCCCATTTATTGAGTGCTTATTATGTAACAGGCACTGTTAAGCTCACTTAATCACCCCCATAACCCTAAGAGGTAAATAGTTTTCCCAAACTCACACAGCTAACAAGTGGCAAGATAAAAATCTAGACCCAAGTTTGCAGGTTACCAAACCTCATACTATACTATCTTGCTATTAAGCCATAGTTATTTTTATATTCAGCAGCTTTGGTCAAATTCTTCTTTTAATACCATGTATAATTCTATATATCACAGCTTCCATGTGGAAAGTGATGTCTTACAACTACTTTAAGATACTAAAAAGGTCCTTCTATACACGCACTCTTAACTGACTTTCTTATCCTCAGTAATTCCAGAGTAAAAGGAAATGTACTTTTGGCTGTCTTCATTCTTGCAGTTAAATGGAAATACTGACCATTTTAGGCTGACCTCATGGGAGTACGAAGGGGCAAATGTGCTGAGCTGGGTGAAGTTCTCTTGAAAACTCTGTTCCCACCCCACTTCATTTTTTCTTGTCTCCCTCTTTGACCTCTCATGCATAGTTCTCAGATTAAAACCAGCAGAAACATGTGGACAGGACTGTGAGCTTCTAGGATTCTGAGAAATTTGCATTGCTTTTGTATACTCGATTGTACTAGCTGAGTTTAAATACTCCAGAAGCAAATTATTCACCTGGAATCTCTTCTAGCATCATCCAGGGGTATATGCTGTGTATTTTAGAGAGTTCTTCTCCTGTTCTTTACCATAAAATTGTAACATTTTAGTTTTATGGAATTTCTGTTTCCATAAATACTACTGGAATGGAGAACTTTTGAACTCAATGTGATTTGGAAGAGAAAAATTAGCCATTGTATATTTTGCTCTCACCATCAACTTCCCTTTCTCCCCCCGCTCCCCCACCCCCCGCCACATACCCAATTCTTTTACATATGAAATTACACAGATAGAAGGAAATATCAGCTTAGGGTGCTAGTTTCACTATTTGGTATAAAAGTGTTGAAACTGGCCTGTATGTAAGCTTCATAGAAATCTGACCGTTTACATGGAGGGAAACAAGGGAAGAGGACGGTTGCCTCCCCCACTCAAAGGTTGGAATTGTAGTACAGATACTCGTGGAAATCATCAATGGTAGTATTTGGGTAAAGTCTGGGATTCCCAAAGCTGAATGTTTTTGGTAAAAGAGAAGTGAGGAACTAGAAGGATCTGAGTATGCAGATAAGTTGGGGAAGGAGAAATGGCAGCAACAGAGAAAAGTGAAAGAAGAAAAACGGGATAGAAATGGCAATGAGAAGGTATTTAGTATAAAAGAGAAGTGGGGTGGAATGAGAAGAAAGTATAAGAGAAAAGGAGAGGATAAAGACTGAAAGAAAGGGGCCAGAAGGGAAGAAAAAGGAGAGGTGTGGCACTTCTTACTTATGCTTGAGTGGATGAGCTGCTGTTCTTGGAAGCGTACGAGGAAGTTGAAGCACATAGAGGAAACTGCCGTGCTCAGTGTGCAAGCAGCAGAGGACTCCATGCCTCCATGCCTCTGTTAACCTGCTGTCATCAGTGCAAGGTAAAGACACCCTCCCCTGACCAGCATACAAATCACCTGTTCAAATCTGTTTTGCTTTAGGCTGCCCAAAGACACGAGACTTTAACAAGCTTGAACTTAGAAAAGAAAGCTCGTCTGAAAGAGGAAGCAGCTATGAAGGCCAAAACAGAGTAGCAGAGGTATCCGTGTTGGCTGGATTTTGAAAATCCAGGAATTATGTTATAACGTGCCTGTATTAAAAAGGATGTGGTATGAGGATCCATTTCATAAAGTATGATTTGCCCAAACCTGTACCATTTCCGTATTTCTGCTGTAGAAGTAGAAATAAATTTTCTTAAATAATGACTGTGTTTTATTGTTTTGATCCAAGTCAAGTGTAGCCTCTCAGCCTTTTGGAGAAAAATGAAACAATTTATTTCAACTTGAATACCAACTCTTCAGAGAAGCAGGTACCATATCTTACTTCTCTTCCCATTATCAAAGTAACCTCTCCACAGGCGAACTCATTTTGAGGAGATAAGGAAGGCCAGTTGAGTATATGGCCCAGGTGCAGCTTGGAGGGCCAGCCTTCTCAAATGTCCTGGTGTACTGGTGGGGAGGCTGCCCCCTAATAGAGCGAGCGCTGAGAAGCAGCCAGACCACATTCTATAATCTTTGAACATGCTGGCAGATGGAGGCTTTTAGGAGAATAGTTTTTTAAACATTCTGACAAGGTCCAGCCAGGAATTTCTAAGGACTTAGAAATCCCAGCGTCATGGAGTTGCTTGGGGTCAACACAAGTCACCTCTTAGCTTCATGCCTTAGAATTCTCAACTGGCTGTTTTCTTACCACCTGAGAAACTAAATTTCTCAATTATAAAAATCTCATGTATTATTACTGTTAGAAGTATTTGCACCTCATATATATCTCATTTACAGTTTGACCTTGGGATATCGAGTTGTCTCATATTTAGGTATGAATACAGGTTTCTATTTTAAACATTGATTCTCACATGCTTCTTAATTATTCATGGATGACAAGCCATTATAGTAGTCCCTTCTTATCCACGGCTTTGTTTTCTGTGGTTTCAGTTACCTGAGGTCTGAAAATATTAAATGGAAAATTCCTATAACAATGCATAAGTTATAGATTACATACCATTCAGTGTAGCATGATGAAATCTCTTGCCAATCTGTTCCATCCACCTGGGATGTGAATCATCCCTCTCTCTGGTGTATTCACACTGTATGTGCTAGCCGTCTCTGTTACGAGATCAGCTGTCGTGGAATCAGTGCTAGTGTTCAGGTAACTCTTATTTAATAATTGCCTCAAAGTGCATTGTGCTGTGCCTAATTTATAAAATAAACGGTATCATAGGTATGTATGTATACGAAAAACATAGTATATGCAGGGTTGGGTACTATCCACAGTTTCAGGCATCTACTGGGGGGTCTTGGAATATATCCCCAGAGGGTAAGGGGTGACTACTGTATACAGCCATGCCAACATGCTGGTTCTCAGAGAGTTATAAGAGAGATTAAAAATACATGCAGCTGTTTGGGCACTTTCTTCCCAAATAAAATACCCAGTAAAATGTAACATACTACCTATAGCTTGATAATCTATCTGAGGATGTTTATGATGTCTGTCTATATACTTTAATTTGGCCTTAGCTTCTTTGTAGGTATCAAGTTATCACTTGCAAATTTATTTTCAAAAAGCATAGTTTCTTGTACATTTTAGAAGATTAGTTTTTCTTATTTTGGGACACCTACACCAATGTTTTAAATGTGGATAAATTTTAATGTGGAATTTCTTTTAAAAATAATCCTCTTCATAGAGCAATACAACAAAAATGTGTTGTATCTTGGAGATTTACATTATAAATGTAGTAACATTTATGAGCTTAAATTTAATGAAACCTTTTTTTTTTTTTTGAGACAGTCTTGCACTGTCGCCCAGGCTAGAGTGCAGGGCATGATCTCAGCTCACTGCAACCTCCGTCTCCCGGGTTCAAGCAATTCTCGTGCCTCAGCCTCCTCAGTAACTGGCATTATAGGTGTGCACCACCACACCTGGCTAATTTTTGTATTTTTCATAAAGACGGGGGTTTCACCATGTTGGCCAGGCTGGTCTCAAACTCCTGACCTCAGGTGATCAGCCTCCCTCGGCCTCCCAAAGTGCTGGGATTACAGGCATGAGCCATGGTGCCTGGCCAAACGTTTTTATTACAAATATTACATTAAACTAAAGCTCACAACTGTTATTATGCATCAGGAATTAACAGTCATTTCTCATTTGTGTTATTCTCCTATTTGATAACATATAGTGACTATCTCTTTATGGGTTAAATATCAGTTTCTTGGCCAGAATTCAAGATCTGCCCCTAACTAATCCTACTTCTCCCAGTACCCTTACAGCACTCCTACCCTACTAGTAACTCTGATATCTCATAGTCCTCAGATTTATCAAGCAAACGAAACTGAATGAGCACTACTATAAGGTACCACAAACTACAAAAGGAGACAGTTTTGCCCTTGTTGCTTTCAGTTAAATTATTGTGCTATTTTTTGCTTAATTTCTAGGTTTTTTTTGCGTGTTTATCATGTCTCCGTAGGTAAAGTGGGCAGAAATCTTTTTCTACTTTACATTTCCTGTAAGTGCTGTTTGTTTGAATAAAGTTAATGTGTGAGGTTACGGTTACTTTTTATTTTTAATCAACATGATAGTTTTGGGAATTTATTACTAAAATTTATCAAAGCAGGCAAGGAATGAAGTTGTATCCTTCACTGTCAAACATTACTTGAGTCCCTTTACTACACAAAAAAGCCAAAGAATACAAGAATACAGAGACATACTTCCTGATTCCACAGAACTCATAATCTGGAAGCACAGCCCATGAAAGCATTTCAGTACAAACTGGTAAATAATAGGGACAGGAAAACCTAACTAACTCAGCTGTCAGCTGTGGTTGCAGGCAGGCCGGCAGTGGATGGTTCCTTCAGTGATTTCTGAACTGAGTTTGAAGCATGGGCAGGAATTAGTAGGTCAGACACAGAACAAAAGAAGAGCAGTCTTCATCAGACATTTAGCTTGCCTGAAAATCACAAGCACAATCTAAAAAGGTAGTGAAAGGTCCTTGAGAAACACCATTTATAATGTTGTTTTGGTTTTTGAAATTTTTAGACTCTTAGAATGAACCTAACCTTGGCGTATTTTTCCGGTTTTTTTCTATGGACCATTTCATATCCCATCACACAGAATATTACCAAAAGTGTGCAGGTAGCATCTGCCATGTCTCTCCAGTCCTCCACCAGCATCCCAGGCTTATGCACTTGTTCATCTGATCTCCCAAACCAGAAACCCTGGAATTATTTCAAATTCCCTTGCTCCCCTCTTTTAATCAATCATCCTGTCCTGTCAACTTTACTTCTAAATATTTCTCAAATACACTGATCCTCTAGGATAGTCACTGAGAGGAATGAGAAATTGTCCAGTGACAGACAAATGAAATTATTAATAGGCCTCAAGATTAGAAGTCAGTTTTCAAAGAAGACATACAAGTGGCCAACAAACACACACAAAAAAATGCTCAACATCACTAATCATCAGAGGAATACAAAATATAACCACAATGAGATACTCTCTTAAACCAGTTAGAATGGCTATTATTAAAAAGTCAAAAAATGGCTGGGTACAGTGGCTCATGCCTGTAATCCCAGCACTTTGGGAGGCCGAGGCAGGTGGATCACTTGAGGCCAGGAGTTCAAGACCAGCCTCGAACATGGTGAAACCCTGTCTCTACTAAAAATAGAAACATTAGCCAGGCATGGTGGCACGCCTGTAATCCTAGCTACCTGGGATGTTGAGACATGAGAACTGCTTGAACCCGGGAGGCAGAGGTTGCAGTGAGCCAAGATTGTGCCACTGCACTCCAGCCTGGGCACCAGAGACTCTGTCTCAAAAAGAATCATGGCAAAGATGCAGAGTAAAGGCACAGCTTATACACTGTGGGGAGGAATGTACATTTTACAACCTCTGGAAAACAGTATGGAGATTTTCCAACTAAAAACTACCATTCGATCCAGCAATCCCACTAGTAGGTATCTACCCAAAGGAAATTATATTTTAAAATCACCTGCACTGTTTATCGCAGCACTATTCATAATAGTGCTGTTTATCGCAGCACTATTCGTAATAGCAAAGTTATGGAACCAACCTAAGGGTCCATCAAGAGATGACTGGATAAAGAAAATGTGGTGTATATACTTATATACATATCCAGATGACTGGATAATGTGGTGTATATACTTATATACATACACATACACATATATGCATACACACACACACATACACACCACAGAATACTACTCAGCCAAAAAAAAATAATGAAATCTTATCTTTTGCAACAACATGGATGGACCTGGAGGCCATTAAGTGAAGTAATGATACAGAAAGTCAAAAACCACATGTTCTCGTAAGTGGGAGATAAACAATGTGTACACCTGGACGTGGAGAGCAGAATCATAGACACTAGAGCCTTCAAAGGTGGGAGTGGGGTGAGAGATGGGAAAGTATTTACTAGGTACAATGTATACTATTTGGGTGAGGGTATACTAAGCCCAGATTTCACCACTATGCAATATATCCCTGTAATAAAAGTGACATAAATCCATAAAAATTACAAAAAGTTGCTCAAAAAAGATTGGTAGTCAGAAGCTGAATTCTAGATGTGCTTTTTCAACTATCTCATTTTGTAAATGTAGTGTATGAATCTCAAAATTTAACAATAGACAATTTTTAAAATACCAAACTGCCAAAATTAAAAGAAACCGTCTTTTTAAATATCCAAGTTTTTTGGCCAACTTGGCTCTACTACTTGATTTTCAAAGGGATTAGTGGTTACTCATCCACAGTTTAATTGTTTTGTCATTTTCTAATGCTGCTGATGCGATGAGGTTTTCTGTAGGATGACAAGCTGCTGAGATCACAACATCTGTATGGCCTTGTAATTTCTGCACAATCTCTTTAGTCTGAAGGTTCCAAATGTAAACCAGGTTATCCTCGGAACCAGACACAATCCACTTTCCACCAGTAACTGAAAAATTGGCAAATATGCAATATTTCTCATTCTTATGACCAGTGTATGTTTTCAGGCACCTGCCTCTGCTATAATCCCATAGTTTAAGAGTGTTGTCCAAAGTTGCAGTGAGAATGTATTTACCATTTGGAGAAAATTTTACAAAAGAGACAGGAGGGTTATCGTCATCAACGAGCGTTTTTAAACACTGACCTGATGCAGCATCCCAGATTCTACAGAGGCCATCATAGCTACCTGACACTATCAAGGACCCACTACAATTAAAATGAACAGCAGAAACTGGGTCAGAATGAGCAGACAAAGTCTTGAGACACTTTCCTGTTTTCACCTCCCATATTTTTACAGTCTCATCAAAAGATCCCGAGATTATAAGGTTGGATGGCGGATTGAAGTTACAACAAAAGACATAATTACTGTGCCCCTTCAGTGTTTTCAAACATTTTCCAGATCTCACATCCCATAATTTTAGAGTTTTATCATCTGAGGCAGAAACAAGACGACTGGAATCTGATGACCAGGCAACATCCGATATTTCCAAATTATGACCATAGAGTGTTTTCTCATATTTTCCATCATATGCTCCCCAAATTATGATTAGCCTATCAGCAGAAGAACTTGCTAGCCATTCTCCATTAGGACTAAACTTAACTGATGACACTGCTTCCGTGTGTCCCACAAGAGTACATTTGAGAGCATAGTTTGGGTTTTCAGGCACTTCCTTGCTCTGATTGGCCGATGAGGAGAGGGCCAACTGTGCTTTGGCGTCTCTTGACTCCTTGGTTGCCATGGCTCTGAAGCTCCAAGTTAGCAGGTGTACTAGGCGTTCAGCCCTGAACCAGGCAGTCCAGTACTTTGGCTTTCTGCCCAGCAAAATGAAGATAAACGCACAGGATTTTAAAATGTACAGTTTTGAAAGCTTAAAGTTTCTGGACAGTCTTTAAACTGTGAGACGGAATCAGCAGCACGGCTTGGACTTCAAGTTTTCATCTTTTTGTTAAGTACTTGAGAAATACTGTTAGAAGGATCCTGTGCGCTGTCAGCAAGTAGGACACAAATGTTCGGCATTCCGTTAATACATAAAGCCTTCAAAGCAGGGGCGACGCGAGGGGCACTCTCTACAGAAAGTATTCTTTCACCGCCGCCCCCCTCCCCAGGTCGAAATGTTTCGGAATGCTGAGCAGCCCTACCAGTCAGGCTAGGTACTTGAAGATGAATGAACCGCCGCTTTTAGCGGATTTCAGAAGCTAAAAGCCTACGAAGCCACCGAAACTGGAAACTCTGGCCTGTCGGCTACTTTTGCTCGTACCAGCAGGTGTGCACTGCCGCGTCAATCTCCAACAAAGCCGGAAAAGCAGCCTGGCGCATGTGCAAAGGAAGTCCCTCCTACCACTACCGAGCCGAGATGACCAATGGGAGACGGCCATCTGCGCCTGCGCAAAAAAGTCGCCAATGTTCATTTCCGGTCTTTTTCGCCCCGCCCTTCAAATGCGAAAGCGACTGCCTTCTTGGGTGAGTGCATTAGCTGGGTAGGGTCTGTCCCGGACCTAACTGGATAGTGTGGGAAGCAGTGGATCGTTGTTTCAAAAACCATTTCTTTTTGGAAATTGTCACAGAGAAGGACTAGATTTGCGGATGCCTACCTTAGCTGCAGGCTTAGGCCCACACCTGACGCGTAAGCTGCCTAAACGGCAGCTAACGTAGATCCACCCAGACGCCGGAAACGGGGGAAGCTCCTGCTTTGCATGGGTTCCGCTCCCTCCTGTTTGTTGTGGTGTGGAGCCAGGTGGCATGTGTGGCGATGGAGTCACGGGGCGGGTGACAGAATTTATGCCAGATTGTAAAATTCCTGGTTTAAGTTTCCCCTGGAAAAGTTTCGTAAAGGTTAAGAAACGTGTCTGTTGAGGTCCTTTAAAAGCCGGTGCTCTGCTGGGAGTAACGAGCAAACGTTTGTTTTAGCATCTACGGCTTAAGCTTCCATAGAGAAGTCGGTATCTCAAAGTTGCTTGAAACAGAAAAGGACAAAGAGGTTGGTGGAATAGGGTAACGGATAAGGTTACTCTTAAGGAGGTTTTAGAGAGCTTTCCCCAGTTTTAGGAGATGATTAATGGTCATGAAAGTGTGTAAAATATACATGCTATTGAAGTTGCAACGAAAGACATAATTACTGTGCCCCTTTAGTGTTTTCAAACATTTTCCAGATCTCACATCCTATAATTTTAGAGTTTTATCATCTGAGGCAGAAACAAGACGACTGGAATCTGATGACCAGGCAGACTTTTAAACAATAGGTTTACCAAAAAACTGGAAGCCCTACTAGTTTCTCCAACCTGTTGTTGCTCAGTAAAGAGTGCCCGAGGCCGAGCACTCACGCCTGTAATCCCAGCACTTTGGGAGGCCCAGTCGGGCGGGACACTTTAGGTCGGGTGTCCGAGACCAGCCTGACCAACATGGCGCAACCAATACTGCTAAAAATACAAAAATTAGCTGCGCGTGATGGCGCACGCCTGTAGTCCCAGCTACTCAGGAGGCTGAGGTGGGAGAATGGCATGAACCAGGAGGTGGAGGGTGCAGTAAGCTGAGATTCCACCAGTGCACTCCAGCCTGGGCAACAGTGAGACTCCGTCTCAAAAAAAAAAAAAAAAAGAGTGCCCAAGAAAAGCAGAAAAAACGTGGCTTAAAAGATTTTACTGGTGGCTGGTCACGATGCAAATGTCTCATCAGCGTCAAGAATTTAAAAGCACTTGGAAACAATGGGTATCCTATTGTATACTTATTAGGGATAATTGAAAGTCTTGGCCTTTATAAGGCACAACAGGCACCGTTAGGTCACCTGTAATAAACCGACTGTAGTTAAAATATCATTACTTTAAGACCCTACCAGTCTAGGGGGAAATTTAAATAAGAATTGGACAAATACTTTAGTCTTAGCTAGTGCATATTAACTGTATAAACACAGTGAGGTAGTCCTGAGAATGAAGACTCTAAAATGGTTTAGAGTATTTATTTCTATACATTAAATTACAACGGTTTTTAGCTATTAAGGTCTCCATGGACCTCCCCTTGTTAACACTTTTAGAAATTTTTTTTCCTTCAGCATATCTTAAAGTTCAGTTCTAACTAAACCCTGCTGCTGCTTTTCTCTTCCCATTAGCCTGGATTAGTGATTTTTGCTGAGAAGTTTAGAAACTGCACCAATTGAAAACTATTTCCATTTTTATTAACTCAATAAAAGGTAACGTAAAAGCCCCTTGGAGCACAGGAGCAGAATTTAATCATTGTTTCAAATAATTTAAATCTGCATTTTCCAGTAACTGTTGTATGCACTAGAAGAGTAAAATTTAAGAATCGTGAACACTTGACATGAAGGCTAGGATAGGGTATTAGTGCTGGAATATATTTAGCCCACCACAGCTATCACAAGCAAGAGAGAGGGGGGGACACAATAAAGGATGTGTTGATAGGAAGATCCGGAAGTTATTTTTCTTCAGATTTTCCTAAAATCTGAAGAAATTCCTATTAACAAAATCCATTTCTTGATGTCTGGGATTTGTTTACAAATAGCATTAGGAACATATGCAAACAAAATCAAGGCTATGAATATAACTAGTTTTTTTTTTTTTTGAGACAGAGTTTCGCTCTTGTTGCCCAGGCTGGAGTGCAGTGGCGCGATCTCAGCTCACTGCAATCTCCATCTCCCTGGTTCAAGCGATTCTCCTGCCTCAGCCTCCCGGGTAACTGGGATTACAGGCATGCGCCACCATGCCCGGCTAATTTTGTATTTTTAGTAGAGTCAGGGTTTCTCCATGTTGGCCAGGCTGGTCTTGAACTCCCGACCTCAGGTGATCCGCCCGCCTCGGCCTCCCAAAGTGCTGGGATTACAAGCGTGAGCCACCGCGCCTGGCGAATATAACTAGTTATGTTCTATTGTTTATTCATTCATGTTCTGATATTAACATGTAGTCCTAACATTGTAGTCCTTAGGAAATTAGAACTAAGATTTTCAGTTTACTTGCTTGGGAGGATCAGCGACATTTCGGTGCAGGAGCACGGAATACTGATACAGGTAAATCCGAAGTGGCAGAACAGAGATTTGCATTTTGGGTTCCTTATTTATTCATTTATGAGACGGAGTTTTGCTGAATACTGATACATGTAGGTAAATCCAAAGTGGCAGAATAAGAGATACGCATTTTGGGTTTCTTATTTACTTATTAATTTATTTATGAGACGGAGTTTTGCCCTTGTCGCCCAGGCTGGAGTGCAGTGGTGCCATCTCAGTTCACTGCAGCGTTGCCAGGGCTCAGGCGATCCTCCCACCTCAGCCTCCCACAGGCACCCGCCACCATGCCCGGCTACTTTTTAAAATACCTTGTTGGCTGGGCACTATGGCTCACGCCTGTAATCCCAGCACTTTGCGAGGCCGAGGCGGGTGGATCACCTGAGGTCAGGAGTTCTAGACCAGCCTGGCCAACATGGTGAAGCCCCTTCTCAACTAAAAATACAAAAATTAGCCGGGCGTGGTGGCAGGCGCCTGTAATCCCAGCTACTCAGGGGGCTGAGGCAGGAGAATCGCTTGAACCCAGGAGGCGGAGGTTGCAGTGAGCCGAGATTGTGCCATCACACTCTAGCCTGAGGGACAAGAGCGAGACTTCATCTCAAAAAAAAAAAAAACAACAACAACCCTTTGTAGAGACAGAGTTTCACTACATTGCCCGGGTTGACCAAGCAAAATTTCTTACATGGTCTCATTAACAGTTTCTATTTCTGCTGCCCTTAATCTTTACCATCTAAGTGCTTTGGAAGTTTCCTCCCTACAGAAATCAACTAGATTTCTTTAAATTTCCCAGACATCTTAGAAATGAAGGCCGGGCGCGGTGGCTCACGCCTGTAATCCCAGCACTTTGGGAGGCCGAGGCGGGTGGATCATGAGGTCAAGAGATCGAGACCATCCTGGCTAACAAGGTGAAACCCCGTCTCTACTAAAAATACAAAAAATTAGCCGGGCGCGGTGGCGGGCGCCTGTAGTCCCAGCTACTCGGGAGGCTGAGGCAGGAGAATGGCGTGAACCCGGGAAGCGGAGCTTGCAGTGAGCCGAGATTGCGCCACTGCAGTCCGCAGTCCGGCCTGGGCGACAGAGCGAGACTCCGTCTCAAAAAAAAAAAAAAAAAAAAAAAAAAAAAAGAAATGAAAGTCTCTTATCTTAATATAGTTTAAAGGTGTGTTTCCCTTGCCCCTCAGTATTGTAAATATCTAAACAGATGTGTTGCCACAAATGGGGCAATTTTTAAATTTAAAAACAATTTTTTTTTTGTATGTGTGCTGGACCAAACCGTGGCATGGGAGTGATTCCCACATTAAGGAATGTCTCAACATCCTTCATAGCAATTCTTGACTACCAAATCCAGTCTCAATATCAAGCATTAATAGAACTATGTATACCTAGTTGCTTAAGACCATTAGCCAATGTATGAAAATCTAGTTGGGCTTTATAAATATGGAGTGGCCACGTAACATTATCTAAACTGGGACATTTTTAAAAGTGAAAGGGGGCAGTAAAATAATTCACAGGTGTTAGCTGATCTCCAAATGTAAACTGGGGCTGTGCCCAGCAGACACTACTTTTGACTTCCCAAGAGGACACTCCTCATAATCGTAACTTAATCTTGCAACCATTTCACACTCTGGTAGTTTACACCTCAGCCTGCGCAGGTCTCTCCCAAACCTGGTACTGTTCTCTCACCACCCATTACGGTCTTTTGCGTTTCTGTTTTCTCCTTACCCATCACTGTATCTTAATAATGCCCAGCCCAAGTGATGGGTAAAGCAGTGATCCTTATTGAGGACTCCCAGCGGACTACATTGGCCTTCTGCAGGTTAAGTGGATATGAATAAGAATGAGTAATTTTACTTTCTGCAAAAAAACACAGAAATGACTGTATATTAATTTAAAATTAGAGAAAACAATGACTCCTTCAAAATGCAAGTGAAATGGGGCAACAATCATTCAAGCTATCTTTAATAAACTTGTAAACCCAGTGATTTTTTTTTTTTTTTTTTTTTTTTTTTTTGAGATGGAGTCTTGCTCTGTCAGCCAGGTTGGAGTGCAGTGGTGCAATCTTGGCTCACTGCAACCTCCACCTCCCGGATTCAAGCGATTCTCCTGCCTCGACTTCTTGAGTAGCTGGGATTGCAAGCTTGTGGTACGATGGCTGGCTAATTTTTTTTTTTTTTTTTTTTTTTTTAGTAGACAGGGTGTCGCCATGTTTGCCAGGCTGGCCTCGAACTCCTGACCTCAAGTGATTTGCCTGCCTTGGCTTCCCAAAGTGCTGGGATTACAGGCATGAGCCACCACGTCTGGACATAAACCCAGTAATTTTGTACGATTTATAAAACAATGTAGTCTGCAGGAACTAAGGCTATGTTTTGCCTCAAATGTTCTTTGTTTTCAGAATAAAATACTTGGTCAGTGGAATCTCTTCAACAAAATAGAAGAGAAGCAGTCATGGAGTGAAGAAATAAATCATCTTTGTTTCTACTCATCTGTCACTTATGCAATACATACAATATGTAAAAAGGAAAAATCCCTGTGTAATAGCCTAAGGCAACCAGCAGCTTCCACGTCGGTTGGATATTAATAAATTTTTTTCTTTACTGTAAAATATACCCATCAGCTTTTTTTTTTTTTTTTTTTTTTGAGATGGAGTCTTGCACTGTCACCCAGGCTGGAGTGCAGTGGCGCAATCTCCACCCACTGCAAGCTCTGCCTCCTGGGTTCACACCATTCTCCTGCCTCAGCCTCCCAAGTAGCTGGGACTACAGGCGCCCGCCACCACACCCGGCTAGTTTTTTGTACTTTTAGTAGAGACGAGGTTTCACCATATTAGCCAGGATGGTCTCGATCTCCTGACCTCGTGATCCACCTGCCTCGGCCTCCCAAAGTGCTGGGATTACAGGCATGAGCCACCGCACCCGGCCACTAGCTTTTCTAAGACACTTTGTTTGTTTTTAAATACCAGACCTCTGCTATGACAATGTTTGATTTTGTAAACTTCAGGTCAAATCATGTCTTCTGAAAAGTAACTGCATATAAAACACGTTGAGACATTTGCTTAAGATGTTGATCCTGGTTTCAAGTAACAGCATAAGGGAATTCCTTTGAATTTTCTTTTATCAAGCACCCTTTACTAACATCACAAAGATGCATGCATATTCCTTCATTTAGTATTTATTGAATGTCTACTATGTGCAAGGCACTCACCCATGGCCTGACAGACCACATTCAAGTACAAAGAATCATTAGAGCCATTCCAAATCTAAGTGTCAGAACACTTTGAAGCAGGATGTAGAGTGGTCAGAATGACTTGAGGTAAAGCAGAAACACTCAACAACCAGTACATTAAAAGGTGATTTTAATTTTTGACATTCCTTGGGATGATATTCCTTTAGGAAGAAGTAGACTGTGTTAAATTCGCATCCATGGCACTGCTTCCTGAGGCAGTAATTCTTCAAAGCCTTTCCTTCCGTGTCAATACTTTCCACATTTGTGCGTTTGAATGGATCCATGTGTTTAGCCATTATTTTACTAAACACAAAATCATTTGCACAAAAAAAAAAAAAAAAAAAACCTATTACCATACTTGTCTGGTCATACAGAATTTTAGCACCACAGAAGAGGAAAGATGTTTGGCCTGAGAGGGCCTACACTCCAGTCTGTGTAACCTAAAAGCAACTTAAGCCTGATTTCGTCATTTTAAGGGTGCTGATGGTAAGCAGGAGTCAGGAAGAATGGTCTAACAAAAAAGGCTGGCCCAGCTGTGGTTGCCAAGTCTAGTTCTGGGAGATCCTGGGCACGGAACTACTGCGTGGCCACTGCTTTCTTCAAGACACAGAATTTGCAGGGCTCTTCCCCGCCCTTGGACAGCCATCTAAGTGTTGTAACCTTGGGGCAAAGTAATTTCTCGTAAGTCTTCACTTTGTCATCTATAATATAGTGACAATTATCAAAGAACATTTGGAAGACTACATGAGAAAAAAGGAAAGCCCTTAGCCAGGTATCTGGTGTACAATAGATGATCAAATAAAGACATGTTACCTTAATTTGACCTACAGGGAAAACACTCTGGGACTTCGTTTACCCTTAGTTGAAAACAGAACGGAACACTTCTTTTCTTTCTTCTTACCCCAAGCTTCCAGATGTATTTTATGTCCAGTAGCAATTTGATATTTTAAATTAGCATATAAATATTTGCTTTATCAGATATTCTGATGTCCTGGTATCCATTGTTATAACCTGTATATAACCTGTAATCCTGAACTGCTGGGATTACAGGCATGAGCCACCACATCCGGCCATAAACCCAGTAATTTTGTATGGCAGATAAAACATTTTATGGAATATTCTTTATGATAGCCAACTTACTGTAGTAGTCACATCTGACCTTTGATAATTTTTTTAAATTAAGTTCTGATGACAGGAAAAGATAGACCAAAATATTTCCCAACCTGGCAGATATATACTTAATCTGTTCAGCTCACAACAGAGAGAAATGGTCATATTGAGATGGATAAAAATTCAGATTTGAGACTTCCATGTATATAGGCATACCTGTGTCTGCAAATGAGCACATTTTGGAACGTAGGAGTTAGCATACAGTATGAAAGTTGAAAGCAAACAATGCTGGTTTCTAAAAGTGGATCCCTTTTCTTCACTGAACATCATCCTTAGACACCACAATTTCCAATATACTTAAAAACCATCAACCCCTAAAAAGTTATAATGATTTGCCTATTGATATAAAAATTTTCACAAAACTAGCGAGAAAGAAAAACCCCTTGACTCCAGGAAAACCTTTTCATA
Organism: Homo sapiens; assembly: GCF_000001405.40. Taxonomy (NCBI): domain Eukaryota; kingdom Metazoa; phylum Chordata; class Mammalia; order Primates; family Hominidae; genus Homo; species Homo sapiens. The sequence continues at coordinate 122,423,599 of NC_000003.12, forward strand.
ATGCATCCCCCAAGTTGGGGGATTAAATCGCTGAAATGTTTATTTAGCACTAGAGAAGTAAATTCAAAGTTGCCTGTGGGTAGACGTACAATAGAATTGGTTGACAAAGTTTGGTTTATAAAATATACTTACATATTGTTTCTTAGGCAAAAATCGGCAGCAATCTGGAATAATTCAGATTTTTTATGAGATTAATTGCCAATCTTTTTATCTGTGACGATAATGCCAAAAATGACTCAGAGCCAATAACCTTCATCTGTCATATGGAAGAAACAATCCTAGGGCAATAGTTTTTTCAAAAGCGGAACTGACAAAGATAAGCGTTTAAAAGGGTCTTGATCAATTAGTTACAGGAACATGAAAGAAAGTGTTCCACAGAGAACTGTGTCTCCTAAAATCTCTTTCTTCTATCATCTACCTTACCCAAAATTTCTCAATCCAACCACATCTACCTGCTGGTCCATCAGATACCAGATGCCTTTACATCCAAAATTCTCTTAATGCTTTTTTTCCCCCACCAAAGTTCTCATTACAAATAATATAGATTGGAAGTTTGGAGGATGGAGGGGAATAAAAAGGAAAAGTAAAACAAAGTCACTTTCCCCAATCCATATATAAAACTACAAAAGAGTTTTCCTGTATTGAAATTAACATGCTTTTGTAATGAGCAACGCCTTAGTGGTAGGGTATTCAGTGAATTTAAACTAAGTTAACAGAATCTGAGAGGCAAAGAACTAAAAACAGGATATACAGTTACCCCTTAAAATGTCATTTCTGTTACCAAAAAGCCTGCTTCAGTACCAAGTTCCAACATATCTGAGTTATGCTACTTCACTTTTAGCCAATTCCAACTTTGATACTTTAAGAAAAAATCATTTTATTGTTAAAAAAGAAAAAAAAACTTAGATCTTATAGTTCATGAACTTCTAGGACAAGATAAATTCCTCTGTTTTAGACACAAAATAGATCACGTCAGTTAAATAGACTTTGTTTTAATTCACTCACTGAAACATCTCCAACTACTAGCAAAAATTCCGAATGTCTGAATGCACACTACTCTTCCTAATGTGGGGAGACAACTGTGTGCTTTGTATCTTTCCCACTCAAATTGGCTTATAAAATGAAATTATTTTAACTATCCAATGGAAGGTACATAATTTAAAACATCCTATAGAAATGACATGTTACTAGTAATTTACAATTTTAAAAAACAGCCACAAAAAAGTCAAAGCTAAAAACAAGATTTTTACTATGAATCAGTGCTTCTATTATCCTTCTGAAAGAAGTTATATTTTAATGTGATGTAAAGGCAACATTGAAATTTCTTCTTTAAATTAACCACCTAATTTATCCCTAAAATTACAAAGAATCAGTCTTTTACAGGTCAAGTGCAGTAAACTAAAATGTTCTCTCAGCACAAAGCAGCACTAGAAAAAGTAACAGTTATAGATGGGAGTTGACTAGTTTTGCAGTGGCTGCGCCATCAATAACAAACAGACATCAGACGGTATCCATCCCAGAGCACAGACACTACTACAGACTAGATGCGAAGAATGCGTCACACTCTTGGCTGATAAATGTCCTTTGTCTTTGACTCTTTCTAGTTTGAATGAAGTGGATTTTTTAAAAGTTTAAATCAGGTCACATAAGTTGGCTGCTTAAATAACATCATGATGAGGTATGAAAAGCTCTGAATATCCCTTACATTCAGCAGGATTTACCAGAGATGTATAATAGCTTGTCAGGGGCAACTTCCAAATAGTTTTTACACTTTGGGGTTATAATGAATTCTAGAAGAGGACAAGTCTAAAAAGGTTTAAAAGGGTATGCTCTGAAACAGAGGTGAGCAACCTTTTCCTTCAGAATTCACTTTGAACAGCACATCAACAAAAAAATCTTCTCTGGTAGTGTATCCCAACATTGAGTCAAGATGGCCAACTAGCACCGAGAAGTCGTATTGAACTCATTTGCAGTTGTCTTGGCAATTAAGCGTATTTTTTCATTCCAGTCCAAGCACAAATGTGGATCACTGAACACAGTACTGGAAGCGCCATTTGCAGGTACAGATTGCAGTCATCATTAAATGAGCCAGAAGGCAGATACTGTTTTTATTTTGTGTGGGGGGAGGGGGAAGCGGCACAGTACTAGCAGGAGATGAAATAAAATGATTAGGAAACAATGAGGTTATAAGATCACTGTTCTTATTTGGGTTAAGCAGGTCATGTTGAGAAGATGGTTATTTCTTTCAGATAAGGATGCTACATTAAAGGAATCGTGTGCAGCATGAAAAGATTAGAATCGAGCTGCACCTAAGAAAAAAATCCCAAAGTTACTTTCAAAAGTATGTGTTATCTGCCAGTCACAGAGGGGAAAAGCACCTAGGGTGAACTCCAATTTTTTAATGAGGACCTTGATCAGGACCACAAAGCCTGAAACATTTATTTTAATGCAGAAACACAGCCCCTAGTTACACTGATTGCATTTGGGAAAATTGGAGGGTTTTTTCGTCCTTAGTTTTTTTTATTAAATTACAGGATATGGTTTTCGATTACTAAGTATTCGAAATCCTCATACCAGCAACAGAAATGAACCACTTCCAAATTCTAAGACACAAAAGACCAAAGAGAAGCAAAAGCGATACAAATTAATATGTGCCCCTCTCCTTTCTGCTCTAAGGGAATCTACAAACCAGTATCACATTTAGGAGTCAAAGTGTTAATTCTTCAGCATTCCTGACAACTAGAAAGCACATTCACTGAAGGCTGAAGGTGAGGGAGTGGATGGTTTAACTTTAATATCTGAAGAATGGCGCCAATAGAGGAAAGAAAACCATCCAATCTCAGTAAGGATTAATGCAAATCTGGCTAGAAAAAGCCACCAGGTAATCCAAGGGTTCACTGTGGAAGAACTCATGAAAAGTACTCTGAAGTATACACAACAGGTCTAAACATCTCCCTTGTCGTAAGTAGTTGTGTAAAATTCAAGATAAAGATTTAGTCTCATCTTTTAATGTCAGTTTTTTCCCCCATGTTAAAGGGAATGAGGAGGAGTCCTCTTTTATTCCCCCACAAGAAAAAGGGAGCCACATTAATATGTGTATATTCCCATAACTCTAATGTAAGTGCGGATCTCCAAAGCCTAGGGATTTTTCCGTAAAAGAGAGTGGGCCGTTCTGGTTACCCTTTTATTAGAAGGGTATTCCACCACAGAGAGCCGGAGGTTTTCCAGATGTGTGTAAGAGAGCAGGTGCGCAAGGCAAGCAAATGAGCGCAAACAGTATTATGGAAAACATTTGAGAAGTTAGCTCCATGAGGACTGTGGGCTCCACAAGAGGACTCGACTGGGTAGCCTGGTCTGACACAGGTACGTGAAAGCAGAGTATTGCTTCAAAGCTGGAAACCTTCCATAGGAGCCTCACACTGTTGGAAGATGTACTGCTGCTGGTTAAGGTCAACCTGGGGTGCAATGCTGCTGTCTTCATCTTCGGTCCCGAAGTAATGCTCAATAAGATCAAAGGCCTTTTGGTAGATCTCCTGGTTTTCATGACTCTGTAAGAACTCAATTTTATCCAGACCTAAAATGAAGAATAAAGGAAAATCTTTATTGAAAACTTCAATAAATATTGGAAATTCCATAACTATATATTCCTAAACTATATTTTGTCATATATCTCTGTTCTTGATGTAAAGAAAGATTATTTGTATCTCATAAGTATTTTATAATAGCACAGAAATGACTGCTGGGATTACATCTGAAAGCTAGTATTATAAACTGACATCTTAAATACATATGCAAGTAATATCCAGTCTGCAGAAGCAGCAATTTCCTAACAGTCCTCTTTTCATCCAGTGCCTAGCAGTAGTAGTATTGTTTTTACTGAACTCTATCTATGACCCAATTCATTCTTGGCCATAAACTTCTTCAACCAAAGCATCTTACCATAAGCTTCTTCAATCAAAGCACAGTAAGGGTTAATGCCAGTGCCATTCCTTTTGGCTTCCTGTTCTCCAAGCCTCAGGATATTTTCCAAGCCATTTAGGGCAACCTGTACAATCTTAGAGTCCATGACCGTGAGGAGATCACAGAGCGGCTTGATACAACCCAGTTCTACTAGGTACCTAAATACAAAGAATAATGTAGTCAAACAAAACTTTTAATTTTGTTAAACTTATGAAATTAGTGAGCAAGTCATCCTCAACTTCACTGCAGAGACTTAAAAAAAAAAACAAAAAACAAGCACTCTTTCAACCATACAAGCTATACCTTTTCACAAAACAAAAACAAAAAACCCTCTAAATAAATTATCCCAAACCAGTTCTCTGGCACCTTTCTCCATTCTTTTCTCTTCACAATTTATGCATTCCAAAAACAGGAATACTTACTTATTAATACCTTGAAATGAGCGACTCATCAAAATAGTATAGGTTTGAGTAATTTCATCTTTGTTTCCATAGATAGCCACACCTCTCAAACATGACACTCTTGGTGCTAAAAGCCAGCACAAGCCTGATAAGCCAAATCTTTCAAAGATGATTAGAATTTTAGTAAAGTAAGTTGTGGGAAGAATAAACAAATGTCAGAGGATTCTAGAACTGGTATTTTTCCTTTAATTCAAGCAGAATGTATAACCGTATGTAATCAAGATTAATCATACTTGAACTTCAGAGACATGATTACTGTATCACATTCACAGTAAATAGTCATGTCATTTTTTATCATTCTGGTTTCTCAAGTTGAGTACAGAGAGGCAGGGATAATGAATCCAGTTGCATTATGTGAATGTTTGGTAAGGTCATTTTGAAACTTACTGCTAGTGCTAATCTATTTCTTTCTCACATATTGCTTTTTTGTGTGGGGGAGGAAGAATTCAAAAATATATAAAAATAAATCTCTAGCCAAACAAGAAAAAAGGAGAAAAGACAAAATTACTAATATCATGAAAGAGAATCATCACTTGATCTCATGGATATTAAAAGGATAATAAAGGAATACTACAAACAACTCTATGCTCACACATTTGATCATTCAGATGATAAAATGAACAATTTCTTGAAAGACACAAACCACCAAAACTCAGTCATGGAGAAATGACTGATGTGAACAGGCTTACATGTATTAAATAAATTGAATCATTAATAACTTCCCAGAATAGAAAACATCAGGATGAGGGTTTCACACTGGTGAATTCTGGCAAACATTTACGGACAAAACGATACTAGTATTCTACCATCTCTTCCAGAAAACAAACAGTGGGGATACTTCTTAACTCAATCTTTGAGGCCAGCACTTCCCCAATACCAAAATTAAATAAAGACATCATAAGAAAGGAAAATTACAGACTAATATGTCTCATGAACATGAATACAAAAATCCTCAACAAAACATTATCAAATCAAATCCAAGAATGTATACAAAGAATTATATACCAAGTGGATTTATTCCAAATATGCCAGGCTGATCCGTCATTTTAAAAAAATGAATCAATGTAATCAACTTACGATCATTTCAACGGATGCAAAAAAGCATTTAACAAAATCTAATACCTATTCATGATAAAAACTCAGCAAACAGGCCAGGCATGGTGGCTCAAGCCTGTAATCCCAACTCTTCGGGAGGCCAACGCGGGTGGATCACCTGAGGTCAGGAGTTCAAGACTAGCCTGGCCCACATGGTGAAACTCCGTTTCTACTAAAAATACAAAAATTAGCCAGACATGGCAGCGGGCACCTGTATTCCCAGCTACTTGGGAGGCTGAGGCAGAATTGCTTGAACACAGGAGGCGGAGGTTGCAGGAGCCGAGACCGTGCCACTGCACTCCAGCCTGGGCGAAAGAGCGAAACTCTGTCTCAAAAAAAAAAAAAAAAAAAAAAAGAATCTCATTTACATCAGCATCAAAAAAGTGTAAATCTAATAAATATGTACAACAGGATATATATGAGGAAAACTACAAAACTGATGATCTAAAAAAAAAAATGGAGAAATATTCCATGCTCATGGACAAGACTCAATATTGTTAAGATGGCAATTCTTCCCAACTTGATCTATAGATTCAATGTGATACTCCCAAACAAAATCCCAGCATGTTAATAGATACCAACAAACTGATTCTAAAGTTTATATGGGAAGGCAAAAGGCCCAGAATAGTCAATACAATACTGAAGAACAAAGTTGGAGGAATGACATTATCAACTTACTATAATCTAATCAAGACAGTGTGGTATTGGTGAAAGAACAAACAAAAAACCAGTGGAACAAAATAGAGGGCCCAGACATTCACAATACTTGAATGTTTGTTCCCCTGATGGTATCCTAGATGCCATTTAGGCTTTCTTTTTTAATTATTTTTTTCATTCATTCATTCATTCATGTATGTCTGACTGAGTTATTTCAAAAGACCTATCTTTAAGTTTAGTAATTCTTTCTTCTGCTTGATCTGATCCACTGCTGAATATCTCAACTGTATTTTTATTTCATTCATTAAATTCTTCAGTGCTGGGAATCCTTTTTTATATGTTATTGTTGCTTTTTTAATTGTGTGGTGGCAGGATGGTAGGAGATGCTCATAACTTTTGTTTTGTAAATCTGTATTCTTTGATTTAACCCACCACCACTACTACTGCCATCATTCACGGATTCACCAAAAATTGGATATTATCATACTTGTTTTTATTAATCTTTCTTACATTTATGTATAGCTGACATCTGTTTCAATGTTTAATATTAGAAGGTTTTTGGGTCTATATTTTGAAGGTTGGGGATGTTTCCTTGACCAGAAATATCACGTAGTAACTCAACTGATTTATATTAATTAGCCTATGATAAAATTGGTTTTGATATATACAATGTTTCTCTTAAAGTCAAAGTTTCCTGGAACCTATCAATGACATTAAGTGAGGACTTCCTATACTGTACTACCAGTGTGTGTGTGTGTGTGTGTGTGTGTGTGGTTTCTCAAATAAACTGTGTGTGTGTGTGTGTGTGTGGTTTCTCAGATAAACTGTGTGTTTGTGTGTTTGGTTTCTCAGATAAACTGCAAATTCATGCACAGACCCACACAAAAAGAATAGAAAGCCCAGAAACACACCCGCACAAAAACAGTCAACTGATCTTTAACAGAATAGCAAAGGCAATTAAATGGAGAAAGGATTCCACCTTTTCAACAGTGCTAAAACAACTGAACATCCATACAGAAAAATAATGAACCTAGACACAGGCCTTACTTTGTGTCACTCGTGAGCTTAGACAGGCCAAGTCTTCCCAATACCCAAGACTGAGGCTTTCATCCCAGTATTCACCAGTCGATTACTTAATCATCCTTGTGAAAGAACGACCTATAGCAAGACTGACCTGCCACCTCCAAAAACACTGCATTCTCTCACTTTTCCTCATGCTATTCTCCCCTCCAAAACTGCCAATTCTCTATACAAATAGTAAGTTTCACTTCTTTGATGAATGTTTCTCTAATTTCAGTTAATAATCCTTATCCTTCATTAAGAACATGTGTTATATATGTATTAACATTTGATTATATTCAACCTAAAATTCTAGATGTTTCCTAAAACATTCTTTTTTATCTTTTGAGACAGAGTCTCTCACTCTGTCTCCGAGGGTGGAGTGCAGTGGCACGATCTTGTCTCACTGCAACCAACCTCTGCCTCCTGGGTTCAAGCCATTTTCCCACCTCAGCCTCCCAAGTAGCTGGAACTACAGGAGAACACCAACACGCCCAGCTAATTTTTGTAGAGACAAGGTTTCTCCATGTTAGCTAGGCTGGTCTCGAACTCCTGACCTCAAGTGATTTGCTTGCCTTGTCCTCCCAAAGTGCTGGAATTACAGACATGAGCCACCACACCCGGCCAAGATATTTCCTAAAATATTCTAATTGTTTCTTGCATCCAAATCTGGTATCTGCAACAAGAAGCAGCAGAAGCCAGATAGATGTCTTTTATAAGTGATAAAGTCAGTTTGTTTTTTGTAATTTGGACTGTAATATTTTTGTGACATTCTTTCAAGATAACTCTTCATGTGGGGAAGAAGAAACTGCTAGGAGGTTGGTAATTAATTTTATTATAAATAGCTATGCTGAATTTTAAAAAGGGACAGCAGCAATTCTGCGCTTCTCTAACAGAGCAAAATACTCCTGAATACTTTCTCATGAAAGATGGCATAATAAAATATATATGTTTATGGTTTATTTCTTCTTCTTCTTTTTTTTTTTTTGTTGAAATGGAGTCTCACTCTGTCACCCAGGCTGGAGTGCAGTGGCATGATCTCAGCTCACTGCAACCTCTGCCTCCCGGGTTCAAGCGATTCTCCAGTCTCAGCCCCACAAGTAGCTGGGATTACGGGTGCACGCCACCACACCTGGCTAATTTTTGTACTTTTAGTAGACACGGGGTTTCACCCTGTTGGCCAGGCTGGTCTCGAACTCCTGACCTTGTGATCCACCTGCCTTGGCCTCCCAAAGTGGTGGGATTACAGACATGAGCCGCTGCACCCGGCCTGGCTTATTTCAATTAAGAAAATATATTTGCTATAAAATATAGAGACAATTAATAACTATAAATGTGAATTTGAACATAAAGCTTATTCAAATAACTATAGTACTTCATTATTTTTACCATCTGGTGACAGCATAATTAAAATCATAGTACTCTAGAATCAGAATTTTGGAGGTTGGAAAAAACCTACAAGACAAATGTGCTTCTGTCTCCCTGAAATAACCTGCCCATGATGAACTTCACCAAAATAGCTACTGCATATGTTAATCTGTTTGTAATTTTATTCTTTCAGGTACATATTTCTTATTTTCTCTACCTGATAAATTTCTGTACTTTGTTACTATTTTTATTTTTTAATTCCAAACAGAACACTCAAAACTAGCATCTGATGAATGCCTACATTCAGTCCACAAAGCAACAATGTAAGTAGTAGCTATGTTTGTCTGATATTACGTATGAGTAAGGAGTTAATGCTTTAGCACTCATTTGAAACCATCTTTCCTTAATTTTGGATTCCCCATAAAGTTAAGACTGGCTGAGTCTAGGCTAGGCTCCATTTTTCTCTTCATCATTACTTTTTTTCCCTATCTGAAATACTAGATGTCCTGAATTTTGCATTTAATTATATGATGCTCCTTTGAAGAACTGATTCCCATCCATATTTATGTTTTCTTCCACTCATTAAGCTTATAAGCTGCTCGTCGGGCATGATGGCTCACACCTGTAATTCCAGCACTCTGGGAGGCCAAGGCAGGTGGATCGCCGGAGCTCCGGAATTCAAGATCAGCCTGGCCAACAGGGGAAAACTCCGTTTCTACTAAAAATACAAAAATTAGCTGGGTGTGGTGGCACTCACCTGTAATCCTAGCTACTAGGAAGGCTGAGGCAGGAGAATCGCTTGAACCCAGGAGGCGGAGGTTGCAGTGAGCCGACAGTGCCACTGCACTCCAGCCTGGGCAACAGAGAGACTCCATCTCAATCAGTCAATCACTAAGCTGCTACCAAGGGAGCCATTTAAGTCTTGAGCTGCTACAGCTCCTCCCTTTAACAAGAATACCATAGTACTTTAGAAGATACCTGCCTCTACTAAATTTGGCACTTCATTCTCAGACATACCACTCTTTCAATTCTGATCCAATTCTACTATTAAGACATCTAAACTAAAAAGGGCAAGAGTGAGTTATTAAACTTGGGCTCAAGTTCTACAAGTAACCTATATTACCCAAGATATTTCTGACAAGTAGCTCCAGAGTAGGTTGAAGCAAGGATTTCTATTGCCTCAAGCCTCGACTATGCCTACTTCTTATATCCCAGGATTGTTTTTCAGCAAAAAGAAATGGGAGAGTTATAAAGAATTAAATACACATCTAATTATGACACCAAGGACAATTTCCTAAGGACTGGAACTAAACATTCTTATTTGGTAAGATCGTCTCTCACTTACTTTTCCCCTCAAAGGCAGCTAATCTTTTACTCTAGGTAATATGTGGGAGGTTATAAAGTGATAGACACAATAATAATTTTTCTTTAACTTACAATATGCTGCCTGATTGGTACTTACTTGATCTGTTCAGCTGATCCTCCAGAAGTTGCATTTGTGATGGCCCAAGCTGCTTCTTTTCTTGTCCGAAATTCAGCAGTTTGTAAAATACTAATGAGGGCTGGGAAAATGTTGGCATCTATCACAGTCTAAAATTAAAGAAAAACTTAAATGGAAAAAACTGTGAGATTTATAAAAATATTCATGATACTAATTATAATTTCTAAGCTAGTTTGACTATTAACACCCCTTCTCCTGTCAGAAATAAATTGAAAAGAGTTATGTCATTATCTCTAACCTTTTTTTTTCTTTTTTGAGATGGAGTCTCACTCTGTTGCCCAGGCTGGAGTGCAGTGGTGCAATCTCAGCTCACTGCAGCTTCCACCTCCTGGGTTCAAGTGATTCTCCTGCCTCAGCCTCCCGGGTAGCTGGGACTACAGGTGCACACCACCAAACCCGGCTAATTTTTGTACTTTTAGTAGAGACAGGGCTTCACCATGTTGGCCAGGCTGGCCTTGAACTCCTGACCTCAGGTGATCCACCCACCTCGGCCTCCCAAAGTGCAGGGATTACAGGTGGGAGCCACCGCACCCAGCCTATCCCTAATCCTTATTCTGTCTTGGTATCACTGAAAACATCTTCCCTGGAGTTTATGATCTTATAATCTCCTATTTTCTCTGAGTTCTTTTCTCTTTCACTTTCCTCTTTTGTTCTGCCCACAGTAACAAATTGTTAAGAGCTCAATTTTCTGCTCCTCTGCTATTCCATTCTCTCATAGCATGTGAACTTCCATGTGCGAAAACTCTCTAGTCCTCACTTCTCACTGGAGCATCAGCCCAGGGTAGCCAGCAGTTTACGTTAGGTCTGCTAGTCATCTCAAACACATCATCTGCCCGCTATATCAAGTTTCCTTTTAAACCCCTCTAGTTCACAAAGGCTATTAATTTACATTCTCAATTTTTAAAATCCTGAGTCCATCTTTTTCCTTTCCTTTGGCATTGCCATGCTATTCTCCAAGCCACCACCTCCCAGATTACCAAAATAAGACTTATAGTTGGATGGAGTACTTTTACTCAATCCCCTTCATGTACTAACACTAAAGTAGCCTTCCCAAAATTACTTTCTCCCTGTTTCTTCCTGGCTCAAGTACCTAACATGGGTTTATATCATTTCCTACATTAAGAAACTGAGAAGTTCTGCATAAAAAAGCCTGGTGGTGACAGGCAATCAAATACAGATGAAATCACCTCATATGAATGCTATAGATTGTTATAGCTATTAATCTCAGTTCCTAATTCAGCATTTTGGGGACAAAATGCTTTCCTGGTCAAAAACTCTTATTATACCTGTGAAGGACGTCAACAAAGTTTGACAAAGTTGATTACTGGAAAGACACCTAATCCCGGTCCTGTCATTTTACTAGAGGTGCTCTTGAGCAAATCATTTTAATTCCATGAGCCGTTTCATCTTTTTATTCAAATTTTTTATTGACAAATAATAATTGTATATATTTATGGGATACAATGTAATGGATGCTTCAATACACACACACAAACACACACACACAAAATTGTGGTAAATGAAAACCTTGGATTAGATGATCTCTCTGTTTCCATTCATCTCCAAGGCCCTCTATGTCTGTGTTATATCTTTTCCTACCCACTGTTCCATCCTTGAACATTGCCCAGGCTGAACACTTTGGCCCACTGCTTGTCGTCCACTTGAGTTACTCTCCCACCAATACAAAGACAAAAGTAAAAACCAAGTAACTATTTAAAGAAAAATGGGTATCCAAAAATTCATGAAAATTTGAGGCAATCTACATGGGTCCACTGGAAAAATAAATATCTTACTTGGAAAGCGTTAAAGCCAATCGTGCTCAGCATAAAGCCCATCAAAACATTTTGAAAATACAAGACATTATTTGTTGCAAGAAGTCAGGGACCCTGAATGGAGGGACCATGAAGCCTGGCAGAAGGACATAAATTGTGAAGATTTCATGGACATTTATTAGTTCCCCCAAATTAATACTTTTATCATTTCTTACACCTGTCTTTACTGCAGTCTCTGAACATAAACTGTGAAGATTTCATGGACATTTATCACCTCCCCAATCAATACTCTTATAATTTCCTATGCCTATCTTTACTTTAATCTCTTAATCCCGTCATCTTCATTAAGCTGAGGATGTATGTCGCCTCAGGACCCTGTGATGATTGCATCATAAAGCATGTGTGTTTAAACAATATGAAATCTGGGCACCTTGAAAAAAGAAGAGGATAACAGCGATGTTCAGGGAACAAGGGAGATAACCATCAGGTCTGACTGCCTGAGAGCTAGGCGGAACAGAGCTATTATTTCTCTTCTTACAAAAGTGAATAGGAGAAATATTACTGAATTCTTTTTCTCAGCAAGGAACAGTCATGAGAAAGAGAATGCGTTCCTAGGGGGAGGTCTCTAAAATGGCCACTCTGGGACTGTCTGTCTTATATGGTTGTGGATAAGGGATGAAATAAACCCCGGTCTCCCTTAGCGCTCCCAGGCCTATTAGGACGAGGAAATTCCCGCCTAGTAAATTTTAGTCAGACTGGTTGTCTGTTCTCAAACCCTGTCTCCTGATAAGATGTTATCGATGACAATGCATGCCTGAAACCTCATTAGCAATTTTAATTTCGCCCCGTGCTCTGCCATTTGCCTTGTGATATTTTATTGCCTTGTGAAGTATGTGATCTCTGTGACCCACAACCTATTCGTACACTCCCTCCCCTTTGAAAATCACTAATAAAAACCTGCTGGTTTTGCAGCTTGGGGGGCATCACGGAACGTGCCGATATGTGATGTCTCCCCCAGACAGCCAGCTTTAAAATTTCTCTTGTACTCTTTCCCTTTATTTCTCAGACCGGCCGACACTTAGGGAAAACAGAAAAGAACCTACATGAAACACTGGAGGTGGTTCCCCTGATAACTATTTCTTGGGTCTTGGTGAAACATCAAATATTAACGGCAACAGAAAAAATGAAGGCTTAAGTGTAAATTTCAAAAGACTTAACATCTATAAGCTAGGATAAAGTAAAAAGCTGACTATGAAATAAGACAACAACATTGAAAGTGGTCTTCAAAGCAATAATGAAAACGATATACGTTTTATTTTGTTTTGAGATGGAGTCTTGCTCTGTCACCCAGGATGGAGTACAGTGGCACAATCTCGGCTCACTACAACCTCTACCTCCACGGTTCAAGTAATTCTCCTCCCTCAGCCTCCCGCGTAGCTGGGACTACAGGCACCTGCCACTGCGACTGGCTAATTTTTTTGTATTTTTAGTAGAGACAAGGTTTCAGCATGTTGACCAGGATAGTCTTGAACTCCTGACCGCAAGTGATCCACGGGCCTCAGCCTCCCAGAGTGCTGGGATTACAGGCAGGAGCCACCGCACCCAGCCAAAAACAAATGTGTTTTAAAGGGTGACTGAGAAAAAAACCTTACTTTTCAATAAAAATACTGAAAGAGAAGTTAGGTCCTATGAGGTTACCTGGATCTGTGCCCTATTTCCAGCTGTAATATTAGATATCGTCCAACATGCTTCCTTTTTGATAGATTCCTTTGGGCTACTCAGCAAATGCAATAAACTCTGCAGAGCTGAGCAATTCAGAATTACCTAAAAGAAAAAGTTTGAAAATTTTACTTATTGTATTGTTCTAAATATCAATGTTTAACTTAAGGAACACATTTTATGAAAGACATAACATCTCCCCTTGAAATTTTATAAATAAGTAACTTTATACAGGTAAAAAAAAGTATTCACTGTTAATAAGAATTAGTTTCTAAGAGTATCAGTACAGTTTCATTGTACACATTCACAACTGCTAAACTGTACTTAATAAGATACAATAATGTTACTATTGTAATTACAAAAGCATTACTCATTCACCTTCCCATCCCAATAGCGTAAGTCTTCTGAATGGGTAAATATATCAAGTGGCCAGAAAAGTCAGGAGTCTCAGATTTGTAGGTCCTCTGATAACACACTACTTGGTAGTCAATGAACGAATACGTACTTAATGAGGTATATTAGATGCTTTATAGGATACAAAGATAAAAAAGATATGACCTCAGCTATCAGTTTATAAAGGTGAAGGAGGTAACACAAATACACATGAAGAAGGAGACCTACTCTACTAGAAACTAAAATAATATAAGTTTGATTAAAATAGTATATGGCAGATTTAAGAATTAATCACTAAACAGAGAACAGAGATCTATTCTAGAAACAAATGCAGCTATTTATAAAGTTTATAATAAGTTAATCCTTTCTTCCAATGACTTGTGGCTATGACAGAACTGGAATAAAAAGCTAAACAGATTAAAGACAATTTTTTCAATATCATTTCTTAACCCTGATATGGTTTGGATCTGTGTCCCCACCCAAATCACATGTTGAATTGTAATCCCCAAGGTTGGAGGTGGGGCCTGGTAGGAGGTGACTGGATCATGGGGGTGGATCCTTCAAGAATGGTCAGCGCCATCCCCATGGTTCTGTTCTAGTATGTAGCACCTTCTCCTACTCTTTGCTCCTGCTCACGTCACATAAGACAAGCCTGCTTTCTCTTCACCTTCCACCATAACTTTTAAGTTTCCTGAGACCTCCCCAGAAGCAGAAGCTACTATATGCGTCCTGTATGGCCTACAAAAACATGAGCCAATTAAACCTCTTTTCTTTATAAACTACTCAGTCTTCGGTATTTCTTTTTTGTTTTTTTTTTTTTGAGACAGAGTTTCGCTCCTGTTGCCCAGGCTGGAGCGCAATGGCACAATCTCTGCTCACCGCAACCTCCGCCTCCTGGGTTCAAGTAATTCTCCTGCCTCAGCCTCCTGAGTAGCTGGGATTACAGGCATGCGCCACCACGCCCGGCTAATTTTGTATTTTTAGTAGAGACAGGGTTTCTCCATGTTGGTCAGGCTGGTCTTGAACTCCCGACCTCATGTGATCCACCTACCTCAGCCTCCCAAAGTGCTGGGATTACAGGCAGGAGCCACCACGCTCGGCCAGGTATTTCTTTATAGCAATGAAATAACAGACTAATATAAACCCTAAGTCACCAAAATAAATTTGCAACTACTTAAGAGTAAATATTTTTAAAAGAAATCATAAAGCAGAATATTAGAAAATAGCTGACTTGGGGATGGTAAAAGACTGTATGTATGAGCATAAAAATAAAGAAATTATAGGGGAAAATAAAAATTTCATGAAACATGTTTTCATGTCAAAAATCGTAACAGATTTTAAATGTACACCATCCACTGTGAAAAATATTTGCAACAAATGAGAGGGTTGCTATGTGTAAACTGAAAAGAGAAACTAAAATTTTAATAGAAAATTATCTCCTAAGTAATGAAAGAAATGCAAATTAAAATGAAGTCTTTTATGCCTATTAAATAGGCAATAGGATTTCATTAGCAAAAAGAGGGACTGACACTGCACATAAGCTAGAAATGAAAAAATGCAGAGACAAGCTATTACAAAGTACTGTAAGAACAGACTACTGAGGCTATTTTATTTTAAGAAACATAGTCTCGTTCTATCACTAAGGCTGGAGTGTGGTGGCATGATCATAGCTCACTGCAACCTCAAACTCCTGGGTGCAAGCAATCCTCCTGCCTCAGCCTCCTGAGTAGAGTAGGTAGGACTACAGTTACATTCCATCATGCTCAGCTAATTAAAAAAAAATGTTTTTAGAGATGGGGTCTTGCTATATTGCATGGGCTGGTTTGGAACTCCTGGGCTCAGGCAATTCTCTCACCTCAGCCTCTCAAAAAGCTAGGAATACAAGCATGAGCCAGCATACCTGGCCATGATGAGGCTATTACAAAAGAGTTCTATGCCCCAAAAATAATAGGCTAGAAAGAAGAATGAGACTAAAATCTTAAGGAGAAATTCCTTTGAATCTTTCAAGTTTCTTTATCTTACAGGCACTAAAGCAGCTTATTATTTCTAGAGGAAGATAATGCAAATAACATTACTTTAGGAAAGATTCAGCTGTTATTAGGGGGAATAAATTGAGAAGAGTAACTGCTTAGGACAGTCGGAGGATGGATGGGTACAGCAACAACCTGTGTGTGTGACAAGGACCAAAAGTACGTAATTTGATGGGGATCTAGTAACAATAACAATCAAGAAGACCCAGCAACTTGCTATACAAACTATAAGGGAGGGAGACACCACATGTAACTGCAAAGTTTCATGTGTAGGTAAAGAGAATAGTTATATCATTACCTGAAATAGGAAAAATAAAAACTTGGAACTTGCCTTGTGGGGGAAAGAAGATATACTGTGAGACAAACGTGAGATATGCAAGCAGAAATATGTAAGAAACTACTGCAGATATAGGACTGAAACTTGAGATAGGTCAGAAGTAGATGTAGAGATTCAGAACTTCATTGCATTCAATAAATATTCTTTAAGTCCCTATATATTGTGCCAGAAATTATTAGATTTACAGAGGCACAGAAATAAACACTGACATAATCCACCTCTAGAATCTTAAAATCTAGTAATTAGTTACAATACAATGTGATTAATATTCTGATGGATAAAGAAAAAAAAATAAGTACCTAACTTAAGAGTTTAGGGTCAAACAGGGCTTCTCAGAGAAAATAATGTTAATACCAAGACTTGAAGAACAAGAAAACATTAGGAGCAGAGAATGTGGATATGTGTGAGGTGGCAGTCAGAGCAAGGGGTAGCAGTGGAGACACATGTTCCAGGCAGAGGGAATAAAGCATGCGTTAAAACTCTGAGCTGAGAGTGGCCACAGCCAATTCAAGGAACAAATATGGCAAAAGCATACAGCATATGGAGGTGGGTGAGGGACAGAAAGATACTGATAGGGTTCAAAAATTCAGAGGGTATAAAAGACTCCATAGTTGTTAAAAGCCTCTTTCCCCTTCTTGTATCCCAGCCAACCAGTTCCCCTCAAAGACAACCAACATTTTCAGTTCCCTGTATATCCTTCCAGAGAAATTTTATGCAAATATAGTCAAACATATATTCTTTTCTTCTCCTATTCTCTTCTGAAGTGTCTGAACTAAGCCCTGCAAAGGATGAATAGAGACAGAACAACAGGACTTAGTAACTGATGATGGAGTTGGAGGAGAGGAAAGAATCAAGCTGATGTCCAGGTTTCAGGGGAACTGATGGTGCCATTCACTGATACAGGGAACATAAGCAGAGGTTCAGGTAATGCAAGGGGAAATGAGTTCCCTTGTGTACAGAATATATTTAAAGTAAATACATTACAGTTAGAAGACACCTGAGAGAACAAATCTAATCTCCTTAATTTTAGAGATTAGAAAAGGCATTAAATGTATTGCTGAAAGTCAGAACTGGTGAAGAAAACGCTAAGGCTAAAACCCAATTCCCAATTCTGAATCCATGCACACAAGGGTAATCACTGACATTATAAATAAGATCTATGAATGAGGCAGAAGGATTGCCCCGTGGAAGATGTCCACAAAAGGAGACAAGAGGAAAAGGAGCTTGCTAGGGAGAAATAAATGGTCGATGAGGCAGAAGAACTAAAAGACTTCAACATCACAACACAGCTGAGATTTCAGGAAGAAATATGGCTAGAACAATGCACTGTGAATGGTGTGT
Organism: Homo sapiens; assembly: GCF_000001405.40. Classification (NCBI taxonomy): domain Eukaryota; kingdom Metazoa; phylum Chordata; class Mammalia; order Primates; family Hominidae; genus Homo; species Homo sapiens. The sequence continues at coordinate 122,441,292 of NC_000003.12, forward strand.
CTTGATACAGAAGTTGAATAGAGTAGATGGTGACATTAGAAAGTAGGAGGGAAGAATCTTCCTCACACAGGGGACTTACCATGTACAAAAGGAGAAAGCTATCAGAGAAGGTGATATTGAGATGAAAAAGACAGAGAAAAGATGCTACTAGAGGATTCTGATGCCCATGAGAACTATTTCAAATAGGAGTGAAGAAAAACAAATCTGCCTGACCAAAAAATAGTCACTATCATAGGACAACCCCAAACTACTACAAGCAACAGGTCAAGTCAGAGATACTAAAGGTATTGAGAGTAGATGCCTAAACCAACTTTTTTTTTTTTCTTTGAGCTGGAGTCTCACTCTGTTGCCCAGGCTGGAGTGCAGTGGTGCGATCTCGGCTCACTGCAACCTCTACCTCCTGGGTTCAAGCGATTCTTCTACCTCAGCCTCCAAGTAGCTGGAACTACAGGCGTGTGCAACCACGCCCGGCTAATTTTTTGTATTTTTAGTAGAGATGAGGTTTCACCATGTTGCCCAGGCTGGTGTCGAACTCCTGAGCTCAGGCAATCCGTCCGCCTCAGTCTCCCAAAGTGCTGGGATTACAGGCGTGAGTGACCGCCCCCGGCCCAACATTTTTAAACATTAGTGTAACAGAGTATCAAGTTTCCCTAATAATATGGAGTAAAATACGATAATAGAAACATGATCATGAAGTTCAATATACTGTTTTTAAAGGACAAAAAAAAGTTACCACTTCTTCATACCTGTGTCTGAATATCATCCCCTGTGACAATGTTTCCCACAGCTCGCAAAGCAGGAGAAACCACTTTATAATCATTATGCCTGCAAAAACAAAAAGTAATGTTATAGCAAACAGTTCTATCCTTAGTTTCATTTCCTTCCAAGACCAAAATTAAAAAACAAAAAAATTGTGATAGAATTTTAGAGCAGAAATGTACCCATGGGGCTAATTAAGGGAACGCTTATCATGATGATGGAATGTCTGGTGTTCCCTAGAACTGTCTTTCCCCTTATTTTAGTACATTTGGAAAAAACTACCAATCTTTCCTAGGAATCTTTCCCAGGTATTCCATCACCTGGATTCCAACTTTTCCCTCTCATTCTTTAGTATAGGTTTCATTTCCTCTTTACTGGCTTTTGTATGGTTGCTGAGATAATTGAGAGCAATAATTAACATTTACGCAACATTTTTAAGTTTTATAAATTGTCTTAATTTTCAGACGTAAAAGTGACACATCAACAGCTGAACTAACTTGAAAATGCAAGTCAGGAGTCACACTCTAAATACAAAGGTCTTTCAACTAAACTTACTAAATAAGCTGCCTTACTGGTCCAAAAACCACTCCACAAAGCCATATATATATATTTGAAGACAGATATTAAGTCCTTATTTCTAGCTAAATTAAGTCACTATCTTTTGATTTTCCTTAAGGGTCCTATTTTTCCCTCCACTTTAATGAGACCGATCACTCTTCTAAAAACTAAGCCAGTTCCTTCAAATTTAACATGTGATGATTAAAAAGAAATGGCTGGGTTCCGTTCCAAGATAGCTGAATAGGAACAGCTCTGGTCTGCAGCTCCCAGAGTGATCGACGCAGAAGACGGGTGATTTCTGCATCACCAACTGAGGTACCTGATTCATCTCACTGGGACTGGTTGGACAGTGGGTGCAGCCCACGGAGGGCAAGGTGAAGCATGACAGGGCGTCGCCTCACCCAGGAAGCACAATGGGTCGGGGGATTTTCCTTTCCTAGCCAAGGGAAGCTGTGACAGACTGTACATGGAAAATCAGTACACCCCGCCCAAACACTGTGCTTTTCCCACAGTCTTAGCAAATGGCAGACGAGGAGATTGCTCTCCCATGCCTGGCTCAGCGGGTCCCATGCCCATGCAGCCTTGCTCACTGCTAGCGCAGCAGCTGGAGATCGACCTGCAAGGCTGCAGCCTGGCGGGGGGAGGGGCGTCTGCCATTGCTGGGGCTTGAGTAGGTAAACAAAGCAGCCAGAAAGCTCGAAATGGGTGGATCCCACCGCACCTCAGCAAGGCCTACTATCTCTATACACTCCACCTCTGGGGGCAGGGCATAGGCTGAACAAAAGGCAGCAGACAACTTCTACAGATGTAAACGTCCCTGTCTGACAGCTCTGAAGAGAGCAGTGGTTCTCCCAGCATGGTGTTTGAGCTCTGAGAATGGACAGACTACCTCCTCAAGTGGGTCCCTGAACCCCGTGTAGCCTATTGGGGGAACCAGCCCCCAATATTTCAATGTAGGTTCTTTTCTATTTTCTCTAAGTGTTGGCCAGTCTAAGAAATAAAGAGAAAGAGTACAAAAGAGAGAAATTTTACACCTGAGTCTCCGGGGGTGACATCACATGTCGGCAGGTTCCGTGATGCTCCCAAGCCACAAAACCAGCAATATTTTATTAGCGATTTTCAAAGGGGAGGGAGTGTACGAATAGGGTGTGGGTCACAGAGATCACATGCTTCAAAAGGCAATAAAATATCACAAGGAAAATGGGGGCAGAGCAAGATCACAAGGCCAGGGTGAGATTAGAACTGCTGATGAGGTTTCATGTCCCACTGTACACCCATTGTCACTGATAAACATCTTAACAAGAAACAGTGTTTTCTAGAGCAGAAAACCGGTCTGACTAGAATTCGCCAGGCTGGAATTTCCTAATCCTAGCAAGCCTGAGGGCACTGAAGGAGACCAGGGCGTATTTTATGCCTTATCTTCAACTGCAAAAGACAGACACTCCCAGAGCGGCCATTTTAGAGGCCGCCCCCTGGGAATGCATTCTTTTCCCAGGGCTGTTCCTTGCTGAGAAAAAGAACTGAGCGCTATTTCTCCTATTCGCTTTTGCAAGAAGAGAAATATGATTCTGTTCTGCCCAGCCCCGCAGGCAGTCAGACCTTATGGTTATCTCCCTTGTTCCCTGAAAATCACTGTTATCTTGTTCTTTTAGAATGCCCAGATTTCATACTGTTCAAACACACCTTTCACAAACAATTTGTACACATAATGCAATCATCACAGGACCCTGAGGCAACATACATCCTCAGCTTATGAAGATGACAGGATTAAGAGATTAAAGACAGGCATAGGAAATTATAAGAGTATTGACTGGGGAAGTGATAAATGTCCATGAAATCTTCACGATTTATGTTCAGAGACTGCAGTAGACACGCGTAAGAAATTATAAAAGTATTAATTTGGGGAACTAATAAATGTCCATGAAATCTTTACAATTTATGTCCTTCTGCCATGGCTTCAGCCGGTCCTTCCATTCAGGGTCCCTGACTTCCTGCCTAACTGGGAGACACCTCCAAGTAGGGGCCGAGAGACACCTCATACAGGCGGGTGCCCCTCTGGGACGAAGCTTCCAGAGAAAATATCAGGCAGCAATATTTGCTGTTCTGCAATATTTGCTGTTCTGTGGCCTCTGCTGGTAATCCAGGAAAACAGGGTCTGGAGTGGACCTCCAGCAAACTCCAACAGACCTGCAGCTGAGGGAACTGACTGTTAGAAGGAAAACGAATAAGCAGAAAGGAATAGCATCAACATCAACAAAAAGGACACCCACACCAAAACCTCATCTGTAGGTCACCAATATCGAAGACCAAAGGTAGATAAAACCACAAAGATGGGGAGAAACCAGAGCAGAAAAGCTGAAAATTCTAAAAACCAGAGCGCCTGTTTTCCTCCAAAAGATCGCAGCTTCTCGCCAGCAACAGAACAAAGCTGGACGGAGAATAACTTTGACGAGTTGACAGAAGTAGGCTTCAGAAGGTCGGTAATAACTAACTTCTCTGGGCTAAAGGAGCATGTTCTAACCCATTGCAAGGAAGCTAAAAACCTTGAACAAAGGTTAGACCAACGGCTAACTAGAATAAACAGTGTAGAGAAGAGCTTAAAAGACCTGATGGAGCTGAAAACCATGGCACAAGAACTTCGTGACGTATGCACAAGCTTCAATAGCCGATTCAATCAAGTGGAAGAAAGGATATCAGTGACTGAAGATCAAATTAATGAAATAAAGTGTGAAGACAAGATTAGAGAAAAAAGAGTAAAAAGAAGAGTTTTCAAAAGAGTTTTCAACCAAGAATGTCATATCCAGCCAAACTAAGCTTCATAAGTGAAGGAGAAATAAAATCCTTTACAGACAAGCAAATGCTGACAGAGTTTGTCACCACCAGGCCTGCCTTGCAAGAGCTCCTGAAGGAAGCACTAAACATGGAAAGGAACAACCGGTACCAGCCACTGCAAAAACATGCCAAATTGTAAAGACCATCAATGCTGGGAAGAAACTGCATCAGTTAACGGGCAAATTAACCAGCTAACATCATAATGATAAAATGAAATTCACACATAACAATAATAACCTTAATTGTAAATGGGTTAAATGCCCCAATTAAAAGACACAGACTGGCAAATTGGATAAAGAGTCAAGACCCATCAGTGTGCTATATTCAGGAGACCCATCTCACGTGCAGAGACACACATAGGCTCAAAATAAAGGGATGGAGGAAGATGTACAAAGCACATGGAAAGCAAAAAAAAAGCAGGGGTTGCAATCCTAGTCTCTGATAAAACAAACTTTAAACCAACAAAGATCAAAAGAGACAAAGAAAGCCATTACATAATGGTAAAGGGATCAATTCAACAAGAAGAGCTAACTATCCTAAATATATATGCACCCAATACAGGAGCACCCAGATTCATAAACCAAGTCCTTGGAGACCTACAAAGAGACTTACACTCCCACGCAATAATAATGGGAGACTTTAACACCCCACTGTCAATATTAGACAGATCAACACGACAGAAGGTTAACAAGGATATCCAGGACTTGAACTCAGCTCTGCACCAAGTGGACCTAATAAACATCTACAGAACTCTCCACCCCAAATCAACAAAATATACACTCTTCTCAGCACCACATTGTACTTATTCTAAAACTGACCACATAATTGGAAGTAAAACACTGCTCAGCAAATGTAAAAGAACAGAAATCACAACAAACTGTCTTTCAGACCAGAGTGCAATCAAATTAGAACTCAGGATTAAGAAACTCACTCAAAACCGCACAACTACATGGAAACTGAACAACCTGATCCTGAATGACTACTGGGTAAATAACGAAATGAAGGCAGAAATAAAGATGTTCTTTGAAACCAATGAAAACAAAGACACAACATACCAGAATCTCTGGGACACATTTAAAGCAGTGTGTAGAGGGAAATTTATAGCACTAAATGCCCACAAGAGAAAGCAGGAAAGATCTAAAATCAACACCCAACATCACCATTAAAAGAACTAGAGAAGCAAGAGCAAACAAATTCAAAAGTTAGCAGAAGGCAAGAAATAACTAAGATCAGAGCAGAACTGAAAGAGATACAGACACAAAAAACCCTTCAAAAAAATAAATGAATCCAGGAGCTGGTGTTTTGAAAAGATCAACAAAATTGATAGACCGCTAGCAAGACTAATAAAGAAAAGAGAAAAGAATCAAATAGATGCAATAAAAAATGATAAAGGGGATATCACCACCGATCCCACAGAAATACAAACTACCATCAGAGAATACTATCAACACCTCTACACAAATAAACTAGAAAATCTAGAAGAAATGGATACATTCCTGGACACATACACCCTCCCAAGACTAAACCAGGAAGAAGTTGAATCCTTGAATAGACCAATAACAGGCTCTGAAATTGAGGCAGTAATTAATAGCCTACCAACCAAAAAAAGCCCAGGACCAGATGGATTCACAGCCAAGTTCTACCAGAGGTACAAAGAGGAGCTGGTACCATTCCTTCTGAAACTATTCCAATCAACAGAAAAAGAGGGAATCCTACCTAACTCATTTTATGAGGCCAGCATCATCCTGATACCAAAGCCTGGCAAAGACACAACAACAAAAAAGAAAATTTTAGACCAATATCCCTGATGAACATTGATGTGAAAATCCTCAATAAAATACTGGCAAACCGAATCCAGCAGCATGTCAAAAAGCTTATCCACCACGATCAAGTCGGCTTCATCCCTGGGATGCAAGGCTGGTTCAACATATGCAAATCAATAAATGTAATCCATCACATAAACAGAACCAACGACAAAAACTACATGATTATCTCAACAGATGCAGAAAAGGCCTTTGACAAAATTCAACAGCCCTTCATGCTAAAAACTCTCAATAAACTAGGTATTGATGGACCATATCTCAAAATAATAAGAGCTATTTATGACTAACCCACAGCCAATATCATACTGAATGGGCAAAAACTGGAAGCATTCCCTTTGAAAACCAGCACAAGACAAGGATGCCCTCTCTCAGCACTCGTATTCAACACAGCACTGGAAGTTCTGGCCAGGGCAATCAGGTAAGAGAAAGAAATAAAGGGTATTCAATTAGGAAAAGAGGAAGTCAAACTGTCCCTGTTTGCAGATGACATGATTCTATATTTAGAAAACTCCATCGTCTCAGCCCCAAATCTCCTTGAGCTGATAAGCAACTTCAGCAAAGTCTCAGGATACAAAATCAATGTGCAAAAATCACAAGCATTCCTATGACAAAGGGCTAATATCCAGAATCTACAAAGTACTTAAACTAATTTACAAGAAAAAAAAACCCCCTCAAAAAGTGGGCAAAGGATATGAACAGACACTTCTCAAAAGAAGACTTTTATGCAGCCAACAGACACATGAAAAAATGCTCATCATCACTGGTCATCAGAGAAATGCAAATCAAAACCACAATGAGATACTATCTCACGTCATCATTAAAAAGTCAGGAAACAAGAGATGCTGGAGAGGATGTGGAGAAATAGGAACACTCTTACATTGTTGGTGAGAGTGTAAATTAGTTCAACCATTGTGGAAGACAGTGTGGCGATTCCTCAAGGATCTAGAACTAGAAATACCATTTGACCCAGCCATCCCACTACTGGGTATATACCCAGAGGATTATAAATCATGCTACTACAAAGACACATCCATGTTTATTGCGGCACTATTCACAATAGCAAAGACTTGGAACCAACCCAAATGTCCATCAGTGATAGACTGGATTAAGAAAATGTGGTACATATACACCACGGAATACTATGCAGCCATAAAAAAGGATGAGTTCATATCCTTTGCAGGGACGTGGATGAAGCTGGAAACGATCATTCTGAGTAAACTATCACAAGGACAGAAAACCAAACACTGCATGTTCTCACTCACAGGTGGGAATTGAACAATGAGAACACTTGGACACAGGGCGGGGAACATCACACACTGGGGCCTGTCGTGGAGTTGGGGGCAGGGGGAGGGATAGCATTAAGAGAAATACCTAATGTAAATGACGAGTTAATTGGTGCAGCAAATCAACATGGCACATGTATACCTATGTAACAAACCTGCATGTTGTGTACATTTACCCTAGGACTTAAAGTATAATTTTTAAAAAAGAAAAAAAAAAAAGAAATGGCTAAAATATATAGTAGTCTAGTGACTAAAGAATACAAAGGATTACTTCCCAGATTTTGAATGATGTACTTCAGACTCCTGCAGCATCATACTGCCATTAATTCACATTAGCACTACATTACTGATCTGCATCCAGTCTGTAGCCTGCTATAATCCCAGAGTTTTCTATTTTGTATTAATACATTATAACTATCTAATATATTCCAAATGTCATGTTTGCGACAATGTCTCTTTGCATCTACTTTGTACTTTAAATCTCCCATACCTTGTAACTGTACCATTTCTCCATTATGTTATCACTTTCATTTTTTTCTTCTGTAGTATCTAAAAATTTGATTAATACAGTCTCAAATTATTTATGTCACGAGTAAATCTTCCACTCCATTATCAAAAGCATCACGGAGATGATAAAGCAAAATAAGATTGAATTTCTGATACTTGTCTAAAATAAGCTCTAAATGAGACAGACAGATAAGGAATGACTATTTTAGTGGCAGTATGCCTTCTGATGTCCGGTGGTTGATCTCAGGCCATCCAGTATGAGCCTGGAACTACACATATCAGAGTTTTCCCAATGTTTCTGCTAAAGGCCTGCTAACAGCAGAGGACTAAGAGGTTCTCTATAAGCCTCAATAAAACAAGACAAACAGATCTGACATCAAAATAAACAAGTAACAAAAACAGTAGCCCAAAGCACAATAAATCAATTATCATGTACAATCCATTAATATTTAAGTATTAGCAGCTAGAAAACTAGTACCAAGGGAGAGAAAGTGGACACACTTTCTAAAAGATATCTTACATCAGCAGTTCCACAAGTCTCCTACATACTCCCGCATCGATGACCGCTTGAATTTTATCATTGGGTCCATCTGATAGATATGAGAGGGCCCAGCAGGCATCAGCCAGTACATCAGTGTCACTGACAAACAGCAACCAGGAAAGCACATTCAGACATGGAGAAACCTGTAAAAGGAAAATGATGATTATGAAATTCAATAGACTAAAAGCCAGAAGTGAGGTGAGATACTCAAGAAGGCAACCAGGCATGTACTTGGTGACTTCTAGGGTGATTTACACTTCTAAAGATGAAGCAGCAAGTACCTAAGTGGCATTTCCATCTTTGGCAATGTTGTCAGTGATCTTGCACTAATCTGTAGTCAAAGCCCAAGGAAAATAATTTCAGAGAGCAAAGTTTTATATACATCAATTCTTGGAGTAAGACTCCCTATCAAAACACATTCTTTGTGGACTAAACAGGTAAAGGAACTTTCACAAATGTGAAAACTAGGAAATTCTGTATTTTAGATACTTTGTTAAAGACCAAAAATGCTAAGGTTTTGTTCAGTGAAAAATGATTCCAAATTAAAAACAACTACAAAAATACCCATTTATTTTAATATCCAGAATCTGCAAGAAATTCAAATCAGCAAGAAAAAAAAATCCCATCAAAAAGTGGGCTAAGGACATGAACAGACAATTCTCAAAAGAAGATATACAAATAGCCAACAAACATATTAAAAAATGCAGCTGGGCGTGGTGGCTCACGCCTGTAATCCCAGCACTTTGGGAGGCTGAGGTGGGTGGATCACCTGAGGTCTGGAGTTCAAGACCAACCTGGCCAACATGGTGAAACCCCGTCTCTACTAAAAATACAAAAATTAGCCGGGTGTGGTGGTATGCGCCTGTAATCCCAGCTACTCGGGAGGCTGAGGCAGGAGAATCACTTGAACCTAGGAGGCAGAGGTTGCAGTGTGCCGAGACCGCGCCACTGCACTTCAGCCTGGGCAACAAGAGCAAAACTCCGTCTCAAAAAACCAAAAAACAAAAAATAGATGTTGGCATGAATGTGGTGAAAAGGGAACACTTTTACACTGTTGCTGGGAATGTAAACCAGTATAACCACTATGGAAAACAGTGTGGAGATTCCTTAAAGAACTAAAAGTATATCTACCATTTGATGCACCAGTCCCATTCCTGGGTATCTACCCAGAGGAAAAGAGGTCATTATAAGAAAAAGATACTTGTATACGCAGGTTTATAGCAGCACAATTCACAATTGCAAACACATGGAACCAGCCCAAATGCCCATCAATCAACAAGTAGATAAAGTCACTCAGGACTGGAAAACCAAACATCAGATGTTCTCATTCATAAGTGGGAGCTAAGCTATGAGGACGCAAAAGCGTAAGAATGATACAATGTACTTTGGGGACTCAGGGAGAAAGGGTCGGAGGTGGGTGAGAGATAAAGGACTACACACTGGGTACAGCGTACACTGCTTGGGTGTTGGGTGCACCAAAATCTCAGAAATCACCACTAAACAAGTAACTCATGTACCTAAACACCACCTGTTCCCCAAAAACCTATTGGAAAAAAAAAAAGAATCTCATGGACTCCCAGAGAACTCACAGACCACACTTTGAGAACCACTGTTTTAAGAGAACTGAAAGGATAGTCTCCTAAACAGTATACTAATTGTATGAAGCCTAATTTCAATAAGCTTTACAAATTCTTCCTTCATGCTATGCTTTATTTGCAGTCCCATCGTAAATGTGCACCTTCAAGCTATGCTCTAAATTTGCTTTTTAAATAATAAAGAGAACCAACAAAAACAACAACAACCCTGTTTCTCCAAAAACAGATAAAATTCTAACATTTTAAATTTTAACAAAAATTATCTTCCTGTTCACCTTACCATTGGTTGCAATACTCTTTTAATTGTATTTTTTCTGCCAATGTCCCAAAAGCATAGTCCTTACCTTTGCAAATTCTGGAGGTGGACTTTTCCCTCTACAGAGATTAGACAAAGCCCATACTGCATTCCGGGTCATGGTCAGGCGGTTTTGCTTTGAAAATAACCTAAAAGCACGATGGTACAATGGTAAACTATGTAACAGACAGTGATTATCTGATGACATAAATACTAAATAATAATACTTTTGATAAAGAGATGTCTTCAGATAGCTTTTCTCCAGAACATTAAAACTTCATTAATTCTGATGCAAGTAATTCAGAATTCAGAATTTTGGCATGGAAAAAGATAGGGTGCTTGAGGAAATGATCTAAACAAGAAAATATCTGGAATTAAAAATAACACTAGAAAATCCAAAATGATTTCCAAACATGTAATGCTTTCTGAGGAATCTCTTACATTTTTATTCTCAAAAAGAAAAAAAAAGGAAGAAGGAAGAAGAAACTTACTGCAAAAGAGGGGGAAGGATATTGCAGTCTAAGACATAGTCCCTGCACATGGTACTATCTCCAGCAATGTTGCCAAGAGCCCAGACTGCCTGTGAAAGAATCATTCATTAATAAAGGTTACATAGTTTAATTCCCTCATAATTCTTTCAGATGCCAGTATATCACAATAACACGTTCATCAGGGAGTCAAATGAAACAGTTGTAGGATTGGGGGAGGAAGATAAATAATATCCTAAAGTGTACAACAAACAGAAGGTATTCGGTTTATTAAAGGAAAGAACTAATTCATTTTTGTTTGTTTTTGTTTTTTGATACAGAATCTCGCTCTGTCACCCAGTATGGAGTGCAACACAGTGAAACTCCATCTCTACTAAAAATACAAAATTAGCCGGGTGTGGTGGCAGGCGCCTGTAATCCCAGCTGCTTGAGAGGCTGAGGCATGAGAACTGCTTGAACCTGACAGGCCAAGGTTGCAGTGAGCCGAGATTGAGCCAATGCACTCCAGCCTGGGTGACAGGGACAGACGGAAGGAGGGAAGGAGGGAAGGAGGGAAGGAGGGAAGGAGGGAAGGAGGGAGGGAGGGAGGGAGGGAAGGAGGGAAGGAAGGAAGGAAGGAAGGAAGGAAGGAAGGAAGGGAGGGAGGGAAAGGAGGGAGGGAGGAGAGAGGGAGGGAGGGAGGGAGGGAGGAAGCAAGAGAAGGAGGGAAGGAGGGAGGGAGGGAGAGACGGAGAGACGGAGGGAAGGAGGGAAGGAGAGACGGAGGGAAGGAGAGACAGAGGGAAGGAGAGACGGAGAGAAGGAGAGATGGAGAGACGGAGAGAAAGAAAGACGGAAAGATGGAGAGACAGAAAGAGAGAAAGACAGAAAGAAAAAAAGAGACAGAAAGAGAGTATTTTCTTGCTTACATAAGAAAACAGTGAACAAAAAGAAACTTGCTTTCTGTACTTTTCTGCACAAAAGTGGCAAAGACTAGCCACTTTCTTTTTTTTTGAGATAGGTCTCACTCTGTTACCGAGGCTGGAGTGCGGTGGTGTGATATCGGCTCACTGCAGCCTCAGCCTCCTGGAGCTCAAGTGAACCCTCCCACCTCAGCCTCTCAAGCAGCTGGGACAACAGGCGTGTGCCACCATGCCCACCTACTTTATTTTCTGTAGAGACTGGGTTTCGCCATGTTGCCCTGGCTGGTCTCGAGCTCCTGGGCTCAAGCAAGCTGCCCACTTCAGCCTCCCAAGTGCTGGAATTACAGGCAGGAACCACAGCACCTGGCCTACTTTCAACACTTGAAATTTCTACAAGAAAAAACCTCTATCAGTAACTGCTTACATGGTCTAAAAAAGTACATATACAGGGCTTAAAGAATGTCAGGTTTGGAAGGGGAAGATTATTTTATGTGTCTAAGAGAAATTCTGCCTACAGTCACTAAGAAATTTTCTATTTGGTTAAGACTAAATTTCTAGAACACTCCTTTGTGACAATCCATAGATTACCAAAGCCAACTGGTGAAACTCAGCCCCTTATTATGTTGGGAAATTTTGTGGTTTTTTTTGTTTTTCTTTTTTTGTTTGTTTTGTTTTTTTTGAGACAAAGTCTTGCTCTCGTCACCCAGGCTGGAGTGCAATGACGCGATCTCGGCTCACTGTAACCTCCACCTCTCGGGTTCAAGCAATTCTCCTGCCTCAGCCTCCCAAGTAGCTGGGATTACAGACACGTACCACCATGCCCGGCTAATTTTTGTATTTTTAGTAGAGACGGGATTTCACCATGTTGGCTAGGCTGGTCTCGAACTCCTCGTGATCCACCCACCTTGGCCTCCCAAAATGTTGGGATTACAGGAGTGAGCGACATGCCCAGCCAAAAACTTTCTTTCACCTGCTTCTTTTTGTTTCATTTTTACCTGTTCCTGGACATCTTCAAACTCTGAGCTGAGCAACTCTATGAAGATGGGCACAGCTCCTGCCTGAATCACAATTCGGGTCTGAAGAGAATTTCCTGAAGCAATATTTGTCAGTACCCAAGCTGATTCAAACTATAAAGATAAAAATAATTTTCATTATCTTTTTAGAATGTAAAAGTTTGTTTACTTATAACAGTAACATTTTCTGTACATGAAAAAAAGATTCTGAGATCATTATTTGCACATAACCTATCAGTTGAGTACTATATTAATTTTAAAAGAAGAATATCCAGAAGAAATACCTCAACCTAGAAGAATATTCAGGGTGTCTAAAATTTCAGTTCAAGAAAGAGTAAACATGACACCATAAAAAGAATGAGAGAGTGTTACATATGCTGATATGGTATGATCTCCCAAGATATAAATGAAAACAAAATGCAAACAGTGTACATTAATATGGCATTATACCATATTTTCTAAAAGCGTTAAAAAGGAATATATGCATTAATTTACTTATTGCACAGATTATCTTCAGAATGAGTTAGAGGAAACTAAATACTTGTTGCCTGCATAGAAAGGTGATGGTAACTAGGGAATAAGGATGAAAAAGATACTTTTCACTGGAAAGCTTTATGTGCCTTTTAGCCTGTACCATGTATGTTATCTAATAAAAAAGATTTAAAAACTTCTGTAGAATGGGCAAAGTAAAATGGGGGGAGAATGTTAGTGTGAAACATAAAATACAGGCACAGTGAAAAAGGCAAAAGGTATCAAATGATAAGTAGGTGAAAGGAGTTAACAGCACATAATGAAAAGAAATGACAACTTCAAAGAATAAGAGCTTCCAATAAATGAGAGAGCTCCAAACCAAAATACAGAGATAGGACTTTTTGGGCATTCTTAATAGGGAGGGAAAAATGAAGGTAAACTGACTAAAGGTTGATATATAGCATTACAGCACTGGTAAACAGAAGATATAAAGGAAATTATGGCCAACAAAAAATAGAGCATATTACTAAAATATATCTCTAACACTAACTTGACTCTTTAGCTTAATATTGAGAAATCCAATAATGAACTCTTTTCTATTTAGTTAAGAGTTCTTAATTACATTTCAGGTTGTTTCTTCCACCATTCTGTCTTCTATTTAATAAAGCACATACACAGAAAAAAAGAAAAATTCCATGGCATGTCCTTTAAATCAGAGAAAATAACAAGTCGTCATCAAATGACCTGTGATTCTTCTAAGCTTCCAGATTAACTAAAAGGTAGCTGTCAGGTAGAAAACTAAATTCATTAATCTTTGGGAATAGAGGAAGACAGGAAAATGGGCCATCTGATCAAATCACGTTCAAAGCCATGTTAGTGATAGAAAATTCATAGCAGAAGACACATAACCAATGGATGTTCCAAAGAAAACTATAAAAGTGACATACATGAGTGAGGTAAGGTGGTTTAGTAGCAGCAGGGAGGCCCAGAGTAGGAGTACTTCGGTTAAAGAGCCCGTATCTGGTCCCTTTTTGTTATAACAAAAATTCTGGGGACTTACAGATTAAACCCCAGATATCATGAAATAAAAATTCTTCCCATATTTATCTCTATGATTAAATTACTAATGAAAGCAACACTCAGTCCCTTTCAGTACGTCTGAATTAAAACTTGACATTTGTACCGTACTTTATATTTTCTTTTTTTTCTTTTTTGAGACAGAGTCTCAGTCTTGTTGCCCAGGCTGGAGTGCAATGTCACGTTCTCAGCTCACTGCAACCTCCACCTCCCGGATTCAAGTGATTCTCCTGCCTCAGCCTCCCAAGTAGCTGGGATTACAGGCATGTGCCACCACGCCCGGCTAATTTTTATATTTTTAGTAGAGACGAGGTTTCATCATGTTTGTCAGGCTGGCCTTGAACTCCTGATCTCAAGTCATCCTCCCATCTAGGCCTCCCAAAGTGCTGGGATTACAAGCATGAGCCACCGCACCCGGCCACTTTATATTTTCAAAGTACTATTCACATACTCGCAGATGATCCCTACAACAACCCAGAGATGTAAAGTATCTGGCTTTTCTTGTGTACAAATGAGGAAACTATCTGAAAAAAAATCCAACAATTTGACTAATGACTCGAGTAATGTTACACAGTCAAAGACAAGGACTAAGTTACAGCCTCCTAATCTAATACATTACGAAGCCCAGTCATAGTTTCCTGAAACATAATGCTGACCCAGAAATATTTCATTTGCTTGTAGTTTGGATATCTAGTTCAAGAAATTTTAAATAACAGTATGCCAGATTATTTATACTAAAAAAGAAAAAACAAGTTCACCTAAGATGTAGTTTCTTTTGCTTACTAGGAAAATTAATTTGTAAACCAGAGTCATATGATGTAAGTATAAAAGCAAACTGTCCCACCACAAGGCAGGCTCAAAGTTCAATAAACAGTCATCAGATACTGCAAACATAAAGTCAAATAAATGAAAACTCTAAGGAAAAGCAATCTGGAAAAAAAATAAGATCAGAATACATACCATCTGTATACAAGAAAAAGATTACAGTGAGATTTGGATGCAAAAGAAATTATAATAATAACCTGGGTATACAGGGATATAGTACAGAGTTATTGGTGAGAAAAAATTACTTAGAATTCTAATTGGTGCCAGCGTTCAAACTGCTATTTTGAGTTTAGCACCAAAGATCTCAGGGGAAATGAGGGAGAATTCCAGAAGCTACACAAGTTAATAAAATAGAGAAGCAAAACAATTCAAGTGACAATGACTAAGAAAATGAAAAGTAAGTGAATAACAGCCTGAATACAGATGGTAAAAAAAAGAAATTATTACATCTTAGCAAAAGAATAACATGCCAGTTATGCTTATCACTAAGTAGTACACAATGATGATAACCTCTCAATGCAATTCAGGAATGAAAATCAAAAACAGTTTTGCTATTATTGGGGATAGAAGTAGATGGGTAACTGTAACAAGAGGACCACTGAAAATACAACCATATTCATGCATTAATAAGGCAATAAAACACACACACACAGGGTGCTGATTACTTTGCTGTTTTCACTTTGTGAAAGCTAATCAAGCTGTATTTGTGAAATTTTCTACACCCATCTATACATGTGTGATATGTATGTATGTTTATGCAGGTATCCACATATGTATGAGAGGAGGGAGTAAAAAACAGAATTTCCCTGAGTATAGGCCTCTGTTAATGTTAGAAGAAGTAACTGTTAAACGTATTTATGTTTTTAAAAAATTAGATGTACTTTAAACTACATAACTTCCCTTTCATCATAGTCTGTACTTTAAAGCTGTATTCCACTGAGATTTGCCATCTATTTTTTTGTTTTTTCTAAATGTTTCAGCCTTGGGTACTAGATTAGAATTTAACATGAAATAGTTGTGAAATGGGAAAGCCTAGAATTGATGGCAAACACATATGCATAAAGTTATGATAGAAACAGCCAAAAAAATTAATTAAAGTAAGCAACCCTGTTACCAGGAAATCATTAACCTGGGAAAAAAAAAAATCTAAGAAATGGTATTGCCTGAAGTAACAAATGGTGGCCAAATAAAATCTTCACTTCTTTTGTTGTTTTAAACTACTATATTCTTAATATCCAAGAATGGCATCATACAAGGAAACAAGCTATCATGCAGCTGGAACTACTTATAAACTGTAATTCCACTCATTATTTTTCACTGTCCTGAACTCACTAAATAAGGCTACACCTGAAATCTGCACACTGAAGGTTTGATGTTTTCTCTCTTCCCTTTCTTAGTCTCTACCTTCTGGCGCTCAGTTCCTTAAATAAGGAAAATGAGAATCCAAAGCTGAAGTACTTCTGACCTCCTATCAAGTTTCCCACTCCAGGTTGAGGTACGCCTGGTTCCCTTTCTCCATTTGGATCAGGACTCTGTTGCTGGCCACTTTGCCGGTTCCACTCTGGTTCCTAGCAAATGCCAGGCTCACCTGGAGAGCAAGTGAAAAGAAAGGCTCACATCAGAAAAATAAACCCAGATAGCAAACTCTGCAGAGAACAGTGCCTGAGTCATCTGAGCAACTTTCCAGGAAAGGCAGAGAGATCAATGAAGATGGGAAAAGACACAGGAGGATGAAGGCTTACTGCAGTTTATCACATTAAGCTTTTAGAGGGGACAAGAAAGGCAGAAAAGGGGAAACTAAGCCAATGTAATTCAAATTTACAACTTTTCAAGGATTATCTGTCTAATATTTGGAAATAGAAGGCAATATATTTATTTCTAGCTATTTTTATAAACTTCTATAAGAAAGTTTGGGAATGCCACATCTCAGCATTGCAAAGGACAGCACAAAGATACTGGGCCTGGACTCAAAGAAGCAAAAAAGTAGGCTCACAGACCATGCCATAAACCAGACCAGTCTCATGACAAGGGCTCAAGTCTATCTGAGACCTAGATGTCACTGAGCTTGAGAATGCGCTTAGCTAAAAGCCATTGTCTGCTTCCAAAATCCTAGATTCCACCCATGTTCACCTTCAGCACCTGGGTAGCAATGCTCAAAGCAGGCACTTTTATCTCCCTGGTTTGAGGTACCTTACTGACTTGGGAAGCCAGAAAGAACATAAAAAGACCCTTCAATAGGATTCACAGTTCTTTATCTATGGAATGAAGAAATTAAGTTTGTCCACAAGATTTATTAGTGAGCTGAGCCATCAAATTTCCTCTTGGCACCACATAGCATGACTCTCCTTCTGGAAGAGAAATGACAAAAGCCCTATTCCAAAGGTGCATTATTCAAGTTCTAGTAAGCAGGTAAGAGTATCAGGGATAGCTTACATCTGTCTGCTCTCCAAGAAGGCAGAGGAAGGAGTAACCTCCAAGCTTCCCAGAGCATGTCTAATTATTTGAAAGCATGGTAGATCATCAAGTCTCCTGGCTTTAAGGTCTCTCTCGATATATTTGCCCCCTTGCTTCTGAGGTGGTCAAAGGTCCCCACTAGTCACAGTGGAGGGAGAACACCATGGTGTCCTTAAATGTGCACATAAAAAAGCTAGAGATGGCCCTTAGATAACAAACAGTTGGTTATTTCTCAGAGTTAGGACAGCTAAGACTATCCTCATAAAATCATGAGGTTATCACTTCCGGAGGAATCATTTTGCAATATTTCAGCCTAATTATTAGTTTGCACAAGGGTGGAATCTGGGAGTTTACATAGAAGCAAATTAGAGATTTCTGAAGGCTTTCATCTTCAGATGTGTTAAAATACAAGTTCCAAGATTACAGAGTAATGAATTAAAAAAAGATGTAGAATGTCTTAGCCAGAAGAGGGCACTGTCGGAGAATGTACTTGTACTTTTTAAGGAGTACAAGGGAATGCAGAGATGGGGAAAGATCCATTTCTCCGACTTTTTTCATTTTAGATCTGAAAGGTTATATACCATCTATATTTAATGCATAAAAGAACTACCACCTAATAAAAACCGCCAGATCAAGGAGTAAATTCAGTATCTCTCATCTACTCTCATTCCCAGAGACAGGAAAGAAACACTTTTTTCAGCATGAACAAAATAATTTTCCCTACCTCCCTCTTCCTACAAAGCATTTCAAATGATAAACTGCAGTAAGGTTCCTCATTTGGTCCCTCTGGTTCTCGGCAGGTTGCTTAGGGGATCAGGCTCTGTTCTCTGCAGTGTTGGTTGTCTGGATTTCCTTTTATCCTGAGAAAAGTCTCTCTTCCCTTGCTCTCAGGGTGAACGTGATTATTTTTCAGGTGTCTGATGATCCTGGCCTTAGATGGGGACCAGAATTACAATCCAGGAGGCAGCTAGCAAAACAGAACCTTAATTCAAATGAGCATGGGAACTGGTAAGTGTCAAACTGGAGAAGAAAAACTGATGTGACATTGAAGTACTCTACCTTTTCTGGATTTCTTGTTTTTCCTCTGGAAGGAACTCATCACCGCAACAAAGAGTGTAAAACAAAGAGAAAGAAGGGATAGGAGGAAAGGAGAGAAAACATCAAGGCAAATCATCAAGTTGTATGAATAATCTATAATGGTGTAGACAGTAAGGAACCTGGGGACAGGAGCTATCACTTAACAAAAATGCCCCAGTGTCTACATGGCTCCAGCCTTAGAGTAAAGAACAGCACACAAGGGGTGGGGGATATCTTTGATTAACTAGTTTTTGGCAAATATTTACTTAGAAAGATAATCCCATTTTGTGATCAACTTGGTACCTAACCAATTTTTATAGCTGCATAGTCTCAGGGCCCAAGCCTTTGAGATTAGATCCTACAGGTGAGAATTTAGGGATCACATGTATTTGTAACTAATAAAGGCACTGACTCAGTTGGTTACTCCAGGGAAGTTTACTAAAAAATCATCAGTTTCTAAAAACCCAACTTTATCCAGGGGGAAAAAAAATAGTAGTTTAGAATTTCTAGGATGAGAGTCAGCTGACTGTTGGTTTCTTTTCTTATGAAAATTATTGAATACTTGGCTGGGAGCAGTGGCTCACACCTGTAATCCCAGCACTTTGGGAGGCCAAGCAGGTGGATCACTTGAGGTCAGGAGTTTGAGACCAGCCTGGCCAACATGGCAAAACCTCATCTCTACTAAAAATAAAAGAATTAGCTGGATATGGTGGTGGCTGCCTGTAATCCCAGCTTCATGGGAGGCTGAGGCAGGAGAATCACTTGAATCTGGGAGATGGAATTTGCAGTGAGCTGAGATCTTGCCACTGCACTCCAGCATGGGCGACAGAGCAAGACTCTGTCTCAAGAAAAAGAAGAAAAAAAAAAAAAAGAAAATTCTGAATCCAGAGATTACAAAATTTCCTCTTGGAATCCCTTATATAGTACAGTACTGAAAGCCTAAATTGACACAGCAATAAGTACACAGATTCCTGACAAAGTTATCTCCTTATCGGCTTTTTGTGGGGTGGAGGAAGAATTAATTAGGAACAGATTTGGGAATTAATAAGACTCTGATCTAGCCCATGTTACACCATCCTGAGAAAGCCACCAAGTATCATCTAAAACTCCCTCAACACCAAATTTTATGTAGCCCACACATAAGTTCCTGGCTGTAATGGCTCCTCTGCTGTAAACATTTCCCTATTAGAGAAGTATTATCCACAATCATAAACATTTTAAATGATTAAAAATTATAATAATAATAAAGAGTATAACGAAGGCCTACATGTTAACAAAGCTATGAAAGCAGCTTGCAATGTAGTTGTCAGGAATATCATTATAAACAAACTTAATTCTTCATACAGATAAAAATTAGTAACAAATTTGTGTACAAAATAAAAATTTTCAAAAGGAATTAAGTTATGAGGCAATAAATAAAAATTATTCGCACCTGCAGTGTACAATTCTCTTTTCGTTTGAGGAACTCCACAAACCTGGCCACTACTCCTGGTGTGCTGATAACTTCATCAATAGGAGGGTTAGGTTCTGTTTCCCCATAAAATAAAAGAAAAAAAAAATCCTTTGATTTCAATGCAAGAACTTAACAGCTCAAAACTTCTTAACATCCCTCCCTCCATTTACCATCTCTCATGCTGGAAATCTACCTAAAACAAATGAAATGTCAAATTGGGTTTATCACTTTGAGGACAGGGTAGTCTGAAATGTTTCACAATGAAGACAAGTCTCAATATGAGAATAAAGGATGGGAAAAATTCTTAAAAATTAAATTACTGCCTCCACTTTTTAGAAAACCTAAAAAGCAGGGGGCAAAAAACCCCTCAAAAGACCATTGTTAAGTGTTCTGGTATACTTCCTTCTAGCCTGTTTCCTGTACATGAGTTTTAAGTCTAACTGCTCTTGTCTGTTGTAAATCATCTTAAGGAATTGCATTACAAGATTCTCAATAGGCCTGCAGAATTTAATTTTGTACCTGTAGGAGCTAGCAAGAATTCACGAAGATTGACTTGCCAACTTAGTCTCACTTTCATTCATGATAATACAGTATCCTATAAATGATGTCACTCAATAAAAACTTATAAGGCAAATAGGAGGGAAATGTCATAGACAATCAGATTAATAACTTCAGCCAGAGACTGACAAAGTTACTGACAATATGCGTGTGGCAATGCCAGAAAAATGGCAATTAGATCACAATACTACTAGGGAGATTCTTACCCAAGTCGATGGCCTTACTGAAAGAGGTGACTAATGGTTCAATGTTCATTTGGAAAGGACTCTAATGACATGTCATTTACCTGGTTGAACATTTATATTAACCACGCAGGTAAGCACAAAAAAACAAATTTGATGATTACAATAAACTAGTTAATATGCTGAGTTACAGAAATAACACAGAAAAAGAACAATAAGTCAGAATAGGCAACAACAACAACAAAAAAAAACAGAAATAAAGCAAAGTTCAGCATCTAAGTTTTTTAAATGGCAATTTTTAAAAATCTACATGACTTCACAAACAAAACCTAACAACAGTTCGTGAACAAAAGCACTAGGGAGTTTAGTTTGCTGAAAATTCAATAAAATATTACTATGCCATGACTATCAAAATAACTAGCTACCTTGGACTACATTATCAAAATAGACACTCTTAGGGCAAAGAAGGTAACCTCTCACCATACCCTACATTAATAACAACACATCTGAAATATTGGATTCTAGTTATCACATTTTTAAGAGGTATGCTGGCAAACCAGAATACATGCAGGAAGGTAGCAGAATGGTGAAAGCCCTTAAAAAAAAAAAAAAGCACATTACAGAAGAAAACCATTAAGCTTAGCATGTTGAAAGAGATAAGACTTTTTTAAAAGGGGTGAGGAAGTGTACATTTCCTTCAAATATTTTTAATAAGCGGTCTGCAAAAGACAATATTTTTTTGTCATAGTAGTAGTTTTTTATTCCACTTAACCTCAAGGGATATATTAAATTTTTTTAAATCACTAATGACTCTAAACAACCATAACTTAATACTGGGGGGTTTAAGTATTTACTACCAACGTTATAATCGGGTTCAGAATTCTTTTTACTTGCCCAGGTTGATAACAAGTATCAGATTCCATTCTACACTAATTATATCAAAAAAAGTACTTACCAGCCGGGTGCGGTGGCTCATGCCTGTAATCCCAGTATTTTGGGAGGCAGAGGCAGACGGATCATGATAGGATATCGAGATCATCCTGGCCAACATGGTGAAATCCTATCTCTACTAAAAATACAAAAAAGGCCGGGCGCAGTGGCTCACGCCTGTAATCCCAGCACTTTGGGAGGCCGAGGCAGGAGGATCACAAGGTCAGGAGATCGAGATCCTGGCTAACACAGTGAAACACCGTCTCTACTAAAAATACAAAAAATTAGCTGGGCACGGTGGCGAGCGCCTGTAGTCCCAACTACTTGGGAGGCTGAGGCAGGAGAATGGCGTGAACCCGGGAGGCGGCGCTTGCAGTGAGCCGAGATAGCGCCACTGTACTCCAGCCTGGGCGACAGAGTGAGACTCCATCTCAAAAAAAAAAAAAAAATACAAAAATTAGCTGGGGGTGGTGGCGTGTAACTGTAATCCCAGCTACTCGGGAGACTGAGGCAGGAAAATCGCTTGAACCAGGGAGTCGGAGGTTGCAGTGAGCCAAGATCGCGCCCAGCCTGCACTCCAGACTGGCAACAGAGCCGTCTTTAAAAAAAAAAAAAAAGGTAATCACCCTGCCCACCAGTAAATGCATTCCTAACTTTCAGTGGTAAATTGCTAACATTAAAATCAACAATCATAACTCTTTCAAGGAGTATTTTTAAAGTCACTCTATAAAAAAAAGTCAGTCTCTCAATTTGAATTAACATGATACTGACTACTATTCACTATAAAGTCTTTTATAAAATAACCCAAAAATGAAAATAATTCTGTTTTCTGATCCTGGTGAGATCCCACAAATAAATAGGAAACTTAAAATTTAGGCATGGTTCACAATTACATATATGTCTGTATTTTTATTCTTTTATTGATAAAAATACTCCAACACAAATTACCTGTGGTATGAAAAACAGACTATGGGAAAGTAATTTTGTAGAGAGATGAAAAAATATACTGAACATATTCATAGCTCACCTTTTGAAAGCAGCTTCCTGAATTTCTGTGTTGCTGAAAGCTGTTGCTCTGGGCTTTTGGAAAATATCATTTCAATCATGTCAGAAGTGATGACACCACCCTGCGATCACAAACAAAAAGAACATATAATAAATTATCACCCTTAATTCAAAGGAAAGAAAGATAACAGATATCATGGCCAAGTTATTAAGTTAATCATACTTCCCCAGAAGTTACATAAAGGTAGGACAATCTTTACATATAGAAACGTGTAAGATTATTAATAATATAATGAAGCCAAATTCTTTGTCTATCATTAAAAAGCTCACAGTAGAAAGTGATCTTACTAGTAAATAAGACAAGGAGCTTATTGCTCTTCCCCTCCTTGCTCATCACATAGCTGGCTATTCTTTCTTATCAAAATTAAATGTTAAGTTTTAAAAGATGGCTTTTCAAGACCTCCAAGCCTAAAGTAGCCACTTTATCTCTATCACAGCACCATATTTCAATCGTATGCCCCAGCCCTTATTACACTCCCAGATATTTTTCTGTGTTCCTCCAGTATACTGTAACTTCCTTGTAAGCCCAAGACCCTGTCTGTCTTACTCTATCACTAAGGGCTGGTGTACTGTAAATGCTCTGCAATACTTATTGAGTGAGTAAATAGAGTGGTCCTGTATAAATCCAGCCACTGCCAAATTCAACAGCTGACTCTTAAACTTATTTAAAATTTCTTTCTTGTTTTATTAAAACTTTCCAGTTTCCCACTACCTTCTTGCTTTATTAGAATGTTTCCATTTCCCACCATAACTCATCCCCAGTATTAGCAGTTAATTTTCTTCTCAGGGTCATTTGTCAGAAAGAAACAAAGTTCTTATTTCATGAAGGGTAGCAGTCAACAAGATGAATTGTGAAGAAAGCTGCACTAAGCTGTAAATGCTAGATGACTGGTAAGCAATACCTAAGAATCCTCATAGGGGAATATATGACGCATTCTACTCAAGAATCAGAAAAGTAACTATTTTCAAAATTGCAAGACTGATTCCTAAATCAAGGTTTCTATATGATTTGTTATGAATATGTTTGCATAAACACATTCATATATATATATACACACATTAAGCAAATATCTTTTTCTTCCCTCTCTCATCCTCTTATAGCAAGCTGTACTGACTTTACATTACACTATTTAAGTATTGTTAACTTTACATTATAATATTTAAGTCACAGGCTATCAAGGACAGGAGTGAACATCACCCAAAGATTTTGCATCCTCTTCCGCAGAAGGAGTTAGTAAAGATGTGCCTCAACTTACAATGAATGGGGTTATGCCCCACTAATCCCATCATAAGTTGAAAATATTAAGTAAAAAGTACACTTAATACACCTAACCTACCAAACTTCATTGCCTAGCCTAGCCTACCTTAAACATGCTCAGAACACATACATTAGCCTACAGCTGAACAAATGATCTAACACAAAGCCTATTTTATAATAAAGTGGTTGACTATCTCGTGTAATTTACTTAATACTGTACTGAAAATGAGAAACAGAGTGACTGTATGGGTATTCAAAATACAGTTCCTACTGATTGCATATTGCTTTCACACCACTGTAAAGTTGAAAAATCCTGACTTGAACCCTCCTAAGTCAAGAACCATCCATACATTTTTAGTTGCACAAAGGAAAGTTGTAATCTGGCTGGGTGCGGTGGCTCACGCCTGTAATCCCAACACTTTGGGAAGCCAAGGCGGGTGGATCACGAGGTCAGGAGTTCAAGACCAACCTGGCCAATATGGTGAAACCCTGTCTCTACTAAAACTACAAAAAAATTAGCTGGGGGTAGTGGCGCACGCCTGTAGTCCAAGTTGGCCTCATCCAATCAGTTGAAACCCTTAAAAGCAAAGACTAGGTTTTCTGAAGAAAAGGGATTCAACAACATCAACTCTTAACCTGAATTTATAGTGGGCCAGTGTGCCCTACAGATTTCACACTTGCCAGCTCCCAAAGACACGAGCCACTTTCTTAAACTAAATTTCTTTCTCTCATTGGTTCTGTTTCTCTGGAGAACCCTAATACAATCCATAAAACACTTTATATTCACTTAACACTCTCTTCTTAAAAAAATTGGAAAGACTGGCTTTCTGAAGGGCCTAGAAACTTTCATCACAAAATGATGGCATTGGCTATGTCTGTATGAATTCCAAAGGAAATAATACTACCCTCCCAACTCTCAAAGAAAGCTGGTTCATGTAAACTGGAGATCTATGAAATGAAATAAAAATAAAAACTACAAAATACTATGAATAGTATGCCACCATTTACCAAAAAAAAAGGTGGGGGAGAGGAGAACATTTTAATATACAAAAGTTCTCAGAAAGAATAAATAGGAATTTAGTAATACTAGTTGCCAATGGAGAAAAATACTAGGTGGCTAAGCGGAAGAAAGATTTTTCTTCATTTTTTTTAATTGTACTTTTTTTGTTACTACAAACAACAGTACCTTTTAGGAGATAATTTTCTTTTTAAAAAAACTGTGTGTGTGTACACATATATATATATGTACACATATATAACCTATTTTTAAAATTACGTAATTACAATACTCTAGAAATCTAGATAGGTCTAATCCATACAAATAAAGCATGACTTTTATCTCTTCATGTTAACTTCAAAAAAGTAACAAAATGGTTTACAACAGAAAAATCCAAGAGTTCTGATGTGGAATCAAGTTTTTAAATCATACAAACAGGTCAATTTTGTAAATCAATAAAAAATCATTATTTTCTTTAAAGTATCTCTTATGGCTTGGTGTGATGGCTCAAGCTTGTAATTCTAGCACTTTGGGAGGCCAAGGCAAAAGGATCACTTGAGGCCAGGAGTTCACCTGGGCAACACAGTGAGATCCTGTCTCCACAAAAAATTTAAAAATTTGCCAGTCATGGTGGCACATGCCTGTAGTCCCAGCTATTTGGGAGGCTAAAGCAGGAGGATCACTTAAGCCCAGGAGTTCGAGGTTGCAGTGACCTACGATTGCGCCACTGCACTCCAACCTGGGCAACACAGCAAGACCCTGTCTCTAAAACATAAATAAATAAATAAATAAATAAATAAATAAATAAATAAATAAATAAGGTGTCTATTCTTATTCAACTTTTAAAGAGTAATTTTATCTTATAATTAGCTTGTTAAGTTTTTAGAGCAGAATTAATCTTTATAATTTAACTGCACTTTATCCAAAATATAATAAACATTTAATGAACCATGAGATTAAGCATATTCTTTTTAAAAATGAAATGCCAAGTACTTTTTGTAGCCATCTAACCTTTTTTAAAACTCAAAAGGAAATCTACATCTCATATCTTCATCACAAAAACACTGAAAAGAGTTCATTATCTTACTGGTGCCATCTCCATGTTACTAATCTGAGCCTCATGAAAGCCTCCATCTGACATAACTTCTTCTTCTGTTTCTTCTTCTGCTGTAGCAACATTTCTCCGCTTGAATAACTGAAAGATAAAAGATTGGTAGCAATGTAAATGTAAATTCTAACACAAGGGAGTTCAACATTCAAATACTAGGCACCCCATTCAAAGTGAAGTCTTTGAAAATCATTTTTAAAATTCTAAAGCTGTCAGCTTTTACTGATGAGTAACCATTTCAGATTTCTCCATAGTCTTATAATCAAATATAATTAACTATTACAACATGCTATAAACAACACTTGATAATGTAAAACTTACTAAGAGAGGTCTGACACTATATGACATTAAAAAAAAAAAGGTTGGAAAAAGGAGCTGGGTCATGCTTGGCCATTTTCCTCATCCCTTTATGTAAAGTATACATCAGGACAGTCCTAACAATGTACCAAGGAAAATGAAAATAAAAACTATGTTCAAATGACTTAATACTTCCCTCCTAATCTCCAAAGATGGTGGACTGTGGCTTCTGACCTTCCCAACCTATCCAGCAACCAGTGGCAACAAATGATGACTGCTTAAGCACTACCTTTAAAGCAGCTCCGTTAATGTGTATAGGCAAAGGAGACTAGTTCTCTCCAAAGTCAGCCAACGAGGGTGATTACCATTATATCCTTATGAATCCTGGGCAGCACATTTATTCATCAAGCCATGATGGAGTAACAGTAACTTACCCTCTCTCACGCTGAACAACTAAAAACAGACAAAATACATAAAATAATGTTTCAGCCATTGGACAATAAAAACCACAGAGTAGTGATATCTCAGAAAGAAAAACCCAAGATAAGCCCCAATACTGCCTCAGATTACTATGCAGACAGTTCCAGGCTGCAGTGCAGGAAAGGTAAACTCAACCAGAGTTTAGATGCTCCTTGGATTTGAGAAAACACAGTTCAGAGCTGAGAAGGCCAAGAGACCTAAAATTCATAACGCAGAGTACAACACAAAAAGAACACCCAAGATCTACAGGAGGTTCTCTCTGAGATTTAACTTAATACTAATCAGCACATAATCATATTCTTTCAGAAGACAGAAGCAGAGACAGTACTTCTCAACTCATTCTAGGAGATCAGCATTACTCTTAATACCAAAACCACCTACCAAAGGCCTATTTAACAGTAGTTTCTTTTACCCAGTACATGTCCAGCTATCAAGAAAAAATTACAAGGCATACTAAAATATAAAAAACACATTTTGAAGAGACAGAGCAAGTATCAGAACCAGATTCAGCCACGGCAGTGATGTTGAGATTATCGGACCAAGAATTTAAAACTACGATTAATATGCTAAGGGCTTTAAATGGATAAAGTGGACAGCATACAAGAACAGATAGGCAATGTAAGGAGAGAGATGGAAATTCTAAAAAAGAACTAAAAAGAAATGCAAGAGATCAACAACAACAGAAATGAAGAATGCCTTTGATCGACTTTTTAGTAAACAAGACACAGCTAAGGAAATAATCTCTGAGCTTAAGGAAATCTCATTCGAAATCTTTAAAACTGAAAAGAAAACAGAAAAAGGACTGACACAAATAGAACAGAGTATCTATGAACTGAAACAACTACAAATGGTATAATAAACATGGAATGGAACTATCAGGAGGAGAGGAAAGAACAAAAGAAATATTTGACACAATAATGACTGAGAATTTCCCCCAAATTAGTATCAGACACCAAACTGTAGCAGGCCATGTCTCATTAATGCAGGGCTCCATAACAACTGTTTCAGTACTGACTGACTGGTTAAGTTAAATATTAAAAGCTAAAAAAAGCCAGTGCCCTTATACAAAGGCTGGAATCTAACAAAAGCCCACCAAGAGTTTTGCCTAGGCCTTTCCTGGGCCTTAAAGCATAACAAAGAAATTCCCCAGGCCTCCACAAACAAGTTTATTGGATGTCTGAAAGAACTCCCCAAACCTCCACGAGCAGGAGACAAGATAAGGGTAATCACCTCAGCACCTAGATTAAGTAAATTTACTGAGACTCCAGAGGAAGGTCTTCAAGACTCAGACCTTAGTTACAGATTAAAAGAAGTTTCATCACTTATGTCTTTAGATGAATACACACTTACACGCAGACATATAGCTTAAAAGGTATATAATATCTGGAAAACTTTGTAATTTCGAGTTGGTCTGGCAATAATTTCTAGGCCTTCTCCCTGTAACCAGGTACAAAAATAAAAACTCTCTTCCTCCCCAGTTCATCTGCATCTTGTTATTGGGCCATGAGAAACAGCAGCCCAACCCAGTTTGGTCTGGGAACAAAACCACTGGAAGCCCAGAGAACACCAAGCTGGACAAAGGCCAAAAAAATCCCACTACACCTAGGGATATCATTTTCAAACAACAGAAAATCAGAAATAAAGGAAAAACAATCCTAAAAGACAAGGGTAAAAACACTGTACTTAACACATGAATAAAGATAAGAATGATAACCACACATGCCAGAAGAAAGTGAAGTGAAATATTTGAAGTGTTGAGAGAGAAAACCACCAACCTAGAAACTCTGAACCTTGCAAAATCATCCTTCAAAAGTGGAAACAAAAATAAAGATTTTTTTCAGAATACTAAGGAAATTTATTGTCAGTAGACCTGCTTTGCAAGAAATGTTAAACGAAATTCTTTGGCAAAAAGGAAATGATACAGGTCAGAAACTTGGATCTACATAAAGGAAGAACATCAAAGAATGAATAAGTGAATGTAAAATTAAAACATCTTAAAAATTGATTTAGCAGGTAAAATTTTGTTTAAAATAGCAACAATGCATTTGATTATGTAAGCTAATGTGTATATACATAAGATTACAAACATTTCTGTATAAGCTAAATAAGTAGGCGGGGCACGGTGGCTCACACCTGTACTCCCAGCCCTTTGGGAGGAGGCGGCGGGTGGATCATGAGGTCAGGAGATTGAGACTATCTGGGCTAACACAGTGCAACCCCATCTCTACTAAAAATACAAAAAATTAGCCGGGCGTGGCAGCGGGCGCCTGTAGTCCCAGCTACCCAGGAAGCTGAGGCAGGAGAATGGCGTGAACCCGGGGGGTGGAGCTTGCAGTGAGCCAATATCGCACCACTGCACTCCAGCCAGGGAAACAGAGTAAGACTCCGTCTCAAAAATAAATAAACAAATAAATAAATAAATAAATAAATAAAAATTTTTAAAAAAAGTTAAATGAGTTAACAGCAATGATACAAGGAATGGAAGGGAGAAACAGGATTATCTTATAGTAAGATACACTACCTGTTAAAAGGTATAGTGTTATTTTAAAGCAGATTTGAGGTAGTTGTAAATATACATTTACAATCTAGGACATTCTAGGACAACCACTAAGCAAAGTAAAAAAGTACAATTGATATGCTAAGAAAGAACAGAAAATGGAAATCATATAAAATGCTCAATTAAAACCACAAAGGCAGAAAAAGAGTGAAAGACAAAACTAGAAACAAAAAAAAAAGGCTAACAAATAGAAATCAGTAACAAATATGGTAAATATCAATCCAACTATCTTTGCAATTCCTTTGACTGTCAATAGTCTAAGTGCACCAATTAAAAGAGATTGTCAGATACATCTTGGAGTCATCCTATTCAGGGGTGAGGGAACTGGAGTATTATTTATATATCATCTTCCATCATTGGTTCAAGGTTGTTGGGGAATGTTAATTTCCTAGTACCTGCAACTTGTCACACAGATGCAAAATTGGAATTCAGTGGCCACAGAAAGTCCTCAGATAAAGAAATGCAGGTTCTGACATAGAAGCTGGGCCTGCATACAATGCAGGGGTGAGAGTAAGGGCAGGAAATGGAAGAGGTCAGCTATAAAATACCTTTATATTTGTCAACATAATCACTCTACACCTTTATATTTAGTCCCGCAATTCCTTGAAAGTTTGCAGTATGTCCCAAAATGCAAACTGTTTTGCTTATACAATGTTTTCCTTCACTGATTTCAATTTGACAGTTAATATTCAGTTCAATATTCTAAATAAATCGGCATTTTGGCAAAAAATAAAGACTAAAAGAGACTGTCGAAGTGGATCACAAAACAAGAACCGACTGGATGTGGTTTACAAGAAACCCACTTTAAATAAAAACACAGATTAAAAGTAAATAGATGGAGAAATATATATCATATTAACACCAATTAAAAGAAAGCGGAGTTGGCCAGACGTGGTGACTCATGCCTGTAATCCCAGCACTTTGGGAGGCCAAGGCAGGCAGATCACACGAGGCCAAGAGTTCAAGACGAGCCTGGCCAACATAGCAAAACCCCATCTCTACTAAAAATACAAAAATTAGCCAGGCATGGTGGTACATGTCTTGGGAGACAGAGATTGCATTGAGCCGAGATCGCGCCCCTGCACTCCAGCCTGGGCCACAGGGCGAGACTGTCTCAAAAAAAGAAAGCGGAGTTGTCCGTAATAATTTCAGACACAGCAGATAAGACAAGTTAAGTTATCAAGGATAACTTTTATCAAGGATAAAAATAAGGATAAAAAGACATAACAATGCTTAGCGTGTATAAGCCTAACAACAAAGTGTCTGTGTAGGCAAAAACTGATAGAATTGCAAAGAGAAATAAATGAATTCACTATTATAGTTGGACACTTCAACACCTCTCTATCAGAAACGGCCAGATCAAGCAGGGAGAAAACCAGTAAGGACATAATTGAACTCAACATTAATCAACTGGATATAATGAACATTCACAGATTATGTCACAGAAGAAATAACAGAATACACATTTTTACACTCATAGGATATTCATCAAGATAGACCACATTCTGGGCCATAAAACAAACCTTAACACATTCAAAAGAACAAGTTATAAAATGCCTCCTCTCAGGTCACAATAAAATTAAATTACAAATCAATAACAGAAATATAATTTTTAAAAAAAACCCAAGTACTTGGAGATTAAACAACACACTTCTAATAACACATAGGTCAAAAAAGAGATCTCAAGAGAAATTTTAAAATATTTTGAGCTAAATGAAAATGAAGACACAACTTATCAAAATCTATGGGATGACGTGAAAGCAGTGCTTAGAGGGAAATTCATAGCATTGAATGCATTTACCAGAAAAGACAAAAGATCTAAAATCACCTAATCAATCACCTTAAAAAAAACAGAAAAAGAAGCAGCGAATTAAATCCAAAGTTAGCAGAAGAATAAAAACAAGAGCAGATATCAATGTAACTGAAAACAGGAAATCAACTGAGAAAAATCAATGAAAAAACCAAAAGCTGGTTCTTTGAAAAGACCAATTAAATCATAAACCTCTAGCCAAGTAGACTAACAAAAAGACAGAGGACACAAACTCCTAATATCAGAACTCAAAGAAAGAAAATCACTACAAATCTCATGAACATTAAAAGGACAATAAAATAATACTGGCCAGGCACAGTATACTGGCTCACACCTGTAATCCCAGCACTTTGGGAGGCTGAGGCAGGCAGATCACTTGAGATCAGGAGTTCAAGACCAGTGTGGCCAACGCGGCAAAACCCCGTTTCCACTAAAAATATGAAAATTAGCCAGGTGTGGTGGCGGGCGCCTGTAATCCCAGCAACTCAGGAGGCTGAGGCACCAGAATCACCTGGACCCGGGAGGCAGAGGTTGCAGTGAGCCAAGATTGCACCACTACACTTCAGCCTAGGTAACAGCGAGACTCTGTCTCAAAAAAATAAAAATAAAAAAAGAATACTATGAACAATTCTATTTCCACAAATTTGATCACCTAGATAAAATGAACCACTTCCCTGAAAGCCACAAACTACCAAAACTCACACAAGAAACAATCTGAATAGGCCTGTATTAAAGAAACTGAACCAATCAACCTTCCAAAACAGAAAACACCAGGACTAGATGGGTTTGCTGGTGAATTTTATAAAACATTTAGGAAAGAAATTATACCCATTCTGTACCATCTCCTACACAAGATAGAAGCAGAAGGAATACTTCCTAACTCATTCAGTAGAGGCCAACATCAGAGTATTCCAAAACTTGACAAATATACATTATAACAAAACTACAGACCAACATTTTTTATGAACACAGGTGCAAAATCCTCAACAAAACATTAGCAAAACAAACCCAACAATGTATAAAACGAATCATATACCATGATCAAGTGGGATTTATCCCAGGTGTAAATTACTGGTCCAACATTTGAAAATCATTAATAAAATCCATCACATCAACAGACTAAGGAAGAAAAATCACACACCCATATCAATAGATGCAGAAGAAGCATATGAAAAAAAATCCAACACCCATTCACGATTTTAAAAATTCTCATTCCTCAACTTGACAAGGAATATCCAGAAAAAAACCTACAGCTAACATCATACTTAAATGGTATGAAACTAGAAGCTTCTCTGCTAAGATCAGGAGCAAGACAAGGAGATTTCCTCTCACTACTCCTTTTCAACATTGTATTGCAAGTCCTAATGAATGCAGTAAGACAAGAAAAGGGAAAAAGGCATGCTGATGGGAACAGAAGAAATAAAACCATCTTTTTTTCTCTGATGACACAGTCGTCCACATGGAGAATTCAAAAGAATCAATAAAAAAACCTCTGGAACTAATAAGCAATTATAGCAAGGTTACATGACAGAAGGTTAATATACAAAATTCAACTGCTTTCCTATACACCAGCAATGAATAAAGGGAATTTGAAATTAAAAAGTGTCATTTACATTACACTCCCCAAAAAACAGAATACTTAGGTATGAATCTAACAAAACATATACGAGATTTCTATGAGGAAAACTACAAAACTCTGATGAAACAAATCAAAGACCTAAATAACTGGAGAGGTATTATTCCTATCTATAAAGAAAGACTCAACATTGGCAAGATGTCAGTGCTTCCCAACTAGACCTATAGATTCAATGCAATTACAATCCCAGAAAGTTATTTTCTATCACCAAGATGATTCTAAAATGTATATGGAAAGGAAAAAGATCCAAAATAGCCAACAAAATATTGAAGGAAAAGGACAAAGTTAGAGGAATGACTCTACCCAACTTCAAGATTTATCGTAAGCAAGACAGCATGGTATTGGCAAAAGACTAGACAAACAGATCAATGAAACAGAATAGAGAGCCCAGAAATAGACCTCATAAATCTAGTACAATGATCTTCAACAAAGAAAAGGATAAAATACAATGGTGCAAAGGTAGTCTTTTCAATAAACGGTGCTGGAGTTCAACGAAACACTAACAAAATTCAACAAACAGCACATTAAAAAGATCATTCAATATGAACATGTAGGATTTACCTCAGGGATACAAGGATGGTTCAACATACGCAAATCTATGAATGTGAATCACATTAACAGAATGAAGGACAAAAACCTATGATCATCTCAATAGATGCAGAAAAAGCATGAGACAAATTTCAACATCCTTTCATAAAAACTCTCAACAAATTAGGTATAGAAAGAATTTACCTCCACACAATAAAGGCCATATATGACAAACCAACAGTTAGCATCATACTAAACAGTGAAAAGTTGAAAGCTTTTCCTCTAAGATCAGAAACAAGACAAGGATGCCCACTCTTGCCATCTTCACTCAATATGGTGTTGGAAGTCCTAGCCAGAGCAATTAGGCAAGAGAAAGAAATAAAAGGCATCTAAATTAAAAAGGAAGAAATGAAATTGTCCCTGATTGCTGAAGACATATCTTACATGGAAAGAACTCTGAAGACTCCGCCAATAAACTGTTAGAAATAATACATGGATTCAGGAAAGTTGTAGGATATAAAATCAATAAACAAAAACGTGTAGCATTTCCATACACTAACAACAAACTATCTGAAAAAGAAATTAAGAAAACAATCCCATTTACAATGGCTACAAAAATAAAATAAAATACTTAGGAATAAATTTAGCCAAGGAGGTGAAAGACCTGTACATTAAAAACTACATAAAACACAGATGAAACAAATTGAAATAAATGAATGGAAAGATATTCTTATGTTCATGAATTAGAAGAACAGTATTAACATGTTCATACTAACCAAAGCTATCTACAGATTCAATGTAACTTCCATCAAAATTCCAATGACATTTCTCACAGAAATTTTTTAAAATCCTAAAATTCATATGGACCTACAAAAGACCCCAAATAGCCAAAGCAATCTGGAGCAAAAATGAACAGAGGAGGAGGCTTCACACTGACTGATTTCAAAATACAATTGACCCTTAAATGACACAGGCGTTAGGGAAGCCAATCCCCTACGCAGTCAAAAACCTACATATAACTTTTAACTCCCCCACAGCCTAACTACAAATATGCTACCATTGACTGGAAGCCTTATCAATGACTTAAACACTAAATTAACACATTTTGCATGATATATGTATTATATGCTGTATTTTTTACAATAAAGTAAGCTACAGAAAAGAAAATGTTATTTAGAAAATCATAAGGAAGAGAAAATATAGTTACAATTCATAAAGTGGAAGTGGATCATCATAAGGGCCTTCATCTTCTCATCTTCAAGTTGAGTAAGCTGAGGAGGAGGGAAGAGGAAGGGTTGGTCTTGCTGTCTCAGAAGTGGCAAAGGCAGGGGAAAATCTGCATATAAGTGGACCCAAGCAGTTCAAGACCTTATTCAAGGGTCAACTGTATGTTACACACTATAGTAATCAAAACAGCAAGGTCTTGGCATGAAAACGAACACATAAAGCAATGGAATAGAATAAACAGCCCAGAAATAAATCCACACATTTATGATTAATTGATTTTTCTACAAAGGTGCCAAGAACACACAATAGGGGAAGAACAGTCTCTTCAATAAATGGGGCTCAAAAAATTAGATATCCATGTGCACAAGAAAGAAACTGAACCTTTATCCCACACCATAAACAAAAATTAATTCAATATGCATTAAAGACTGAAACTAAGACCTGAAACTGTAAAACATAGGGAAAAAGCTTCTTGACACTGGTCTAGACAATGATTTTTTGGATGGAACCCCAAAAGCACAGGCAACAAAAGCAGGGCGACAAATGGGGTTACAACAAACTTTTTAAAAAGCACAGCAGAGGAATCAAAAGAGTGAAGAGATAATTTATGCAACAGAAGAAAATATTTGCAAACCGTACATCAGATAAGGGGTTAATATCCAAAATATATAAGGAACTCAAAAATAACTCAATAGTAAGAAAACAACCTGATTTTAAAATAGGGAAAGAACTTAGTCATTTCTCAAAAAGAAGACATAAAATGGCCAATAAGTATATGAAAAAAATGCTCACCATCACTCATCACCAGGGAAATACAAATTGAAGCCATAATGAGGTATTACCTCATACCTGTTAGAATGACAATCATCAAACAGACAAAAGATAACATATTGGCGAGGATGCTGAGGAAAGGAAACCCTTGCACATCGCTGGTGGGAATGTAATTTATTACAGCCAGTATGAAAAACAGTATGGAGGTTCCACAAAAAAAAAAAAAAAAAAAAAAACTAAAAAAAGAATTACCATATGATCCAGCAATCCCACTACTGGGCATATATCCAAAGGAAAGGAAGTCAGTATGTCAAAGAGATATCTGCACTCCCAGGTTCACTGTAACATTATTCACAATAGCCAAGATATGGAATCAACCTAAGTGTCCATCTCAGATGAATGGAGCAAAAAAGTGTGGTCTATATATACAACAGACCGACGTTCTTAAAAATGAAAGAAATCCTATCATTTTCAACAACATGGATGAACCTGGAGGATATTATGTTAAGGCAATAAGACAGATACAGAAAGACCACATAAGCATCTCACTTTTATGTGGAATCTAAAAAAGCCAAACTCACAGAAGTAGAGAGTATAATGGTTGTTAATAAGTGTGGAGGGCTGGGGACAGGAAAGGCTGGAGAGATGTTGGTGAAGGGATACAAAATTTCAGTTAGGAAGAGTAAGTTCAAGAGATCTATTGTACAACATGGTGACTATAGTTCATAACAGTATATTGTACATTTGAAGACTGTTAAGACAACAGATTAGCCAGGCATGATGGCTCACACCTGAAATCCCAGCAATTTGGAAGGCTGAGGACGGAGGATCATTTGAGACCAGGAGTTCAAGACTCACCTGGGCAACACAGCAAGACCCTGCCTCTACAAAAAAGCAAAAAATTAGCTGGGCAGGGTGGCACTGGCCTGTAGTCCCAGCTACTCAAAAGGCTAAGGTGGGAGCTCCAGGCTACGGTGACCCACAATCACACCACTGCACTCCAGCCTGGGCGACAGAGTAAGACCTTGTCTCAAAAAAACAAATCCTGCTGAGACTGTAGAAGTGTGCTTAACACAAAATGATAGGTATATGAGATGATCTGTATATTAATTTGCTTGATTTAGCCATTCCACAATATATACATATTTCAAAACATCATGTTGTACACCATAAATATATAAAATTTTATTTGCCATTTGAAATATCTGTATCAAAAAAAAAAAAAAATGTCCAGGCTGCGTGCAATGGCTCATGCCTGAAATCCCAGCACTTTGGGTGGTCAAGGCGGGGGGATCATGATGTCAGGAGATTGAGACCATCCTGGCCAACATGGTGAAACCCCGTCTCTAATAAAAATACAAAAATTAGCTGGGCGTGGTGGCACGTGCCTCTAATGCCAGCTACTTGGGAGGCTGAGGCAGGAGAATTACTTGAACCAGGGAGTTGGAGGTTGCAGTAAGCCAAGATGGCACCACTGCACTCCAGCCTGGCAACAGAGCGAGATGCTGTCTCAAAAAAAAAAAAAAAAGAAAAGAAAAAGAAAAAGAAAAAAGGGTCCAAAGAGAGGAAATGGTGCTGGAACAACTGGGCACACACAGGCAAAAAAACAAATCTAAACCACAGGTCTTACATCCTTCGTTCACAAAAATTAACCCAAAAGGAATCACAGACCTAAATGTAATAAAAAACTAGGCCACGCGCATTGGCTCACACCTGTAATCCCAGCACTTTGGGAGGCTGAGGTGGGTGGATCACCTGAGGTCAGGAGTTCAAGACCAGCCTGACCAACATGGTGAAACCCCATCTCTATTAATACAAAAATTTAATCGCAGCACTTGGGGAGACTGAGGTGGGCAGGTCAGGAGTTCAAGACCACCAGCCTGGACAACATGGGGAAACCCCATCTCTACTAAAAATACAAAAATTAGCTGGACATGTTGGCACATGTCTGTAATCCCAGCTACTCAGGAGGCTGAGGCAGGAGAATTGCTTGAACTGGGACCCAGGAGGCGGAAGTTGCAGTGAGCCAAGATCGCGCCACTGCACTCCAGCCTCGGCTACACAGCGAGGCTTCATCTAAAAAAAAAAAAAAAAAAATTAGCCAGGCATGATAGAAGGCACTTGTAATCCCAGCTACTCTGGAGCTGAGGCAGGAGAATCGCTTGAATCCAGGAGGCGGAGGTTGCAATGAGCCAAGATTGTGCCATTGCTCTCCAGCCTGGGCAACAAGAGCAAAACCTCGTCTCAAAAAAAAAAAAAAAAAAAAAAAAAAGAACTAAAAAACTCCTAAAAGGTAATACAGGGGAAACGCTAGAGTTCCTAGGATTGGTAATGATATTTTAGATACAACACCACAGGCATGATCCATGAAATAACTGATAAGCTCAACTTCGTTAAAATTAAAACATTCTGCTCTGTGAAAGACGCTACCAAGAGAATGAAAAGACAAGCCACAGACTGGGAAGAAATATCTGCAAAATATCTAATGAAAGACTGGTAGCCAAAATATATAAAAAACTTAACAGGAAAACAAACAACCCACTTAAAAATGGGCCAAAGACCTTTATAGACACTTCACTAAAGAAGATATACAGATGGCAAACAAGCATATGAAGAGGTAACCCATATTATATGTTATCAGGGAAACGCAAACTAAATGAGATACCACTACCTACCTATCAGAATGGCCAAAATCCAAAACCACTGCTAACACCAAATGCTGGCAAGGCTGTGGAACAGGAACTCATATTCATTGCCGGCAGAAAAGGCAAAATGGTACAGCCACTTTGGAAGACAGTTTAGCAGTCTGTTACAAAATTAAACATACTCAGCCAGGCACAGTGGCTCATGCCTGTAATCCCAGCACTTTGGGAGGCCGAGGCAGGTGGATCACCTGAGGTCAGGAGTTCAAGACCAGCCTGAGCAACATGGTGAAACCCTGTCTCTACTAAAAATACAAAAATTAGCCGGGAGTGGTGGTAGGCGCCTGTAATCCCAGCTACTCGGGAGGCTGAGGCAGGAGAATCACTTGAACCAAGGAGGCAGAGGCTGCAGTGAACCGAAATCATGCCACTGCACTCTAGCCTAGGCGACAGAACAAGACTCTGTCTCAACAACAACAACAAAAATTAACTCTTCCATAGGATCAGCAACAATACTCCTTTGTATTCATCAAAAAAACCTGAAAGCTTATATCTATACAAAATCCTTCCCACAAATGTATATAGGAGTTTTATCCATAACTGTCAAAACTCAGAAGCAATCCAGATGTCTTTCAGCAGGTAAATGGATAAACTATGGTGCATCCAGACAATGGAATATTATTCAGCATTAAAAAGAAATGAGCTATGAAGCCGTGGAAAGACATGGAAGAACATTAAATAATACATATTATTAAGTGAAAGAGGCCAATCTGAAAAGGCATACACATTGTATGATTCCAACTATATGACATTCTGGAAAAGGCAAAACTATGGAGACAGTAAAAAGATTAGTAGTTGTTGTAGGAGGTTGGGGAAAGGAGGGACAAATAGGTGGAGCACAGAATTTTAGCACAGGGAATCTACTCTGTGTGATATCAAACCCACAGAATGCACAACACCAGGAATGAATCTTAATATAAACTATAGACTTTGGGTGACGATGTGTCAATGTAGGTTCATTAATTATAGCAAATGTATCACTCCATGGGGGATGCTGACAATGCCGGAGGCTATGCATGTGTGGGGGCAGAGAGCATATAAGAAATCTCTGTACTATCTGTTCAGTTTTGAGGGGAACCAAAAACTGCTAAAAAAAAAAAATTAATTAAGGTCTTTATAAAAATAGTGAAATAAACTTTTTTCAGACACATACAAACTGAATGAATTCATCATAACAGACCAGTCCTATAAGAAAATGTTAAAGGATGTTCCTTAGATAGAAGGAAACTAACACCAGATGAAATACAGATCTACAAAAAGGAATAAAGACCATCGGAAACAGTAATAATGTGGTACAATTTTTTTTAAACTTTTCTCATTTAAAAAAAAAAAAGTATTTTAAAAAAACCATTGAGGCCAGGCACAGTGCCTCACACCTGCAACCCTAGTGCTTTGGGAGGCTGAAGCAGGAGGATCACTTGAGGCCAGGAGTTCGAGACCAGCCTGGACAATACAGTGAGACTCTGTGTCTACAAAAAATAATAAAAAATTAGCTAGGCATGGTGGCGTGTGCCTGTAGTCCTAGCTACTTGGGAGGATGAGGTGGAAGGATCACTTGACCCTGGGAGCTCAAAGCTGCAGTGAACCATAATGGCACCACTGCACTCCAGCCTAGGCAATAGAGGGAGACCCTGCCTCAAAAAAGATAACAAGTGTTCCAAGAAGGTGGAGAAACTGAAGCCTTCAAACATTGCTAATAAAAATGTAAAATGGTACAGCTTTTGTAGAAAACAGGTTGGCAGTTCCACAAAATATTAAATGTAGATTTACCACATAACCCAGCAATTCCACTCTCAGTATACTGTACTAAGTGCCGTACTTAGCATACCGTATAGTACATACATAGAAATAAAAACATACATCCACACAAAAACTTGTATGTGTTCACAGAAGCATTATTCACAATAGTAAAAAAGTTAATCCAAATGTCCAACAACTGAGTCAATAAACAAAAAGTGGTATATCTGCACAATGGAATATTTAGTGAGAAAAGGGAATGAAGTACCAATACATGTTACAACATGGATCAATCTTTAACACACTCTACTAAGTTAAAGAAACCAATCACAAAAGACCACATATACTGTATGATTCCACTTATATGAAATGTCCAGAATAGGCAAATCTATAGAGACAGAAAGTAGATAAGGGTTGAGGGGTCCTAAG
The DNA here is from genome assembly GCF_000001405.40 of Homo sapiens. Taxonomy (NCBI): domain Eukaryota; kingdom Metazoa; phylum Chordata; class Mammalia; order Primates; family Hominidae; genus Homo; species Homo sapiens. The sequence goes on from NC_000003.12 coordinate 122,481,517, forward strand.
CGGGGAGCAGAGGGAATGGAGAGTGACTGCTAATGGGCATAAGGGGTTTTTTAGCGGGTGACTAAAATGTTCTAAAATTGGTTGTGGTGAAGTACTGGAACTCTATGAATATACTAAAAACCACTGAATTACACACTTCAAGTGGGTGAATTGTACAGCGTGTGAATTATATCTCAATGAAACTGTTTTAAAGCCAATGCTAGCTAACAGAAAGCTGGAGTGACTGTATTGTAATGTCAGACAAGTTGGTTCAAGATAAATAATATATCAGAAAGTAGGTAATTTCATAATGATCAAGGAGTCAATTCATCAAGAAGATGTAAGAACTCTAAACATTTATATATCTATTCAACTAGGAACAGAAGAGAACTTCCTTAACGTCATATGACATTTTGGGCTCAATGAAATTTTTTTTTAAGGTTTTAAAGAAACTCTCCTAAAAAAGTTTTTCTTTAGCATACTGTATAAGAACATACATAGAAATAAAAACTTTTTAAAAAGAGAGAGAACTTCCTTAATCTCATAAAATACACACATGCATCACTTAACAAGAGTCTGAGAAATACATCACACGACTTCATCATCATGTGAACATCACAGATTGTAGTTACACAAACCTAGATGGAATAGCTACTACACGCCTAGGCGATATGATATGCCCTATTGCTCCTAGGCTACAAACTTGTACAGCACGTTACTGTACTGAACACTGGAGGCGATTTTAACCCAAAGGTAAAAATTTGCATATCAAAACATAGAAAAGGTACAGTAAAAATATGGTAATTATAATCTTATGGGACCACATCATATATGTGCTCCATAGCTGATGGAAACATAGTTATATAGTACATGACTATATATGAAAAACCTGTCATTAACATCACAGGTAATGAAAGACCCACTACTTTTCATCTAAGGTCAGAAATAAAACAGATAGGTCTGTTTTTATTATTTTCATTCAACACTGCACCATTAAGTTCTAGTCAGTACAACCAAACAAGTTAAAGAAATAAAAGTCATCCAGATAAGAATGGAAAATAAGGAAACTTTTATCTGTAGATGACATGATTGCCTATGTAAAAAACCCAATGGAATCTATAACAAAGGGACTAGAACTAACAAGTGAGTTCAGCAAGCTTTAGGAGATCAATATACAAAATTAAATTGCATTTCTACATATTAACAATGAACAACTGAAATCTAAAAAATAACAATTACAACAGCATCAATAAAAATGAAATACTTAGGGAAAAATCTGACAAAAGATAAAAATCTGTAAGACCTATACACCAAAAACTACAAATTGCTAAGAGAATGTAAAGATGACCTAACCCCCGCAGCAGGTCTCAGTAGCTGGTAGAGACTGGGGAGGACGGGATGGGACGGGATGGGACGGGACAGGACAGCAATAGCTAGGCAGCCTAGCTTCACCAAGGCTCTCGCGCCTCTCCACCACCAAAATATCAAAGAGGAAGGAAGGTCAGCTCAGCTGAAGGGATAGTGAAGGAAGAGCCCAGGTGGAGACCCAGCACAGTTCTCAGCTAACTCTGCTCCTACAAAAGTGGACAGGAAACCAAAAAAGGCAGCAGGAAAGGATACATCTTCAGACAAAACAAAAGTGAAAAGGAAAGCAGAGAAAATACATCGCAGTGGCAAACCAAGAAACTAAAGATTTACCTACCTACAGAAAACAGAGAAACTAAACTGAGAAAGCCAGAGGAAAAAAAAGCCAAGTGTGATTAATATCACATACCTTGTCTTATGAGTCATTCCTGTTTCCCTTCTTGTACTATCCACAGGAATTTTCTGGTTTTTTCATTGTTGTTGTTTTGTTTTGTTTTTTTTAAATTGGAGTTTCACTCTTGTTGCCGAGGCTGGAGTACAACGGTATGGTCTAGGCTCACTACAACCTCCACCTCCCAGGTTCAAGCAATCCTTCTGCTTCAGCCTCACAAGTAGCTGGGATTACAGGCGCCCACTACCACACCTGGCTAATTTTTGTATTTTTAGTAGAAACGGGGCTTCAACATATTGGCCAGGCTGGTCTTGAACTCCTGACCTCAGCTGATCCACCCGCCTCAGCCTCCCAAAGTGCTGGGATTACAGGTGTGAGCCACCGTGCCCAGCCTAGAGGAATATTTTCATAAACTATTTTGTAAATATAAGTTTTCTAGTAGCTCTAGAAACATTTTTAAAAGGAGGGAATCCCACCTCATCCCATTTTTTAAGTGTAAATGCTTTTCTTAAGAGGTGAAATCATTTGCTGGTTGTTTATTTTTTGGTACAACCAGAAAATAGTGTGGGATACTGAATTATGGGAGGCTCTGACATTCCATAGATGAGGGATTAGTTTTTATATCCTACAATACAAAGTATACAAAATGGCAATATGGAATCACAGTCCTGCATTTAATGTCTTGAATATTTTAAATTACTTCTATTCCTATGTTATTTTTTAGCAGAATTGTTTCCTAAAGAAAACCACTCCTTGATCATGGCTCTCCCTATCAGAATTGTGCATACTCTGTAAAATCTTCAGTCATGGTAGTGCTGTTTTCCTAATAACTTTGTTAATGTACTGCAAAAGATTGAAAATTTGAATATGTAGTATATATGCTATTAAACTGTGAATTGGTGGGATGTATGCAGTAACTTAACATTTTAAGATACTGGTACTGGACAGCCTCTTAAAAATTTGCCTCCAGATTTTAAGCTGGAAACTCACTGGAATAACTGTTTAAAAAAGAATTACAATACACAGCTTTTTAGATTTTTAGTACATAAGAACTGTGTACAAACTGAAATGTCTGTATACTAATCCTCAACACAACCAATAAAATCTCAATTATAAAAAATAAACATGACCGGGCACAGTGGCTCACGCCTGTAATTCCAGCACTTTGGGAGGCCGAGGCAGGCAGATCACCTAAGACCAGCCTGGCCAATATGGTGAAACCTCATCTCTACTAAAAATTCAAAAATTAGCTGGCATGGTGGTGGGCGCCTATAATCCCAGCTGCTTGAGAGGCTGAAGCAGAATTGTTTGAGCAAGGGAAGCAGAAGTTGCAGTGAGCTGAGATCACACCACTGCACTCCAGCCTGGGAGACAGAGTGAGACTCCGTCTCAAAAAAAAATAATAATAAAAAAAATAAATAAAATAAAGGAAAGCAAAGGAAAGGAAGAAAGAAAGATGACATAAATAAATGAAGATACTGTGCTCATGGGTCAGAGGACTCAAGATTGTTAACAGTATCAATTCTCCAAACTGATTTATAGATTCAACATAATCCCAATCAAATTCCCAGCAGGCTTTCATGTACAAACTGAATAGCTGATTCTAAAGTTCATATAAATGTGAAGGACCTACAATAACCAAAACAACGTTTTACTTTTTTTAAGGGATGAGATCTCGCTTTGACGCCCAGGCTGGAGTGCAGGGGCACAATCATACCTCATTGCTGCCTCGAATTTCTGGGCTCAAGCAATCCTTCTACCTCGGCCTCTTGAGTATCTGGGACTATAGGTGCATGCTAATTAGTTTTGTTGTTGTTGCTGTTGTTGTTGTTTTGTTCTTTCTGTAGAGATGGTGTCTCGCCACCTTACCCAGGCTGGTCTCAAACTCCTGTGCTTAAGCAATCTTCCCGCCTCGGCCTCCCAAAGTGCTGAGATTACAGGCATGAGTCACTGCACCCAGACCAAAACAATTTTGAAAAAGAAAAAGTTGGAGCTCTAACACTACCTGATTTGAAACTAATCTTAAGGCTACAGTTACCAGCCAGCATGGTATTTAAGCTAGATAAATAGACCAATAGAACAAAGTAGAGGTCCAGAAACAGACCTATACAGATATGGTCAACGGTAAGTGTTTCCAAGGAAATTCAATGGGGGAAATAATCTTTACAATAAATGGCACCTGAACGACTGGATAGCCATATGCCAAAAAAAAAAAAAAGAACCCTTAACATGTACCTCACATCAGATATACATGCTTGTTCTTTAAAATGTTACTTTTGTAAATGAAAAGGCAAGCCACTGACTGGGAGAAAATATGTGTAAAACACGTATCTAGCAAAAGACATATCTAGAAGACAATCGACTCAGTTAAAAAATTTAACTGGAAAGGAATTTTTTTTTTAACAGACTTCACTAAAGTAGATACACAGCAAATAAGCCGATGAAAAGATGCTCACTGGTGATCTATCGTATAGCATAGTGACTACAGTTAATAATAATGTATTACATAAGTCAAAATTGCTGAAAGAGTGAATATTAAATGTTCGCACCACAAAGAAGTATATAAGATGATAAATATACATAATTATTATTTGCCAATTAAAAATAAACTTTTTTAAAAAAGAAAAGATGCTTACAACTTTATTTATTAGGTGAATGAAAACTGAAACCATCATGGAGTACTTCTACATACTCCTCAGAATAGCTGAAATAGAAAAGACTGACCATACCAAATGTTAACAATGATGTGCAGCAACTCAAACTCTTGTACACTGCTCATGGGAAGGTAAAATAGTACAACCTATTTTGGCAAACAGTTGACAGCTCCTAAGTATACACCAGCTATACAACCCAGCCATATCACTTCTAGACACTTACCTGAGGGAAAAGAAAAGTTATATCCACACAAAAAGCTGTCCACGAGTGTTCCTAACAATTTTATTTGTAATCACCAAAAACTGGAAATAATCCAAATTTCCATCAACAAGTGAATGGATAAACCAGTTGTTGTTTATCCATACAAAAGAATACTATTCAATTATAAAATGGAATGAACAATTCATACACAAAACAATAAGTGAATACCAAAATGATTAAACTGTGTGAAACTAGAAAGAAAAAGAATACACGTTGCATAATTCCATTTATGGTAACTAATCAGTAGTAACAGAAAATAGATCAGAGGAAAGAGGTAGAGAAAAATGTACTAAAAAGGTGCACTAGGAAACCTCTGGGTGAGATGAATATGTTCACAACTTAACTATGGTGATGGTTTTCACAGACTGTCAACCAGACTGTCATAAACCTATTTTTGAAAGTATCTATGTTAAAGTCTGTGCATTCTTTTTTTTTTTTGAGACGGAGTCTCGCTCTGTCGCCCAGGCTGGAGTGCAGTGGCGCGATCTCAGCTCACTGCAAGCTCCACCTCCCAGGTTCACGCCATTCTCCTGCCTCAGCCTCCCAAGTAGCTGGGACTACAGGCACCGCCACCACGCCCGGCTAATTTTTTATATTTTTAGTAGAGTCGGGGTTTCACCAATGTTAGCCAGGATGGTCTTGATCTCCTGACCTCGTGATCCGCCCGCCTCAGCCTCCCAAAGTGCTGGGATTACAATTCTGTACATTCTTAATGATATTAAAGCACACACTATTTCATCCCTTTGGAGGATGCTAAGAAACCAACTCATTATTCTGAAAACAAATACAGGAAGAGAATCAAGCATTTCTCTGTCCTGTGTGAACTGTAGCTAAGGGAAAGGTCTTCTTTTGAGTGACCTTCCAGCGAATAAAAGCAGAAGGAATGATCACTGTAACCTCTATAAAAGTAATGGATCTAGGCAGGGACCATCAAAGACTGCTAAAACTTGAGGTAAAAAGCTGTCGGGCCTCTTTATAATGACAGATCAGGCTGACAAAACCAGAATGTAAGGATTAGTCAAGTAACCAAATTAAAAAATAGGCAAAACACCAGACATTTCTCCAAAGACATACAAATGCCAACAAGCATATGAAAAGATGCTCAACATCACTTATCATTAGACAAATGGAAATCAAAACTACCATAAAATAAAACGTGTACCCACTATGAAAAACAGTAGGGAGGCTCTTGAAATATTAAAAATGAAATTATCATTATGATCTAGACATCCCACTTACGTGTATATGTCCAAAAGAATTCAAAACAGAATATCAAAAGAGATATTTGCACTCTCATGCTCATTGCAGCATTATTCACATGGGCCAGGAGGTGGAAGCAGCCCAAATGTCCATCAACAGATGAATAAGGAAAATGTGGTAATACATACAATGGAATATTATTCAGCCTTAAAGAAAAAGGGATCCTGTCACAAGCTACAATACAGATGAACCTTGAAGTCATTATGCTGAGTGAAATAAGTCAGTTACAAGAGGACAAATATTGTACGAGTCTACTTATATGAGATATCTAGAGAAATCAAAATCATGGAAACAGAAAGTAGAATGCCAGTTATCAGAAGCTGGGAAAGGAGAAATGAGGAATACTTGTTTAATGTGGCATAGAATTTCAATTCTGCAAGATGAAAAAGTTCTAGATATATGTTATATAACAATGTGAATATTGTTAACACTACTGAACTGTACACTTAAAAATGAGTAAGAGGAAAAATTTTTTCACCAATTATTAATAAAAATTTTTTAAAACAGTTAAGAGACAGCACCAAATACAATGTATGACTTAGTTTCTGACTCTAAGAAACAAACATAAGATTTTGTGACAATGTAGAAAATCTGAATGTTGACTAGATGCTTAATATTAAAAAACTAACTTTTTAAAGTATGATAACACTATTCTGAATGACCTTCCAGCTAATAAAAGCAGAAGAAATGATCCCCGTAACTCCTATAAAAGTAATGGATCTAGGAAGGGACCATGGAAGACTGCTAAAATTTGAGGTGAAAAGCTGACTGCGCTCTTTGATGATTTTTAAGTTTAAAAATCTTTATCCGGGACTGGGCACAGTGGCTCACTCCTGTAATGCCAGCACTTTGGGAAGCCAAGGCAGGAGGATTGCTTGAGGCCAGGAGTTTGAGACCAGCCTGGGCAACATAGTGAGACCCCATCTCTACAAGAAAATTTTTTAATCAGCCAGATGTAGTGGTGCGTGCCTGCAGCCTCAGCTACCAGGGAGGCTGAGGTGAATCACTTTGAGTCTGGGAGGTTGAGGCTATAGTGAGTTGTAATCACACCACTACACTCTAGCCTGCATGGGCAACAGAATGAGACTCTGTCTCCAGAAAAGAAAAAAAGAATCTTTATTCTGTAGAGATACATATTGAAGTATTTACAGATAAAATAATTTGATAGCTGGGATTTGCTCAAGTAATCCAGGACATTATTTTACTTCTGTCTCAGTGCAACGTCTGGGGGTGAAGAATTCTTTAGTTGACAGTTTCCTTAAACGATTCTCCACTGTCTTCTGGCTTGTATTGTTTACAACGAGAACTGTGATGTCATCCTTATCTCTGTTCCTCTGCAGGTAACATGTCTTTACTCTGGGCGTTTTTAAGAGTTTCCTTTTAAGTTTGGGTTTGAGCAGTTTGGCTATGATATGCCATGACGTAGTTTTCTTCATCTTTCTTGTGATGGGGATTCACTTAGTTCCTTCAATCAGTGGATTTACAGTTCTTCATTATAAAAGGTTTTCGGCCATTACTTCTTTAAATATTTTTTCTCTTCCACCCTCTCTTTTCCTTTACGGACTCCAATTGCCTGTATTTAGCTTTCTTGAAGTTGTCCCATAACTCGCTTGTGGGTTTTTTTGCGTGCGTGTGTGTGTGTGTGTGTGTGTGTGTGTCAGGGCAGGGCGGGGGTGGGTTATTTTACCTCTTTTTCATTCTTGATGGTTTCTATTCCTATGCCCAGAGTTCACTAATCTTTTCTTCTGCAATTTTTAATTTGCAATCAATCCCATTTGGGAATTTCTCATCTTGGACATCACAGTTTTTATCTCCAGGAGTTCAAATTGAGTCTTTTTATACCTTTTTACTTTGTTTGTTTTTTTTTGTTTGTTTTTTTTTTAAGAGGGTCTCACTCTGTCACTCAGGCTGGAGCACAGTGGCACAGTCATAGCTCAATGAAGCCTCAAACTCCTGGGCTCAAGCCATCCTCCCACCTCAACCTTGGGACTTAGGACTATAGCGTGCGCCACTAAGCCTGGCTAAGTTTTTTATTTATTTATCTTTTGGTAGACTCGTTATGTTGCTCCTGGGCTCAAGCGATCCTCCCACCTCAGCCTCCCAAAGCACTGGGATTATAGGTGTGAACCACCATGCCTGGCAGAGTCTTTTTTTATCTTCCATGTCTCTAACTTTTTGAACACATGGAATATGGTATGGTTATAATAACCATTTATATTTTATTACCTGATAACTCTAACATCTTTATCAGTCGAGTCAGTTTCAACTGATCATTCTCCCCATTACAGTTGTGTTTTCCTGCTTTTTTGTATACGTCACAATCTTTGGATGCCAGACAATGTCAATTTTACCTCGTGTACTGGATATTTTCGTATTCCTATAAACATTCTTGAGCTCCATTTCGGTATACAGCTAAGTTATATGGAAACTGTTTGATCCTTTTGGACCTTGTTTTCATTTGTCAGGTTAAGTATGGAGCAGTACTAAGTATACAGCTCATTAATCTCCACTACTGAGGCAAGGCTCTCCTGAATACTCTACCTAATCCCTCATGAATTATGAGTTTCTCCAGTCCAGCTAGAGGGATAGGCACTGTTTCCAGCCCTGTGTAAGTACCAGGCACTGTTCCGTCTAATCCTTTAAAATGATATTTTCTCTAACCTTGGGTAGTTTCCTCAAACACATGTGCTAATCAGCATTCTGCTGAATATCTGAGGAAAGCCTTTGAAGATTTTCAGGCTTCACTCAATATACAGGTCTCTCTTCTTTGATATTCCATCCTACGAAACTCTATTTGCCTGGTCTTCACAGACTCTGAGCTCTGCCTCAAGGCAGCGAGGCTGTGGGCTCTGCCTTAGCGCCTCTTTCTATGTTTACAACTAGAAAGCTGAGATAATCACAGGATTTATCTCATTTGTTTCCCATCTTTAGAGATCACTATCTTCCACTGCCTAATGCCTAGTGTCTTGAACTGCTGTTTTCATGTATTTTATCTGTTTATTCCTGGTTCCTTCAGGTAGGAAGGTAAATCCTGGTCCTAATACTCCATTTTGGCCAGAAGCAGAAGTCTTTATAACCTTTTCTGATACTCAAAATACCCTATTTTTACCCAATGGGAGCTAGGAGCTAGTTCAAGTTGGCTCTGAGTCTTTTCAACAAAACTCCAGTGATCTCAGAAAACTTCTTTGCTTTATAAAATATTCCCTATCTTTAACCAAGAACCAGTTATTTTTGCAAGGAACCTGGTTCCTTTGAGAAAAAATTCTAAATACCTCAGAATGCCAGTGCTCACTGCAAAAAGGTAATTTGCTATTTCTAGGCCTTCTCAGGACAGAGCTGGTGTTTTGTTTTATTAAAGAAAATATATCATAAATTCCCAGTGATATTACCAATTCAAACTTACTTAACTTCTTTAATTTTCTTATTTACTTATTTTCTTAAACTAAAAGTATCAGGTTTCTAATATTAATATAAATATGAATTTCCTTTATTCATATACAAATGTATATATAGTTTCATAACTACCAATTTTATATGATTACCAAAAGCAAGTGAAGATTCATTTATACTTCTTTTTTGTCCTTAAGATATAAACTAGCAGAGGAAATTAGTCAAATTACCACAGTTTAAAGGTATACTAAAATAATTCTTCTCTGTGTGGCTTAGCCACAAGCATGACAAACCAGGTCACTTGTTTCCTTCTTTTTGAGGATTTCTTCTCTCATTTTAATTTTGTTTTACAGTTATTTAAAACATTTACACGATTCCAAAATCATACCCAGTCACTAACATTACATCTATTGGTATTGCAGTTTATACGCACAGGCAGTTTGGTACAGCGGGATGCTGTTAGTGATCTTTAAGTACTACAGGTCATGAAAAACACGACTGCTCGTCCAATATTTGACTTAGAACAGCAAAGCTATGTCAACAGTATTCAAAACTGCTAGAAAAAAAATTAGCAACAGAAAATATTTTTAAAATGTACAACCACTTTCAAGATATGTTAAATGTTATTAATGCAGTGATAAAAACTGTAGCGGCCGTTGGTTAAACAGGTGAAATCAAAGGGCAAACTGACAAACATGCAACTAATACTACTAGCCAAAAGAAGCACAAACACTGGTTTGATAAAAGTGGAAGAATGAGATTAACACATTAAATTTGTCAAAGACAATTTATAATGCAGTAAAAGGTTGGAAAACATGCAAGTTATGCAACTACTCAAGCGAAAACGTCTCAGCATGATGGACAACTGTGAAAATCTTTAAAATGACATTAAATGAAATAATCCCAAAAAGGTAATAGAGGTCATACAGAATAAGAGATGTACCACGGTATCTAAATAGCTATAATCAATATCATTTAATCGTTAGTTATAAGAGGTGAGCTAAGCATGCAAAGCAATGCTTTGACCATCACATTTTTTTTTTTTTTTTTTTTTTTTTTTTTGAGACGGAGTTTCGCTCTGTCGCCCAGGCTGGAGTGCAGTGGCGCGATCTCGACTCACTGCAAGCTCCGCCTCCCGGGTTCACGCCATTCTCCTGCCTCAGCCTCCCGTGTAGCTGGGACTACAGGCGCGCGCCACCATGCCCGGCTAATTTTTGTATTTTTAGTAGAGACGGGGTTTCACCGTGTTAGCCAGGATGGTCTCGATCTCCTGACCTCGTGATCCGCCCGTCTCGGCCTCCCAAAGTGCTGGGATTACAGGCGTGAGCCACCGTGCCCGGCCCGACCATCACATTTTAACTATGCTTTCTTTCCAATCCTGCTCTGCAAAACAAACACAAGATTTGTGTCACAGCGTGCCAGTACAACTTTTATCAGGTGGACCTAATGCTGCACAATCCTGTAGAAAGAACACTAATTCAGATGTGAGAAGATCTTGGTTCTACTTATCTGCTATGTAATCTTGGCCAAATCATTCAAACTCAAAATTTTGGTATAAAATAGAAACATGGTTTGTATCTGCACTGTCCTACAGAAATATAATGAAAGCCACAAATGAAATTTTAAAAATTTCTAGCAGCCATTTGAAAAAGGAAATAAAAGATAAAATTAATTTTAATATTTTATTTAACCCATGTCTAGAATATTTCAGTATAAAAATTGAGATTTCATTATTTTTTCATATGGAAGCTTCAACATCCAATGTAAATTTTACACTTACATGTCTCAATTTGAATTAGCCACATATTAAATGCTCAATAGCTAACTGTAGCTAGTGACTATCTCATATTGGACAGCATAGCTCAACCATTTTCAAACGTTTCATGGGGGAACAGAAGCAGCAGGAGACTCAACTCAGAGCCTCAAAGCTCCACAGAACATAATTTTAACATTGCTGGTCTAGATTATTGCAAAGGTTCTTTCCAGAGAAAAAGGCTATTATTCTTTACGGCAATGGTCATTCACACTGAACTGCTGTAACCACTTAGCTGAGCTTCGGATAAAGGACCAGTAATGCTATGAATTTATTTTCTATCCATTTCAGTGTTTTTATATACATATGCTTTATCTTGTCCATAATCAGATACTTAAAGACATTCACAATTATTGTGTAACTATAACATATCAGAAAATAATAACCTACCTCAGAGTTTGGTTGAGATGATTAGAAAGGTTAATTCATTAAGTGCTTAAAATAGTACCTGACATAACAAACACTCAACAGTTAACTGTTATCATCAATACTTCATCATTAATCCACTACACTATTCTAGAACTGTCCAGCTCTATTCACAACAGGATTAAAACATATTATAGTTTTTCTTCCCAAGGTCAATAAAATTTTCATGCCAGTTGTAAACTAATCAACATAATAATCTACCTTATACAATGAGACATACAGATTAAAAATAGTAGAATCAGGCCTTCCCATCCTTTTAGTCTCAGAAATACTACCCCACAATGATAAAAGGGACAAGAAAAAAAAAAAAACAGTATGTGTAGCTCCCAGCCATATCTACAACAATGGAAAAACAGATTGAGAAACAATATACGAGTTAGAGTGGAGGAAGATCAA